>NC_000010.11:98173398-98476428 GCF_000001405.40 Homo sapiens
AAACCTTGCTTTTCACTTCAGACTGGGGGAGGGGTAGAGGGAGCCTAATGTACCGGAGATGCTTCGGAAATGAGAGCCTTGGATGAATTCCTGGGCCTATTGATCCACCGGCAGTTTATGCATCCTGACATTCATAATCTCAGTAGGCTGCTGATGTTCCTGATTAATGGGCCCAGGGGCTGTCCATCCGTCACTTCGCATTAATTACTGAAGAGGTGTTTTTCCAGTGATTTACCTGACAGCGGGCTGTGATAAATACCCCTAAGCAGAGTGGGCAGTGATTAATCACAGGGCCACACCCCTCCCCCTACTCTTTTTTCCCCCTAACCACAGGTTAGCATTGGGACCTGACCAAATAGTGCCCCCTCCCCATAAGCTATCTATCTCCATAATTGCTTGTGGATGCATATTTATTGGGGCATGGGGCCTGGCAGATAGCATTCTAGAACTTGTGCCAAAGATGATGAAAAATAAATCTTCCCAATAGGAAGAGTATCTAACGTGTTTTTACATGGGGCAGAGAAGTGTCTGTGAGCTGCGTGTATGTTGCTTTTTAAGAAATCTGATAGGAATATTGCCCACCTGCTATGCCTGCACTCAATACTGTAATGGTTGCTTTTTGAGCTTTAAAAAGAGGAGATAGAACAACTTTTATGTTTGCTATACTTGTAGTATATTCAGGGAGAATATGTGAACAAATATGAGAAATTAGAGAACATTTCAAAGTACTAATACAATCTTGGGAGAATTGGACTAGAACTTCAGGATTCCATTTCTTACTCTGTGGCCTTAGAAAGTGAAATTTAGTTAACTATTTAAGTGTTTTAATGTTTTTCATGTGTCGGGCATTGTATTCAGCTCTGGAGATACGAAGATGAATTGGGCTGAGATCTCAGGGAACAAATTCTAGTGCCCGTTGCCTCCGTTTCTCAAAGTACAAAATAAACTTCCAGGAAGTTATTGAATTAATTTAAAATTAGTATAAGATCTAAAGTAATTTAAAATCAGTTCTTACATTAATTTTTCTGTGAATATTTATTGTATTCCCAGGGATAAAAGCAGCATATGAAAGATACTATCTGCCCTCAAGAAACTTGTAGAGTGTGAGATGGCATTCATAAATGAAACAGTTGAATAAGAATATAAAGGAGTATATAATGAGAGTGATATAACAACAATGAGATGTCTCAGTTTAAACACAACTCATTTAGGAGGGCGTTAGACATTATCAAGGAGGGCATTTCAGAAGTTGGAAGGAGCAGACAATGAGGCCATCCTGCCCAGAATGGAGACTTTGTGTCTGAGAATGATAGAAGTATTATTGAAATTGTAGATTGACACCAAATCATGGAAAATCTTAAATGCAAGGTAAGCCTAGTTTATATATTGTATGCTCTGGTGAATCTAAGGTTTTGAGTGAGAAAGTCTAGAAAAAAATGTATTTTAGAAAAAATTCTTACATATTGATGTTCGTAATGTTATTTGGAATTGCCAGATTACCTTGGCATTCTCGGAGCCCTCTTTTCCTCTGTAGTTCAAAATAAAACCGTTCAAATTAAAAATATAGTTTTCTGTATCTACCCGAGTGCAGTGCAAAGGATTGTGTAGTTCGGTTATATATGGAAGAGATGATAGAGTTGACAGTCAAAGGAGACCAAGTTTCTCATCGTTAACGCGTGCAAAGTTGAGTAAGTCAATGAAGTTTTAAGTAATGACTGCAGAATTAAATTGGGAAAGACTATGGCCTCAAGATTTAAGAAAGAAACCGTCAGTCTTACAGATAACTTCATTAAGGCTATACTGATTATTTCCTGGCTACTAGACAGGCATATTTTAAAGCCAAGAATCAGAAATTAAAGGGTCAGTGCTGTCAGCTGTATTTTAGCAGGAATTTTAAAGAGATGTCATTTTTTTCATTAAAAAACTTAAGATTATATATGGCAAACTTCACGTTTCATAGAGTACATTTTGTGAATTTTGACAAACATGCAGTTGTGTAACTCCCACACAATTAAAATGCAGAGAGAGCAGTTCCATCCATCCAAAAAATTCCCTTGTCACTTTATAGTCAGCCCCTTACCTGACCCCAAGCTTCTGGCAACCAGTGGTATGTTTTCTGTCTCTACAGTTTTGTATTTTCCAGGATGTTGTGTAACTGGAATTGTATTTCTCTAATGATAAATGATTTTGAGCATCTTTTTTGCCATCCTTATATCTTCTTTGGTGAAGTATTCTTAAATTATTTTGTTGTTTTTTTGACACTGAGTTTTGAGATTCTGGATGAAAGTTATCAGATGTGATTTGCAAATATTTTCTTGTGGTTTGTGGCTTTTTAAAATTCTCTTACATGTCTTTGAAGAGCAGAAGTTTGAATTTTGATAAAGTCGAGTTTATTGATTTAAAAATTATTTTATTTTATGGGTCATGCTTTTGATGTTGTATCTAAGAAACCTTTGCTAAACCAAAAATCACAAAGATTTTGTTCTATATTTATTTATAGAAGTGTTAAAATTGTAGGTTTACATTTAGATCTGTGATTCATTTTGTTAGTTTTTATATGTGGTGTGAGGTATGGATACAGTTTTTGTTGCAAATGAATTTCCACTTGTTTCGGCACCATTTTTTGGAAAGACTCTCTTTTTTCATAGAATTTCCTTTATACATTTCTTGAAAATCAGTTGTTCATATATGTGTGAGTCTTCTTCTGGACTCTTACTGCGTTTCATACATCTAAATGTTTACCCTTTCTCCAATGTGACACTTACCTGAGATTATTGTAGCTTTATAGTAAACTTGAAATCAGGTAGTGTGAGTTCTCCATCTTCATCCCTTTTCAAAGTTACTTTGGCGATTCCAGTTCCTATGCCTCTTCATATCCATTTTAAAATCAGCTTCTTAATTTCTGTAGAAAGTCCTTCTGGATTCTGATTTAATTCTAAAGATCATTTTGGGGAGAATTGATATCTTAAATATTGAGGCATCTCATTTATGATCTTTCTTTCGATTTTTGATGTCTTATCAATGTATTTTAGTTTTCAGCATAGATTGTACACATACTCTGTTAGATTTATGCCTAAGCATTTCATGTTTTTGAGTGCTGATGTAAATGATACTCTTCGATTTTCAGTTTTTTTCATTGATAGAATATAGAACTGCTTGTATCCTCATAACCTTGCTAAACTTACTTAGTTCTGGTAGCTTTCTTAGAGATTCTATGGGATTTCTATGCAGAAGATTATGTCATCTGCAGATAAAGACAGTATTACTTCTTTCTTCCAATTTGGATGTCTTTTATATTTTTTTCTGCCTTGCTGCACTGGCTAAAACCTCCATTTTAATGTCAAATAGAAGTGACAAGTGTGGTCATCTTTACTTTATTTTTGCATCTTACGGGGAGAGCATTTGGTTCTTCATCAAGTATAATATAAACTATAGGTTTTTATTGCTCTGCTTTTTTTTTGTAGATAACATTTATCAGGATGAGGAAGTTCTCCTATTCCTAGTTTACTGGATGGATGTTGAATTTTGTCAGATATTTTATGTACATCTATTGAGATAATCATGTATTTTATTTTTGTTAGTCTTTTGTTATGGCGAATTACATTTTGCCTGAACATTTTTTAAAATTAATTTATTAATTAATTTATTATACTTTAAGTTCTAGGGTACATGTGCACAATGTGTAGGTTTGTTACATATGTATACATGTGCTATGTTGGTTTGCTGCACCCATTAACTCATCATTTACATTAGGTATTTCTCCTAATGCTATCCCTCCCCCATCACCCCACCCCACAACAGGCCCCAGTGTGTGATGTTCCCCTTCCTGTGTCCAAGTGTTTTCATTGTTCAATTCCCACCTATGAGTGAGAACATAAGGTGTTTGGTTTTCTGTCCTTGGAATAGTTTGCTCAGAATGATGGTTTCCAGCTTTATCCACGTCCCTACAAAGGACATGAACTCATCCTTTCTTTTGGCTGCGTGGTATTCCATGGTGTATATGTGCCACATTTTCTTAATCCAGTCTATCATTGATGGACATTCGGGTTGGTTCCAAGTCTTTGCTATTGTGAATAGTGCCTCAATAAACATATGTATGCATGTGTCTTTATAGTAGCATGATTTATAATCCTTTGGGTATATTCCCAGGAATGGGATGGCTGGGTCAAATGGTATTTCTAGTTCTAGATCCTTGAGGAGTCGCCACACTGTCTTCCACAATGGTAGAACTAGTTTACGCTCCCACTAACAGTGTAGAAGTGTTCCTATTTCTCCACATCCTCTTCAGCACCTGTTGTTTCCTGACTTTTTAACGATCGCCATTCTAATTGGTGTGAGATGGTATCTCATTGTGGTTTTGATTTGCATTTTTCTGATCACCAGTGATGATGAGCATTTTTTCATGTGTCTATTGGCTGCATAAATGTCTTATTTTGAAAAGCATCTGTTCATATAATTTGCCCACTTTTTGATGGGGTTGTTTGATTTTTTCTTGTAAATTTGTTTAAGTTTTTTCTTGTAAATTTGTTTAAGTTCTTTGTAGATTCTGGATATTAGCCCTTTGTCAGATGAGTAGATTGCAAACATTTTCTCCCATTCTGTAGGTTGCCTGTTCACTCTGATGGTAGTTTCTTTTGCCGTGCAGAAGCTCTTTAGTTTAATTAGACCCCATTTGTCTATTTTGGCTTTCGTTTTTTATGTTTTAAATGCTTTTGGTGTTTTAGTCATGAAGTCCTTGCCCATGCCTGTGTCCTGAATGGTATTGCCTAGGTTTTTTTCTAGGGTTTTTATGGTTTTAGGTCTAACATTTAAGTCTTTAATCCATCTCGAATTAGTTTTTGTATAAGTTGTAAGGAAGGGATCCAGTTTCAGGTTTCTACATATGGCTAGCCAGTTTTCCCAGCACCCTTTATTAAATAGGGAATCCTTTCCCCATTTCTTGTTTTTGTCAGGTTTGTCAAAGATCAGAGGGTTGTAGATATTGGTATTATTTCTGAGGCCTCTGTTCTGTTCCATTGGTCTATATCTCTGTTTTGGTACCAGTACCATGCTGTTTTGGTTACTGTAGCCTTGTAGTATAGTTTGAAGTCAGGTAGTGTGATGCCTCCAGCTTTGTTCTTTTGGCTTAGGATTGTCTTGGCAATGCGGGCTCTTTTTTGGTTCCATATGAACTTTAAAGTAGTTTTTTTCCAATTCTGTGAAGAAAGTCATTGGTAGCTTGATGGGGATGGCATTGAATCTATAAATTACCTTGGGCAGTATGGCCATTTTCACGATACTGATTCTTCCTATTCATGAGCATGGAATGTTCTTCCATTTGTTTGTGTCCTTTTATTTCATTGAGCACTGGTTTGTAGTTGTCCTTGAAGAGGTCCTTCACATCCCTTGTAAGTTGGATTCCTAGATATTTTATTCTCTTAGTAGCAATTGTGAATGGGAGTTCACTCATGATTTGGCTCTCTGTTTGTCTGTTATTGGTGTGTAGGAATGCTTGTGATTTTTGCACATTGATTTTGTATCCTGAGGCTTCACTGAATTTGCTTATAAGCTTAAGGAGATTTTGGGCTGAGTTGATGGGGTTTTCTAAATATACAATCATGTCATCTGCATCAGGGACAATTTGACTTCCTCTTTTCCTAATTGAATACCCTTTATTTCTTTCTCTTGCCTAATTGCCCTGGCCAGAACTTCCAACAATTTGTTGAATAGGAGTGGTAAGAGAGGGCATCCCTGTCTTGTGCCAGTTTTCAAAGGGAATGCTTCCAGTTTTTGCCCATTCAGTATGATATTGGCTGTGGGTTTGTCATAAATAGCTCTCATTATTTTGAGATACATTCCATCAATACCTAGTTTATTGAGAGTTTTTAGCATGAAAGGTTGTTGAATTTTGTCGAAGGCCTTTTCTGCATCTATTGAGATAATCATGTGGTTTTTGTCTGTGGTTCTGTTTATGTGATGGATTACATTTATTGATTTATGTATGTTGAACCAGCCTTGCATCCCAGGGATGAAGCCAGCATGGTCTTGGTGGATAAGCTTTCTGATGTGCTGCTGGATTCGGTTTGCCGGGATTTTACTTAGGATTTTCGAATCAGTGTTCATCAGGGATATTGGTCTAAAATTCTCTTTTTTTGTTGTGTCTCTGCCAGGCTTTGGTATCAGGATGATGCTGGCCTCATAAAATGAGTTAGGGAGGATTCCCTCTTTTTCTATTGATTGGAATAGTGTCGGAAGGAATGGTACCAGCTCCCCTTTGTACCTCTGGTAGAATTCAGCTGTGAATCCTTTTGGTCCTGGACTTTTTTTAGTTGGTAGGCTATTAATTATTACCTCAATTTTGGAGCCTGTTACTGGTCTATTCAGGGATTCAAATTCTTCCTGGTTTTGTCTTGGGAGGGTGTATATGTCCAGGAATTTATCCATTTCTTCTAGATTTTCTAGTTTATTTGCGTATAGGTATTTGTAGTATTCTCTGATAGTAGTTTGTATTTCTGTGGGGATTGGTGGTGATATCCCATTTATCATTTTTTATTGCATCTATTTGATTCTTCTCTTCTTTATTAGTCTTGCTAGTGGTCTATCAATTTTGTTGACCTTTTCAAAAAACCAGCTCCTGGATTCATTGATTTTTTGAAGGGTTTTTGTGTCTCTATTTCCTTCAGTTTTGCTCTGATCTTAGTTATTTCTTGCCTGCTGCTAGCTTTTGAATGTGTTTGCTCTTGCTTCTCTAGTTCTTTTACTTGTTATGTTAGGGTGTCGATTTTAGATCTTTCCTGCTTTCTCTTGTGGGCATTTAGTGCTATAAATTTCCCTCTACACACTGCTTTAAATGTGTCCCAGAGATTCTGGTATGTTGTGTTTTTGTTCCCATTGGTTTCAAAGAACATCGTTATTTCTGCCTTAATTTCATTATTTATGAAATAACGTCATTCAGGAGCAGGTTGTTCAGTTTCCACATAGTTATGTGGTTTTGAGTGAGTTTCTTAATCCTGAGTTCTACTTTGATTGCACTATGGTCTGAGAGACAGTTTGTTGTGATTTCTGTTCTTTTTGATTTGCTGAGGAGTGCTTTACTTCCAACCACGTGGTCAGTTTTGGAATACGTGCCATGTGGTGCTGAGAAGAATGTATATTCCGTTGATTGATTTGGGGTGGAAAGTTCTGTAGATGTCTATTAGGTCTGCTTGGTGCAGGGCTGAGTTCAAGTCCTGGATATCCTTGTTAACCTTCTGTCTCGTTGATCTGTCTGATATTGACAGTGGGATGTTAAAGTCTCCCATTATTGTGTGGGAGTCTTGTAGGTCTCTAAGTACTTGCTTTATGAATCTGGGTGCTCCTGTATTGAGTTCATAGATATTTAGGATAGTTAGCTCTTCTTGTTGAATTGATCCCTTTACCATTATGTAATGGCCTTCTTTGTCTCTTTTGATCTTTGTTGGTTTAAAGTCTGTTTTATGAGACTAGGATTGCAACCCTTGCTTTTTTTTGCTTTCCATTTGCTTGGTAGATCTTCCTCAATCCCTTTATTTTAAGCCTATGTGTGTCTCCGCATGTGAGTTGGGTCTCCTGAATACAGCACACTGATGGGTCTTGACTCTTTATCCAATTTGCCAGTCTGTGTCTTTTAATTGGAGCATTTAGCCCATTTACATTTAAGGTTAATATTGTTATGTGTGAATTTGATCCTGTCGTTATGATGTTAGCTGGTTATTTTGCCTGTTAGTTGATGCAGTTTCTTCCTAGCATTGATGTTTTTGCTGTGGCTGGTACCGGTTGTTCCTTTCCATGTTTGGTGCTTCCTTTAGGAGCTCTTGTAAGGCAGGCCTGGTGGTGACAAAATCTCTCAGCATTTGCTTGTCTGTAAAGGATTTTATTTCTCCTTCACTTATGAAGCTGGATATGAAATTCTGGGTTGAAAATTCTTTTCTTTAAGAATGTTGAATATTGGACCCCACTCTCTTCTGGCTTGTAGATTTTCTGCCAAGAGATCTGTTAGTCTGATGGGCTTCCCTTTGTGGGTAATCCGACCTTTCTCTTGACTGCCCTTAACATTTTTTCCTTCATTTCAATCTTGGTGAATCTGACAATTATGTGTCTTGGGGTTGCTCTTCTTGAGGAGTATCTTTGTGGCGGTCTCTGTATTTCCTGAATTTGAATGTTGGCCTGCCTTGCTAGGTTGGGGAAGTTCTTCTGGATAATATCCTGAAGAGTGCTTCCAGCTTGGTTCCATTCTCCCCGTCACTTTCAGGTATACCACTCAAACGTAGATTTGGTCTTTTCACATAGTCCCATATTTCCTGGAGCCTTTGTTCATTTCTTTTTACTCGTTTTTCTCTAAACTTCTCTCTTCATTTCATAAATTTGATCTTCAATCACAGATACCCTTTATTCCAGTTGATCGAATCGGCTACTGAAGCTTGTGCATGAGTCACATAGTTCTTGTGCCATGGTTTTCAGCTCCATCAGGTCATTTAAGGTCTTCTCTATACTGTTTATTCTAGTTACATTTATCTAATCTTTTTTTCAAGATTTTTAGCTTCCTTGTGATGGGTTCAAACATCCTCCTTTAGCTCGGAGAAGTTTGTTACTACCGACCTTCTGAAGCCTACTTCTGTCAACTCGTCAAAGTCATTCTCCGTCCAGCTTTGTTCTGTTGCTGGCAAGGAGCTGTGATCCTTTCGAGGAGAAGCAGCGCTCTGGTTTTTAGAATTTTCAGCTTTTCTGCTCTGGTTTCTCCCCATCTTTGTGGTTTTATCTACCTCCGGTCTTTGATGTTGGTGACCTACAGATGGGGTTTTGGTGTGGATTTCCTTTTTGTTGATGTTGATGCTGATGTTATTCCTTTCTATTTGTTAGTTTTCCTTCTAACAGGTCACTCAGCTGCAGGTCTGTTGGAATTTGCTGGAGGTTCGCTCTGGACCCTGTTTGCCTGGGTATCACCATCGGAGGCTGCAGAATAGCAAATATTGCAGAACAGCAAATATTCCTGCCTGATCCTTCCTCTGGAAGCTTCATCTCAGAGGGGCACCTGGCTATATGAGGTGTCAGTCGGCCCCTCCTGGGAGGTGTCTCCCAGTTAGGCTACATGGGGGGTCAGGGACCCACTTGAGGAGGCAGTCTGTCCTTTCTCAGAGCTCAAACACCGTGCTCGGAGAACCACTGCTGTCTTCAGAGCTGTCAGACAGGAACGTTAAGTCTGCAGAAGTTTCTGCTGACTTTTGTTCAGCTATGCCCTGCCCCCAGAGGTGGAGTCTACAGAGGCCTGCAGGCCTCATTGAGCTGCGGTGGGCTCTACCCAGTTTGAACTTCCCGGCCGCTTTGTTTACCTCCTCAAGCCTCGGCAATGGTGGACGCCCCTCCCTGAGCCAGGCTGCTGCCTCGCAGTTCGATCTTGGACTGCTGTACTAGTGGTGAGCAAGGCTCCGTGGTTGTGGGACTTGCTGAGCCAGTCAAGGGATATAATCTCCTGGTGTGCCGTTTGCTAAGACCATTAGAAAAGTGCGGTATTTGGGTGGCAGTGTCCCGATTCTCCTTGTATAGTCTGTCATGGCTTCCCTTGGCTAGGAAAGGGAAATCCCCTGACCGCTTGCGCTTCCTGGGTAAGGTGATGCCCCACCCTGCTTCAGCTCACCCTCTGTCGGCTGCACCCACTGTCCAACCAGTCCCAATGAGATGAACCAGGTACCTCAGTTGGAAATGCAGAAATTACCCGTTTTCTGTGTCAGTCACACTGGGAGCAGCAGACTGGAGCTGTTCCTATTCGGCCGTCTTGGAATGGACCACAAGGCTGAACATTTTTTATTTCTTCTTCAATTTGAAATATATTTTCATGGATATAGATTTCTGCATTGACAGTTTTTTCTTTCAGCACTTTAGTGGTGTCTGACTTTCAAAATTTCTGAAAGTTCTTATCCTGTTCCACTGTATTGTGTCTTTTTTTTTTTTTTTTAAACTCTGGCAGCCTTCAAGGTTTTCTCTTTATCTTTGATTTTTTCCACCATCAGTTTGAATATAATGTGTCTAATTGTGGATTTTTGTTGTTGTTGTTGTTGTTGTTTGTTTATTTGATGCTGCCTAGTGTTCTCTGAGCTTTTTGGATTCTTTTGTATTAATTTTGAAAAATTTTGGTTATTATCTCTTCATATTTTGTTTCTGTCTTATTGTCTCTCTTTCTGGAATTCCAGTTACACATATGTTAGAGTATTTGATATTGTCCCATAGCACTTGGATGTTCTCTTCTCTGTTTTTCATTCTCTTGTCATGTTTTGTGGGAGTAGTTTCTGTTGATGTCTTTACTGATTCTGAGACTGTCTTGGTCTTCTGATAAGGTTGTTGAAAGCTTTCATCTCTGTTACTATATTTTTATTTCTAGCATTTCCGTTTGATTTCTTCTTACCGTTTCCATCCCTCTGCTTAAATTACACATCTGCGTATGCATATTATCTACATTTTTCGTTAGAGCATTTAACGTATAAATTCCGTGTTTGATAGTTCTAATATGATGGTTGTATCCGAATCTGGTTCTATTGTTTTGTTTTTTTTTCTTTGCTCCTTTTTCGGTTTTTTTTTTTTTTTGGTTGAAATCTGGACATTTTGTGTAGAGAGCCAGTTAAATGGTATTTATGCCTGGAAATGGACATGCTTTGTCTTTTCCTGAGACGTGTGTGTGTGTGTGTGGTGGGGAGGAATGTTGAGGGTTTTGTTATTGCTAGGTTACCTTTAATTTACCACAGGCTTAAAGTTTCTCTAGCATTACTTTGTGTTTAGGGTAGGATTTAGTTTGTCAGAGAGTTTTTCTTAATGTCTACCCTCAGCTTTAGGTCTTCCCTTTGAACTTGCATCTCAGAGAAGGTATTTCTCCATGCTTTAGCTCTTTGCTCACAAACAGTCATGCGCCACATAACAATGTTTTGGTCAACAGCAGACTGCATATATGATGATGGTCCCCTAAGATTATAATACCATATTTTAACTGTACCTTTCTATGTTTAGATAAACAAAATACTTACCATTGTGTTACAGTTGCCTACAGTATTCAGTACAGTAACATGCTGTACAGGTTTGTAGCCTAAGACCAATAATATACCATACTGTATAGCCTAGGTGTGTAACAGGCTATACTGTCTTTGTCTGTGTAAGTATACTCTGTCATGTTCTCACAATGAAATCACCTGACAATGCATTTCTTAGACCATATTCCTGTCATTACGTGACACATGACTGTAGTACATTGCTGTTACATGTTGTTTGAGGCTTGCTAGCCTGCATTTGATGGGAGATGGGGAGGACATTTTGTGTTGGATTTTTCCAGTCTCCATTTTAGCTAGGTGTTTCCATTTTCTCTGGGTCTCAAGTATGGGGCTTTTTCAGAGATCTTGCCCCTTCTTTAAGCAGGGTAGATTTTGTTTGCTTCCCCTAGCTGCAGGTCCACATTTGGCTTGTAGTAATTACAAAATTTTTTAACCAAGTTCTTATTGGCTTGTATGGTGTCTGGTGTTTACTATAGGTAAAGTAGTGCTCATGTCCCATCTCTCCCTTTAAAATCCTGTCTTTCCTTAGATTTTAGATCAATTACTTAGATTTAAGGTTACCTTACTTTTGTGCTGGGTTCAAGAAAATTTGTGATTTTGCACAACATCCATCTTTTACTTTGTTTTAATGGTGAAAATGACTTTCTAACTTTCTTCATCCTAAGCAGCACCTAGAAGTCCCATTTCTTTATTGAGGATGTCTATTGATACGGGATTTTTGATGGTTAAAGTATCTTTTAAATCTGTTCCTTTCAGTTTTTTCCTCCAAATTTGTATTTTTGTTTGTTCATTTATTCAATATAAAAAAGTCAAGTCTGTGCTATGTGTCTAGGCCCTGTGCTCAGTGTTGGGGGATATAGGGATGAGCAAGTACCCTTAATAATACTTTCTCTAATGAGCATATAGTTTAATGGGGAAGACCGGATAATTAAAGAGGTAATTATACTAAAGTAATGATAAGAGCTGTAGTAGGAGATGTATATGGAAGGAGGCACCCAGTCTTATCTAGAATGATTAGGTAAGGCTTCTCAGAGAAAGAACTGTGATGCAGACCTAAAGATTATGTAGGAATTAGGTTAAAGATGGCTGGGAGGCTGTAGGGAAGTAGAGTAGGTAGAAGGAAGAGATTATCCAGTAGCTAAGATGGAAAACAAACAAACCCACAGAACCAACATGAAGAGTTTGAGAATCTGAAAGAAGAGCCATGTGGCTATAAAGCATATGAAGACAGAAGTGACAGAAGGTAAGACTGGAGAAATTGGTTGGAGCCAGGTTAGAAAGAAGAGTCTTCTAAGCCATGTTAAGTTGATTTTATCATGAAAACAGTGGCAAGTCATTGAAAGACTTTAGGGAGGGTGACATCTGACTAGCTAATGGTTTTGAAAAAGTCATTTTGGATGGAAGGTGAAGAGTGAATGCAAAGAAGCAAAGCAGTTACCAAGACTAGTTAGATAGGTTACCTCAGTAATCCAGGCATTTGTATGTGTTGTTTTAACTTGGAGTAGTAGCATTAGAGATAGGGACAACCAGGCAAATTAAAGAGATACTCAAATGTGAAGATCAGTGGAACTTTTCCATTGGTTGAATACAGAGAGTGAGGAAGAGGGAAGACTTGGGATGTATCCAGTAAAAATCTTGGTATGTTTCTGTAGAACCTCCAAGTTTCCTTCCTTCTTTCCAGAGGGAGAGTAGAAGAAAGGACCCTTGGTTTACTTTCATAATTATCGTTTATGTATGGCCCAAAATTCATTGAGGCCGTGGAGGTAAGTCAGAAAAAGAGAAAAGGAAAAAATATCTAAGTAATATGTAAGTCATGGTAAATGAACTTCTCTTGCCTGATTGTCTTTGAGTGTTGAGAAAAACAGGACAGTTTGGTTCCTTCGGTTTTGATGTTTGGCTTATTGGTATATAAACAAAAAATCTGCAAACCTTGCTCTTTTGGAACAAAAATAGCATACAATTGATCTTCTCAAATAGCTGTTCCATGTAGAGAGACATTTAACTATATTTAATCATATAATTTCCTTGTTTTTTCCAGATGGTTTTACTCAGCATTTGGTGTGGTGGATCTTACATAAACCTTTAGAACTTACATTAGAGTGTTCAAGTCTTCTGAGACTCCAGAGTCACCTAAGGTAGTGACCATTGCCACTAACAGTTGTGACAAGTTTTATACACAACATTGCTGTGGGTGCCAATAATGTTTTTCATGGCAGTGGAGGGGCAAAGTATAGTTTTCAGAAAAAGGATGTTAGTGATAAACAGCTCTCATATGATTCAAGATTTCAGTGCTTAAGGTGGGAAAGTAGGCGTGAAGCTTATGAAGGCCATCAGTTTTCCTTCTCAGAATGATGTAGTTAAAAGCAAGTATGGTGTATTATTACAATGTTAGAGTTAGGCAGTCATGATTTAGAAATTTTTTGCTTTTTTGGGGGTGTACTGTGGGATAGAGTTGTGAGTAGCTAAATAGCTCAGGTATTAGTCAAAGCTGGGTGTGCATTCTGGTTTCTGTACTTAGTAAGTACAGATGTACAACCTTGAGTCTTCATTTATTTGTCTGTAAAATGGTGATAATAATTATATACACCTTGAAGAGTTGTTACAAAGGTTAAGTGAGATGATGTATACAAGCACTTAACCCAGTGCTTCATTCATTGACTTATTTGGTAGGGTACAAGTTTAAATTATATTGCCATGTACAGTTTGTTAAATCCAACATACTACAGATTGAGTAGCCCTTATCTGGACTGCTTGGGACCAGAAGTGTTTTTGATTTTGATTTTTTTTTTTGAATATTTGCATTATATTTAACAGTTGAGAATCCCTAACCTGAAAATCTGAAATCTGAAATGCTCCAGTGTTCATTTCCTTTGAGTGTCATGTCGGTGCTCAGAATGTTTTGGACTTTGGAGCATTTTGGATTGCAGATTTTCACATTAGGGCATATCAGCCATGTAAGGTTTTTATAATCTAAGAAACAGTCATAATCATAGGTCTCTTAATCATTTCTCATAATTGGATTATGTTTACATATTTCCCATCTGTAAAAAGGGCTAGTAATGTAAAAATACAGAGTATCAATTCTTTGATGGTGGCAGGAAATTATGGTTTACAAGAATGAAGTAGGTTTTTTGGATGGGGAGCTTAAGTCTGGCTCCGGTTTAATTTTGCTGTTATCATTAGTTTGCACATAAGGTCTCTTTCTATAAATAGATATGTATCATATATACAAATTGAGAAAGGTTTGCTTTAGTAGGAAAATAGCTAGTGAGTTGAGTCAAACAGATAAGATGTAACAATTCTTTTTTTTTTTTTTTTTTTTTTAAGAGATAAGGTCTTGTTCTGTTCTCCAGGATGGAGTGCATTGGTCTGGTCTTAGTTCACTGTAACCTCAAACTCCTGGGCTTAGGTGATCCTCCTACCTCAGCCTCCTAAGTAGGTAGGGCTACAGATGTGCACCACCATGCCCAGCTAATTAAAAAACAATTTTTTTTTGTACATATAGAGTCTCGCTATGTTGCCTAGGCTGGTCTCGAACTCCTGGACTTAAGTGATCCTCCCATCTTGGCCTCCCAGAAGTCCTGGGGTTATAGGCAGGACCCATTATACTTGGCCAAAGGAATTCTTAATGTTGTTCAAGAATACACATACCTTTTACACACACACACACACAATCTCAAATTAAGGAGAAACATCTGAATTGATACTGCTTTGTGCCAGGCACATTTGCTTTTGTGCTCATTTATTTAACAAACATCTTATTGAATGCTGTATGTGCCAGGAATGGTGCTGGGTATTGAGAAACTAAAAATGATAAGGTATTTCTTGCTTTCAAGGAGTTGTAGGTATGATTGTTAGTCAGACAAGCTTACAGTTTGGTATGGCAGTAGAGAGCGCAGAATACCCAGCCCGCATTTACTCAAGGAATATTTATTGAAAGCTAAAATATACAAGTATTCAGTAGGCATTCAGAGATCATTTAGAACTACATCTCAAAAGGAACAGCCCTAAGTCATCCTTGACAAGTAAGTCTTCAAATGGCAATGGAGACTCCTGTGTTTGGATCCATTATAGGATAGGCTCAGTGTAATGCTAAATAAGGCTAGACTGTAGAAAACTTCCTTATCAGCTTTGTTGAACTGGTGTTCCTTTGGCTTTTCATTTCTGTGCCTCAGTTATGTCTTTCAGAGTAGCTTTTGGAGAGGTTAAAGAAGGCAATTGGGGCTTCTCATCTCCTAACATTAAGTAATTGATATAGTTATTTATGTATTTTTTCCTATAAGATTGTTAAAGATATTTAAGTGGGGAGTACTAACCACACTGATATAGTCATATTGCCATAGGCATTTATGAGCACAGACATTGGTCTCAGAGTATCTAGATTAGGATCTAGATAATCCTCTGCCATATTCTAGTCCTTTGGCCTTGGTGGACACAATTTAACACCCTTGTTGCCTCGGTTTTATCATTGGTAGAATTGGACTAGTAATAATTCTACTTCATAGGGTTGTTGGGAGAATCAAATGAAATGTTACTATTTTGAACATAAAATAGTCAAGTGAGTTGTCAGGTGAGCAAATAAGATCTGATAAGTGGCCAAAATAAATATAAAGTTCATGTATTGAAGTTCATATATTTTGCTCAATTAGGAAGCACCTCAGATCCTTACTTAGAGGGCTTTTATTGTTACTTTGTATGTAATTTGGACACTCTGGAATTTGCATTGCCCTTTAGGTTGAGAGAAATAGAAATGCCTAGAGTAGCAATAAGTGACAGATGGTGAAGAGAAAGAAACAATAAAAATCAGGTACTCTACTAAAACAAAAAATAGTGATCTGGAGGTTGTAGTACAGCTGTGCATTGCATATGGGGTGAGGACAGCATTTCACAATGAAGAAGGCCTTGAGGCATCACCTTATACATGGCGCAGTTTGGCAGTTTGAACAGAACTGTTTGACTTCTCATTCTGCTTTTTACTAGTGATTCTGTTTCTTGCATGCCTTTTAGTAAGGTCTATCTATGTAAGGTCTCTCAGTGAGTGTCTACCTGGGTTAAAAGCTTATTTCTCTTTAGTTCAGATATGTTAAAGAGAAGACCTATAGAGTAATTTCTTTCACTATAGACTTTAATTTTAGAAATTATTGTCTTATTCTTTTAAATTGTAATATATATTTTGTATAACCTGGTTTGAATAGAAGTAAAAATGAATCTCCAAGCAGATACAGGAATTATTTTGTGTTTTCAAGTGTGAAATATATCATTGTATTATAATAACTAGTGCAAGTGCATTTACGGAAGGATGCATTAAGAAAACTACAGCAGAATCAGTTGTGGTTCATTAGCAGATTTTATAGTTTTTAAAATATGAAGCCATTTCTCTGCTGTCCAAGTATAATTTTTTATGTTATTATATCACACACAAGTGCCTCTGTGCTGTGTTTGTGTTGAATCTCTTTTAAGTGAAGCGCCTGTGCAGGAGAAGGACATTTCTTGATTTCTTATTTGCAAATGCAGTTGACCCTTAGTATCCCTGGAGAATTGGTTCCAAGACTTTCCTTGGATACCACAATTTGAGGATGTTCAAGTCTCTGATATAAAACGGCAGTATTTGTATATAACCTATGTACATCCTCCTTTTTACTTTATATCATCTCTAGATTACTTATACCTAATACAATATAAATGCTAGGTAAATATTTGTTAGACTTCATTGTTAGGGAATAATAACGAGGAAAATCTGTGCATGTTCAGTACAGACACAATTTTTTTAACTGAATATTTCCATCTCTGGGTTGGTTGAATCCATAGACCCATGGATATGGAGGGCCAGTTGTACTGTACTTGTGATTGACATTGAAAGTGGGAAGACCTTGAAAGTGTGGAAAGGATTGGGTATATTTTTTATTTTATTATTTTATTATTCTAATTTTATTCTGTCAAAGAATCTTCCAATTTTTTACTCATGTTTTCTCTTTTACCTTGCTCTACAACCAGAATTACAAATTATTTGAAACAGAAAATATTTTCTATGCCTGTTGTATACTTTTCTGACATTGAATATGCTGTTTAGAATAGTATTTCAAAACTTTTATTCAAGTGAAATCAACTTAGTGAATAAATAGATCTTAAATTGTAAGAATTTTAAAAGCCTTAAATTGTAAAAAGTGAAGAAGAATTCTAGATTAAAAGTAATAGTAGTGCATATATTAAGGGTAAGTATTTTATGGACTTTTTTATTATTATACTTTAAGTTCTACAGTACATGTGCACAACCTGCACGTTTGATACATAGGTATGCATGTGCCATGTTGGTTTGCTTCACCCATCAAATTATCATTTACATTAGGTATTTCACCTAATGCTATCCCTCCCCCAGTCCCCCACCCCCCGACAGGCCCCAGTGTGTGATGTTCACTGCCATGTGTCCAAGTGATCTCATTGTTCAGTTCCTACCTATGAGTGAGAACATGTGGTGTTTGGTTTTCTGTCCTTGTGATAGTTTGCTGAGAATGATGGTTTCCACCTTCATCCATGTCCCTGCAAAGGACATGAACTCATCCTTTTTTTCGGCTGCATAGTATTCCATGGTGTATATGTGCCACATGTCCTTAATCCAGTTTATCATTGATGGACATTTGGGTTGGTTCCAAGTCTTCGCTATTGTGAATAGTGCCGCATTAAACATATGTGTGTGTGTGTCTTTATAGTAGCATGATTTATAATCCTTTGGGTATGTACCCAGTAATGGGATCACTGGGTGAAATGGTAATTCTAGTTCTAGATCCTTGAGGAATTGCCACACTGTCTTCCACAATGGTTGAACCAATTTACACTCCCACCAACAGTGTAAAAGCATTCCTATTTCTCCACATCCTCTCCAGCATCTGTTGTTTTCTGACTTTTTAATGATTGCCATTCTAACTGGCGTGAGATGGTATCTCATCATGGTTTTGATTTGCGTTTCTCTGATGACCAGTGAAGATGAGCATTTTTTCATGTGTCTGTTGGCTGCATAGATGTCTTCTTTTGAGAAGTGTCTGTTCATATCCTTTGCCCGCTTTTGATGGGGCTGTTTGTTTTTTTCTTGTAAATTTGTTTAAGTTCTTTGTAGATTCTGGATATTAGCCCTTTGTCAGATGAGTAGATTGCAAAAATTTTCTCCCATTCTGCAGGTTGCCTGTGCACTCTGATGGTAGTTTCTTTGCTGTGCAGAAGCTCTTTAGTTTAATCAGATCCCATTTGTCAATTTTGGCTTTTGTTGCCATTGCTTTTGGTGTTTAATCATGAAGTCCTTGCCCGTGCATATGTCCTGAATGGTATTGCCTAGGTTTTCTCCTAGGGTTTTTATGGTTTTAGGTCTAACATTTAAGTCTTTAATCCATCTTGAATCAATTTTTGTATAAGGTGTAAGGTAAGGATGGAGTCTCACTCTGTTGCCCAGGCTGGAGTGCAGTGGCGTGATCTCGGCTCACTGTAACCTCTGCCTCGCGGGTTCAAGCAATTCTTCTACTTCAGCCTTCCAAGTAGCTGGGATTACAGGCACCCGCCACCACGCCTGGCTAATTTTTGTACCTTCAGTAGAGATGGGGCTTCACCATGTTGGCCAGGCTGGTCATGAACTCCTGACCTCAGGTGATCCACCCGCCTCAGCCTCCCAAAGTGCTGGGATTATAGGTGTGAGCCACTGTACCCAGCCTGGACTTTTTTTTTAAGTCACATATGTGTATGAGTCTGTTTACTGTGTTATTATATGAAATGCTTTTCTTACTGTGGAATGCAGGAAAAAAATTGGAAAAACTGGCTTAGGAACCTATGCTTTTAGGTAAGTCTTATAAAGCTTTAAAAAAAAAGGTCTTGGAAATAATATAGAGCAGAAATAAACAAAATAGAAAATAGGAAAATAATAGAAAAAAGTAAAGAAACTAAATAGTTTGGCATTTTGAAAAGATCATAAGATCAATAAAATTGACAAACCCTTAGCTAGGCTAAGGAAAAAGAGAATAGACTCAACTGAAGTCAGAAATGAAAAAGGAGACATTGCAACTGATGCCACAGAAATACAAAGGATCATTAAGTGACTATTATAAACAATTATACGCCAACATATTGGCTAACCTGAAAGAAACTGATAGATTTCTAGAAACATAACAAGACTGAATAATGAAGAAATAGAAAATCTGAGCAGACCCATAAGCAGTAAGGAAATTCAATTAGTAAGCAAAAATCTCCTAGCAAAGAAAAGCCCAGGACCACATGGCTTCATTGGGGAATTCTACCAAACATTTAAAGGAGAATTGATACCAATTCTTCTTAAACTCTTCCAAAAAATGGAAGAGGAAGGAACACTTCCAGACTCATTTAATGAGGTCAGTATTACCCTGATACCAAAGCCAGAGATACTATAAGAAAACTACAGGCCAGTATCTCTGATGAATATTGTAAAAATCTTCCACAAAATACTAGCAAGATGAATTCAATAAGACATTAAAAGGATCTTACACCATGACCAAGTGGAATTTATCTCTGGGATGCAAGGATGGCTCAACATATGAAAATCAATAAATATAGAATATATACAATATTAACAACTGAGGACAAAAATCACATCATTTCAACTGATTCAGTAAAAGTACTGACAAAACATAATACCTTTTTATGATAAAAACACTCAACAACCTAGGAATAGAAGGAAATTATCTCAACATAATAAAGGTAATATGTGAAAAACTCACAGCTAACATAATCATTAGTGAAAAATGAAGTTTTTCCTCTAAGATCAGGAACAAGGCAAGAATGCCCACTCATCACTTTCTTCAACATTGTAATAGAAATCCTAGCTAGAGCAGTTAGACGAGAAAAAGAAATAAAAAGCATCCAAATTGGAAAGGAGGAAGTAAGATTATCCCTAATCACAGATGACTTGGTTTTACGTGTACAAAACCAAAAAAAATAAAAAATAAAAAAAACTGTAAGAACTGTTAAACCAATTCAGCCAAGTTGCAGGATACAAAATCAACTCTCCAAAATCACTTGTGTTTCTGTGCACTAACAATTAAGGAAATAAAGAAAATCTCATTTACAGTAACATCACAAAGAATAAAATGCATAAGAGTAAACTTAATCGAGGGGAGAAGGACATACATTGAAAACTATAAAACATTGCTGAAAGAAATTAAAGATACAAAAATATGGAAAGACATAAATTGGTATTATTATGCTGAAACTAAAGCCAGACAAATACTACTGGTTGAGCATCTCTACTCCAAAAATCCAAAATTCAGAATGCTTCAATGAGCATTTCCCTTGAGTATGACCTTTGAGCACTGTCAGCACACAAAAAGTTTTGGATTTTGGAGCATTTTGGATTTAGGATTCTTGTACTAGGGCTGCTCAATCTGTACAAGAAGACCAATATTCCTGATAAATATTGATGCAATACTGTTGTGGATTGGAAGACTTAATATTGTTAAAATGTCCATACTGTCCAGTCTACAGAGTCAGAACAATCTCTGTCAAAATCCTTACAGCGTTTTTTGCAGAAACAGATAAAACCATCCTAAAATTCATATGGAATCTCAAAGGAGCCCAAATAGCCAAAGCAGTCTTGAGAAAGAAGAACAAAGCTGGAGGCCTCACACTTCCTGATTCCATAGTATATTACAAAGCTATAGTGATCAAAACAGTATGGTGTTAGCATACAAGCAGACATATAGACCAGTAGCACAGACTAGAGAGCCCAGAAATAAACCCACGTATAGTCAAATGATCTTTGATGAGCATACCAAGACTACACAATGGAAAAAAGGATAGTTTCTTCAATAAATCGTGTTGGGAAAACTGGATATCCACATGCAAAAGAATGAGGTGTACCATATACAAAATTTAATTAAAAATGGATTAAATATAAGAACTGAGAACCTAGAAAAAAACAGGGGAAAAGCTTCTTGATATTGGAATTAGCAGTGGTTTCTTGCATATGACATCAAAAGCACAAGTAACAAAAACAGCAAAAACATGTACATCCAACTTAAAAAACTAAAAATGTAAAAAACATACATCCAACTTAAAAGTCTTCTATACAGCAAATAAACAGTTGTCAGAGTGTAAACACAGCCTGAGGAATAGGAGAAGATATTTGTAAACCATATATTAGACTAGGGGTTAATATTGGGAATATATAAAGAACTTGACAACTCAGTAACAAATAATCTGAATAAAAAATGAGCAGAACCCAAATAAAGATTTCTCCCAAGAAGATACGTGCATGGCCAGCAGGCATGTGAAAAGATGTTCTACACAACTAATCATTAGGGAGATGCAAATAAAAACCACAGTAAGATATTATCTCACACCTAAGATGGCCGCCATCAAAGAAGAAACAGAAAATAACAAGTGTTGACAAGGATGTAGAGGAATTGGAACCCTTGCACACTGTTGGTGGGATTGTACAATGGCACAGCTCCTATGGAAAACATATGGAAATTCTTCCTAAAACTAAAAATAGAACTATCATATAAGCCAGCAGTCCCACTACTGGGTATATATTCCGAGGGAATGAGATTAGATGTTAAAGAGACATCTGCACTCCCATGTTCAGTGCAGCATTATTCACAGTAATCAAGATGTGGAAGCAACGTTAAGTGTTCATCAGTGGATGAATGGATAAAGAAAATATGGCATGTACCTACAACAGAATATCATCCAACCTTATGAGGAAGAAATTCCTGTCATGCTGCCTCATGGTTGAACCTTCAGGACATTTTGCTAAGTGAAATAACCCAATCACAAAAAGTTGAATACTTGCATAATTTCACTAATATGAGGTATCTAAAGGAATTAAACTCATAGAAACAGAAACTAGAATGGTGGTTGCCAAGGAAATGAGGAATTGTTCAGTGAGTGTAGAGTTTCAGTCATGTCAGATGAGAAAGTTTAGTGATCTGTCATACAACAATATGCATATAGTTAAAATACTGTGCTATACACTTGAGAATTGTGAAGAGGTAAATTTATGTTCTTTTTTTTTTTTTTACTACAGAAAATGCACAAAACGTCTATAAGCATACAAAACAAAATGTTACAGTGGTTTTCTCTGGAAGGAGAATACAGATTTTTAGTTTTTGCTTTTAGGTTTATTGTAAAGTCCTTTTGTATTAAAATACACACAAAAAAAAACTCTTTGTTAGCTATTAAAACTTTTCCTAAAAGTAGATTGTACCTTCCATTGTAGACCTTTGAGCCATCTATTATTTTTAAAACTGTACCTTGTTAAACCCCGTCTTTTTTTACTTGGATACCTCATTCTTCAAGTAGCCTGTAGTGGCCAAGAAAAATAACTTTGTATCTAGTTTTGTCATCAGAACACTGAGCACTGTATAAAAATTCATCGATAAATATTAGCTGCTATATCCATAAAGTCAGCCAGTATTCCAAAGCTGTATACTGACTATTGCTAAAGAAGCAGAGTTTATTTAAATATGTGTTCCTTAGACTGAATTCAAATGACTGGAGAACTGATTTTGTACAGGCTTTAATACTGAACTTTGCTAAGTCAAGAATAGCTTTTAAGGAAGATTTTGAATATGTGACATTTATTTATGTATAAATACTGAGTCTCAAGGTGCTTTGTCATGTGGTGAATAGAGGAGTGCAAAATATTATATTCTACTTAGTACTACCCTTGCATTTCTAATAAAGGTATGACAAAGCAGGTATTGTTAGAATTTCTATTCTCATAGTTGCTCACTTTTTGTTCCAGGATTTAAAAATTATTTATCTATGCCTTTATTACAGTTAACCCATTCATCTCCCATTTACATCATCAGTTTTTACCTTCCTATTGGATTAGTCTTCCTCCCCTCATACTTGCTTCCTAGACTGTTCCAGTGGGATATTTATCTCCCCAATTCCATGAAGCCATTCCAGTGTTAACGACAACCCCATCTTGCTAAATCCAGTGGAAATTCTCAGTTCGTCCTACTTGACCTTCCAACAGCATTTATCTTATTTTATTTGTATTTATTTATTTATTTGAGATAGGGTTGAAACCTCAACCTGCTGGGTTCAAGTTTTCCTCCAACTCAGCCTCCTGAGTAGCTGGGACTATAAGGCGTGTGCTACCATGTCCAACTAATTTTTGTATTTTTTGTAGAGAAAGGGTTTCTCCTCTCTTCTTTCACATCCCATACAATCAGTCCATAAAGTTTTGTTAGCTTTGCTTTCAGATTCTATGATTAATCTGACCACTTCTTATGACCTCTGCTACCACCCTAGACGTGCTGCAATAACTTCCTAACAGGTTTCCTTCCTTCTACTCTTGTCCCCCTGTACTTACATATTAGCTAGAATGATCTTTAGCAAAAGTAAGTCAGATCATGTTGAAACCTTCCAATAATTCCCCAGCACTCTGAAAATAAAATCCGAAGCTCTTGCCATAACCTACCAGCCACTACTAATTCTGGCCCTTAGCTGTCTTACTGACTTCTCCGCCCCTTCTTTTTTTTCTTGAGACAGGGTCTTACTCTGTCACCCAGGCTGGAGTGCAGTGGCACAATCTCAGTTCACTGCAGCCTCCACCTCCCAGGTTCAAGTGATTCTCCTACTTCAGCCTCCCAGGTTCAAGTGATTTCTCCTACCTCAGCGTCCCAAGTAGCTGGGATTACAGGCGTGTGCCACCATGCCTGGCTATTTTTGGTATTTTTAGTAGAGCAGAGGTTTCACCATGTTGGCCTGGCTGGCCTTGAACTCCTGACCTCGGATTACAGATGCAAGCCACCATGCCCCCCCCTCCACCCCTTCCTATTCTGCTGATACCACACTTGTTTTCCTGTTACTTCTTGTCCGTGCCAAAATTGTCCTGCCTCAGAGTTTTTGCACGTGTTCATTCTTTTTCCTGGATTTCTCTTTTCCCTGATAATTTATGTGTCTCTCTGACTCGATTTAAACATCAGCTCAGGTGTTAACTCCTCAGTGTGGTCTTCCTCACTTTACAACATGGTCTTCCTTGTATTTTCATCTCTGCTCCATTTTACTCTGTAGCCTTATACATTATAGGATGTGTTTAAATGTTTGTTGATTGATTGATTGTCTTCACCAGTAAGTTCCATGAGGCCAGGAGCTTTGTTCATTACTGTGTTCCCAATGCCTAAGATGGGACTTGGCACACAGTAGTTAATAAATATTTGTGGAATGAATGAATATTTAGTGATATAAATAAATGATATTTATTTAGTAACAAATGCAGTGCAATGGCATTGTAGATACAAAGACAAAAAGAAACTAACTCTACACTGAAGAAGAGAGGCAGATGTGCAAACAAGTAACTATAAAGCAGTATGATAATTGCTTTAATGAAAGTGTATGTATGTAAAGGTGTATGTATAGTGGAAACTTACAGGAAGGACCTTAGACTATCAAGGAGAGTCATAATGAAGTTATAGAAAAGGTAACCTTTTCTATATAGTAATGAAGTTATAGAAAAGGAAGTTTTGAGGGTGGTAATGGAGCTAAATTATGTAGGATTGTATTTGTTATGCAAAAAAGCTTGTGTGTGAAAAACCACTGAAGAATTTTGAACTGGGAAATGAAGAGGAGAATCTGATTGGTCTTTTAGAAAGTCACTGGAAGCAGTGTAGAGGTGGGTGAATAGGACTTGGTAAATGATTGAAATATCAGGGATAGTGACTTCCCGGGTTTTGGCTTGAACAAATGGGCTGACAGTGATACTGTTCACCAAACTATGAAGTTAGGGAGAGGAGAGCAGTGAATTTTTTTTTTAAGAGGATGGCTAGAATTTAAAAGTGTATAATTATCTTAGTGCCCAGAAATCTTATGATTTGCTTGTATCACTTAATATAATTTTTAATACTACACTAAATTACAAACATACTAAATTTGTCTGTAAGGTACTTCCATGCCTTTACAAATGGACATATACACTGCTGAATGGCAGGACTAGGACATCTCTTAGTTTTGCCAGTTTGCAAGTAGACCAATGAGAAGAAAGAATACTCTTGATAGTGTAGTGAAACCAAGGAAGTTATTTTTTTAATATGCAAAGAAATGATTTGAAATTAGGGCCTTCCACAGTTTCAAACATAATAAAAAGCCTTCGTTTTCAGGAAAAAAAAAAAAGTTGGGAAAAATGCTTCTAAATTTGTTGGAGCTGACTTTTGCCTCTCAGATTGTTATCTAATTGGTTTTGTTTTCTGATTTATGGAACATGAATAGACTTTACTTCTTTGGATCCTTTAAAAAAATCATTATGAACTAAAGTGTTTGTATGCAGATAAGCTTATCTGTACATTCATGGTTTAGTTGATTTCTTGATTTGGTGTGTTCCCATGCTGCTGAAGCCAACAAAACAGAAGGAGAAAAGCAGATTATATTTGTCCTGTGGCATTAGGGATATGGCAAGATCTTAGACCAGTGCTAACCCATTAGAATTATTTAATGTGGACCACAAATGTGAACCACATATGTAATTCTAAATTCTCTAGAAGCTACTTTAAAAACTACAAAAATAAACAAATGAAGTTAATTTTAATGTTTTATTTAATGCAGTATATTCAAAATAGTATCATTTCAACATATAATCAGTATAAAAATAATGGACATTTTGCATTTTTTTGTATGAAGTCTTTGAAATCCAAATGTATTTTATATGCACAGCACATCTCAGTTTAGACTAACTACACTTCAAGTGCTTGATAGCTACTTGTGACTAATTGGACAGTATAGTCCTAGATCATTCTTAAACTAAAGAGTAGAGGTTGCTCAGCATTCTGCAGCATTTGAGAGTATCTTTCCAACATCGAGTAATTTATGTGCTGCTTGTTTCATTTTCCTGTCAAGTATATTAAAGAGTTTCTTTTGTCCTCTCATCATTTTCTTGCTTACAGTAATTTTGTCCAATAAATATCTGCTTATCAATATTCATTGCCTTTGCTTTCTCTTACATGTTTATAGTAATGTCCTATTATGCTAAAACAATAGCGTATCTTTAAATTTTAGTGATTTTTTTTTTAATTACAAGAATACTGCCTGTTCTTTTTGTAACAAATTTAAACAATACTGTGGCATATGTTGTATAAAAAGATGATAATTCTTTATAATTCTTTTTCCTGTTTCAGTTCCTGCTCTCCCAGTTGTAATCAGTGTTAGCAGTTTAGATAATAGCTTTTTTTTTCCTCATTAGGAATATACACTTAAGAGAAATTCTTGCTAATTGAGAAAATTAGTATTTGGAAAATACCTCTTAAAAGTAAACCTATTAAAAATGGAGACAAGATTTATTAGTTATTAATGAAAACGACTTGTTAGGGACAGTATTCAGAAATGAAAACATTTTACTATATGTATATCATTTTTCTATATGTTTAACAAAATTTAAATTGTAACTGCAGCTGTGCTAATTCTCAGAATCAACAAAGAATGATGTGATATCTTCCTGGCATAATTTTTCCAGTAGAATTGTATAATAGTCTGATAGCATCCTTCATTTTGTGTTTCATTTATCTAGCATTTGTTATATAAAATAGACTTGTGTATCAGTCTTATCAAAACTCTTGAGGGTTTCACCAGTTTCTCAAGATATTTTCTTAACCCTTTCTCAATTCTTATTCTATCATCGTCCTTCTTTAGTTGTTGAGTGAATTGTTCTATCTTTAGTTGTTGAGTGGTTTGATTCTGCCAGAATCAAAGGATGTTGCTGTGAGATGAGCATTTTCTTTAATATTATTTTCATAGACTTCATGAAATCCTGCATTCTTTTGAGGGTTTGTATTTTCACATTACTACTGAGTTGCATTGTATTTACTTCGTGTGATTGAGTATTTACAGCAATAGGCTATTAGTGAGAAATTGATAAACAAAACCAGGATACATGGTTGCAATAGGTGTTAGTGTCTAGTAGAAACAGATATCAGGGGACATTATGAATACTAGTGTATCATAAGGGCCTTGACTCCGTCTGCAAACTTGTAACTTAAGGGATTCAATGTCCATTTAAGTAATAATAGCTGACTTTTATGGAGACTTTTACCATGCCTGGCAAATTTCTGTACATGCATATTTTTAGGTAATCTGCTCAGTGTGCCTATAAGTCTGTTATTATCCCCATTTTATGCATTAAGTAAACTAAGGCTTAGAGCAATAACTTTTGTAGTATAGAATCTGGCCCATTGAAGACTTATAAAATAGACTTCCGTCGGCACTGCTCAACACAAAAGGAAGAAAGCACAAATAAATAATATTAAGCACAAAAAAGGGGACATATAGCAGAGCTAAAGCAACAACAAGAACTTACTGTGAATAACTTTTATATCAAATTTGAAAAGCTAGGTCAAAGGCAGATTTTCTAGAAGAAGAAAGAGAAACTAGAATAGACCTTTAACATTAAAGAAAATGAATGATTTTTAAACATCTTCACCAAAAAGTATGAGTCCCAGACAGTGCTGCCAAGGAATTCTACCAACAGTAAGCCCACCCAGCCTTATTTTATAAATCTTTAACTTACATAGTGTGTCTTGCAGTAACCTTGGTAACCCAATCATATAACTCCCAGTACTGGGAGGGAAAATCGTAGACCAGTCTCATTTGAATATACACACAAAACCTTCAATATTGACAAGCCAAATGAACAGCTAGGCATTTGTCCTGACATTGAATGTTCCATATTTTTCCATTGATTTGGAGTGCCACGTTTATTATAAAATGAATTCCATATAGATGTGGATCCATTTTAGGGGGGTTTACTTGTGTGCTTAATCTGTCATCTTGAATTAAAAGCCTGTCTGTTGAATCTTAACATTCAAGATATTTGCATTGGCATTTAAATGTATGAGAATTGTAATGGTCTGGTAGTGGTCTGGTAGTGAATGCTTTATATAAATATCTTTCTGTTGCATAGTTTTTTGCATATCATTTGAAGAGGATGCCAGGATTAGAACTCAATATACTGAATACCTCACTTAAGACATTTTATAATTCCAAAGAATATATTGTCATTCAAACATATTTAAGTTGATAAAACTTAAAGATATTATTCAGAAAATAGATTTGAAATGAATATACTGTCTAAGTATTTTCCACAAAAATATTTTCCTTCCGTACCCTCCCATGTGCCTTGCCTCCTTCTCAAGGGAATTGGAGATGACTTTATAAAGGGACAGGGAAACAAATATTATCAGACACCTGAGATGCATTAGTCATTGCATTTGAACACCAAACTTAATTCTGTATTTTCTAGAAAAGAAAGCAGAATGAGACACATGTTATGCTATGTCTGGTAAAGGAACTATATGACTTTGTCAGAGAGACAGCTTTCTTTCCTTTGTTTTATAAGTGAGACACTGGAAAAATGATAGTTGCCTTCAGCCTTGATTTTGCAAAAGTTAGGAAATGTTTTTTGGATGGATATTTTCTTTATTGACCAATGACTATGAAAGATGAGATTTTTTTTTTTTTTTTTTTTAAAGAGACGGGGTCTCACTACCTTGCCCAAGCTGGAGTGTAGTGGTTGTTCATCCACAGGCACAGTCATAGCACACTGCAGCCTTGAACTCGTGGCCTCAAGCTGTCCTCCCACCTCAGCCTTCCAAGAGCTCGGATTACAGGCGCATGCCTCTGGCTGAGATTTTAACATTAAATTTTAATTTAGGGAATCTTAGCGTCTCTAGTGAGCTAAGATAAATGATTTACTTTTGCTTTCAGAAAAATTCCAAGGCCTGACTGGTAAAATATGCAGGGACCCCTCAAGTTGGAAAATCATCTGTTTTGCAACCATCACAGTAAAGATGGAATCAGAGAAGAATAAACAAATTTAGGATGCTACCTGGTTTTGATGAGGAAGCAGAAAATTTGCATGCTTTTAAAGTGCTACCCCACACACCGCTTATTAATTGCAAGGGAGAAAATACATAGTAATTATACAGTAGAAAAATTGGACAATACTGGGACTGGATGATCAAAGTTAAGAGCATCACTGAAGGACAGGTGGAAATCATGTGCCTCAAGATGTGATGCCCTGAGGACACATCACCACCATGAAGTGTTCTGGCTGAAAATGTGTAACCTCAGTCTCATCACGGGAAGACATCAGACAAACCTTACATAAGGAGCATTCTCTTAAAAAATAGAGTGGGGGCCGGGCGCGGTGGCTCACGCTTGTAATCCCAGCACTTTGGGAGCCTGAGGCGGGCGGAACACAAGGTCAGGAGTTTGAGACCAGCCTGGCCAATATGGTGAAACCCTGTCTCTACTAAAATTATAAAAATGAGCCAGGCATGGTGGCAGTCGCCTGTAGTCCCAGCTACTCACTTGGGAGACTGAGGCAGGAGAATCACTTGAACCTGCGAGGCGGAGGTTACAGTGAGCTGAGATTGTGCCACTGCACTCCAGCCTGGGTGACAGAGTAAGACTCCGTCACAGGAAAAAAAAAAAAAATAGAGTGGGGAGGGGAGCTGTTCTCCCAAAATGTCAGTGTCATAAATGACAGCTTTCACTGTGGAGGTGTTCTAGAATGTCGGAGGCTTAAGACACCTGGCAGTTAAAGGCACTACCTGACCCTAACTGGATCCTGTATGGAAAGGGAAATATTCTATAAAGGACATTACAGGATCGCTTGACAAAACTGGATTACTTATGTTAAATGAAAGTATTATATTAGTGTTAAATATGCTGACTTTGATAACTGTATTATGGCTGCATAAGAGAATATCCCTATTTATAGGAAATACATTATACTTTGAAGTATTTAGGGCAAAGGGCCATGATGTCTGTAATTTGCCCTCAAAAATATTCAGGAAAAAAACTGCATGTGTGTGTATGTGTATGTAAAGAGAGGAAGAGGAGGAGGAATATATGCATGATTCCAAATGATAAATGAGGTGAAATATTAACCATAGGTGAATATGGGTAAACAGTATAAGGGTACCATTTGTATTATTTTTACTTTTGTAACATCTATAGGTATGAAATTATTCCCAAATAAAATGTTAAGACAATATATATAGTTTAGCTATGGTGCATTCTGATGAACTAACAAATACAGAATTTGTTCTAGAAGAATGAATAGTATGCTCATTAGGCAGTTTCTCTCAAATATCAGATGTCTCATGTGAGTCTTTGGTAAATACTGGATTAAATCAATTCATGGTTGAATTACCCAGTGAGTGCCTTAAGTGCCAATACTCAGTTGTTGATTGAAGAGGGATCCATATGTTTTAGATACCAAATATGGGACAAAAAGCGTTGATGTTCTGTTGTGAAAATATGAAAGCCCAATTTATTGTGTGCTTGTTCAATTTCTCATGAAGATGAATCAGAGAGGTACTTAAAGGAAGTTACCAATATTTTCTCTCAGGGAGCCGTGGAAACTGTAGAAGTAATTGGACAGGTGCTCAGGTATGATCCCAGTGTTCAACAGTATAACAGAAAAAAATGATTTGGCCTAAAATATTTTAAAGGCATGTGTTAGCAATTGACTGACCTCCATTATGAAGGAATCTGAATTTTTATCCCCTTTAGAAAGTGTGATTTTTGAACAGAGTGCATGCTGATGGTCCTTCAAGCATAAATTAGCTGCAAAATGCACCCCAAATAATGGATTCTGTCCAGTTAAGAAGCAAATTAGATGGATAAAAAGCACTTAGAACATTGCGAAAAAGTTAAAACTGTGTTAAAAGAGAGAAAATAATCGGCCCAGCACGGTGGCTTACACCTGTAATCCCAGCACTTTGGGAGGCCCACGTGGGCGGATCACCTGAGGTCGGGAGTTTGAGACCAGCCTGACCAACATAGAGAAACCCCATGTCTACTTAAAACACAAAATTAGCCAGGCGTGGTGGGCACCTGTAATCCCAGCTGCTTGGGAGGCTGAGGCAGGAGAATAGCCTGAACCCAGGAGGCAGAGGTTGTGGTGAGCCAAGATCGTGCCATTGCACTCCACCCTGGGCAACAAGAGCAAAACTGTCTCAAAAAAAAAAGAGAGAGAGAGAAGATCAAGTGCTATTAGTAAATAGCAAGTAGCAGGATGGGAAAAGTTTAATCCAAGGTACATTTTAAAAAATTGTATGGCAGGCAGCCCCACTCCCAATGTGAAAAGCGTTTCTTGCCTATAGTTGCAAAAGAAATTCATAAAAATGCAATAAGGCTTTAAATTAAATTGGCAATATAGTGTTCTCCTCTTTTCCACGGTTTTGCTTTCCATGATTTCAGTTCCTGTGGTCATCCATGTATGAAAATATTGCATACTATAATATACTTTGAGAGACCACATTCACGTAACTTTTATATATTATATATAACAATATTACGTATCGTTATACTTGTTCTGTTTTATTAGTTATTAATCTTTTCCTGTGCCTAATTTATAAATTAAAATTTATCATAGGTATGTATGTGTAGTAAAAGACAATATATTTGGGGTTTGGTACTATCCATGGTCCAGGCATCCATTGGGGATCTTGGTACATATCTGCCGCAGATAAGAGTGGGGACTACTGTATCCTGACAGTCCACAAGAATGGGGATGCTTCTCCTTTTTTGTGTCTGTGAGTTATGAAAAAATGGGCATACTGGTGGATTGGAGTGTCTCCTACTGGCCTGAGACCTGATTGTTAAAATTTTAGGAATTCTGCAAACTGATTGTTAAACACAGCTATTATTAAAAACTAAAGAACATAGGCTTACTATTAAAATTACATTTTAAAAGCTAATAAATACTTCAAACTCATCACTTCCTAATTATTTTACTACATTTTATTATAATCTATGCTTTTCAAGCTATTTATGTAAGTATATCATACCTCTGGTTGAAATAATAGAATGGTGTGCTTTTGTACATTTTTTTCCCCAACTCTATATTTGGTGATCTCACAATGATAACTAGAAATTAGCTATGGGAAGAATGTTTACGCTACAGAGATTGTCAAATGCCATAAATAGGGCTTGATTTCTTATTTCTTGATTGTCTAGACTTAAAGTGATGGAGAAAATGCTGCTAATAAAAATGTGTCATGCCTTTAGTTATTATATTGTAACTAAAAAAAAGTATATATTCTTCCATTCTTAAAAAATGATTACTTCAGCTAAGAAGTCGCTCACATCATTGACATCAGTGACATAAAGAAAAACATCAAGTAATACTACAAAGGACACTTGGAAAGCTGATTGCTGAATATTTGCCAGCACACTGCTGGTCATGGCACAGTCGAAATCATTGCTTTGGTAGGAAATAGATAATAATATAAATTTATTATACTGATTTTCAGCTATAGGAAATAGTATTACATGTGAGCATTATTTAAGAAAAAAAGGTTGAATTTGTAAAGTCATTAACTGTGGCACATAATAATTTTAAAGTAGATAATTTGAAGCCTTTGATAGGTCTATTGCAGATTAGAAATAGAATCATAGAATTTAGAGTTTCTCTAGTATATGTCAGTCATCCAGCCTTTATCTAAATTCTGCTAGAGACAGAGCTCATTTCCTGGTAATAACATTGGAGAAATCTAGTAGTAGAATTCTTTCTTACTTTGAGCTAAATTTTGTTTTCCTTTTATTTCTAACAATTGGTTCTGGTACTGACTTCTGGAGAAACATAGAAACATAAACAAGAAATCTTGTCTCTTTTATAGAGCAACTGATCTTTCAGGTATAAAGTTAGCTGTGGTTTTTCATTGAGACCTCTTTGGGCAAGAATTATACCTTTAGTTCTTTTAGCTCTACATTGTATGACATATTTTCTAGACTCTGTAATCTAAGAGTGTGTTACCTTTTTAAACATCACATCACTATTTTGGGGCTTTTATTGACCTTGTGAACAAATAAAAGCCTTTAGATCTTTCTTTATGCAAATTATACAGAAGTCACGTCTTCTGTCTTTTGTTTGATTCTTTAAAAAAAAAAAAAAAACCTCCAAAAGAGATCCTTGTATTTACTGCTTTAAACCTTCATATTGCTTTCAGCACAGCATTTCAGATTATAGAAATGATATTGAATTTTAATTTTATAATTTTTGGTATTTATTAGTTCTGTCATTTTTGTGTCAGTTGCAGACTTGATAAGCACTCAGTGTTTATTGTTTACATCTAAATTATTGTATAAATTGTTGAATTTCAAAGGGCTATATAATCCTCCTTTAACTAATCTCTAAATTCATTTCTACCCATTATTATTATTATTTTTTGTTTAATCTTTTGTGAGTCCACTTATCAGTTTTGCTAAGTAATCCCCATTTCATCATTTTATATCCAGAAGTTCATTATGATATATTTTGTCAGATGTTTTACTTACTGTAATCCAGGTGTGCTATGTCTCTGGTATCCCTTTCTATGAAACACACTTCAGTACTTCTGTCTTTGAAAATTAGGCATTTTTTGAAAAATCCTGGCATGCCTAAATGTTAAGGTCATATTCTTCCTCAAATGGAAGATATAAAATACATGAAGAATGTTGGGCTAGATGTTAACTAAGATACCAAAAGAGAAAAGGAACAAGATAATCACTGGAGATACTTGATGATCAGGGCCACGGTATTACTTGGGCTGAAAGGAAAATAACCTGTGCCATGAGAATAGAGCTTTTTCATCAAGGAAGTATTCTGGACCAGGTGAAATTTTAGGGATCTGGAATAGAGTGGACAGGATGCGTTAGCCTTTTTTCCTCTCTGCCTTCTCATTATCTCCTTCTTTTGAAATGTACGTTGTGAAATGTTAACAGTGTGTGCATCTGTGTGTATGTGGGTGTTTCTCTGTTGTGTATAGCACCTCCTTATTCTCTTTGTCCTGGACAAACTTATCCCTACTTCATAGCATTATTTTGAAAATTAAAAGAATAATTCAATATGAAATTCCCTAGCACATTTTCTTGTATTTTAGTAGATAGTAGATAAAGATTTTTTTAACTTTTGTTATATTTCTTCTTGTTAAATTCCATTGAGCAACCATGGTGGAGGTTGTCAGGGAGTTACTAGAGTGAATTGTCTCATCACAGTTTCCTTGGTCTTCTATCCTCCTTCATCCTAGCCAGATCTGTTTTATTACTGCTGGAAGCAAGGGAAATTGATAGCAAGTCACTTGACTAAATGGTATTAATAGAATAATACTTTTCTCTTTTTCACTACTTTCTCTTTTCTAAGATATCTTAGATCAAAAGCAGCATCTTCTAGAAAGCATTCTCTGATAAGTCATTTCATTTTCTAGCCAACATTCAAGTTACTCTCAGAAATCACTTTATGTGTATGTATATTTATGTTGAACAACAACAACAAAAAAATTAAAGAAAAAAAAAAAGGCCGGGCACAGTGGTTCATGCCTGTCATCCCAGCACTTTGGGAGACAAAGGTGGGTAGATTGCCTTAAGCTCAGCCTGGGCTTGAGACCAGCCTAGGCAACATGATGAAACCCGGTCTCTACCAGAAATACAAAAACAAACAAACAAAACCACAAAGCCAGGCATGGTGGCATGTGTCTGGTCCTAGCTACTCAGGAGGCAGAGGTGGAAGGATCGCTTGAGCCTGGAAGGGCAGAGGTTACAGTGAGCTGAGATCGCTCCACTGTACTCTAGCCTGGGTGACAGTGTGAGACTCTGTCCCAAAAAGAAAAAAGAAAATATTTTGGTTCAATACATTGTAATTAGTGTCTAATAATTAAATCATTCTTCTCTTGCAGATTGTGGTGGTGCCATGCAGCAAGAATCAGAGAGATGCAGAGTTAGAGCCAGAAGGCCTGACATGGCACTTTATGTACCTAAAGCTCGTAGGGGTGCAGTACTCCTTAAGACAGGTGATGAAGAAGAAAGCTGTGGTTCACCTAACTCTGTGGTGAAAGAAAAGCAAAAAGAAAGTTCTCTCTCCCAAAAAGAAGTCTTTAAAGACAAACCGGAGGCTCGAAGACTAAATATCAATCCTGATAGAAAGGAGCATAATTGTAGAGAAGAAAAGAAATCTTCAACAAAATTAAGAATGGACACATGCCTTCAAAAAACAAATAGAGTTTGTTCTAAGAGAGGAACCACTGAATCCAAAGAAGTATTATCCCAAGGACAACAGCAGGGAGCCCCAAATGCTGGGGTTATAACTAATGCACCTTTGCAGAGACATTTTAAACCAAAGAAGGTGGAGTGTTTGGAAGTTGAAACTACGGATGTGACAGGACATGAGAGGATACTTCTTTCACAGGCCTGTTTAGAAATCAGCGAGGCTCAAGTTCCAAGCAAACCATTCCAAAATGTGGAATTCTGTGACTTCAGTAGGCATGAACCTGATGGGGAAGCATTTGAAGACAAAGATTTGGAAGGCAGAATTGAAACTGATACCAAGGTTTTGGAGATACTATATGAGTTTCCTAGAGTTTTTAGTTCTGTCATGAAACCTGAGAATATGATTGTACCAATAAAACTAAGCTCTGATTCTGAAATTGTACAACAAAGCATGCAAACATCAGATGGAATATTGAATCCCAGCAGCGGAGGCATCACCACTACTTCTGTTCCTGGAAGTCCAGATGGTGTCTTTGATCAAACTTGCGTAGATTTTGAAGTTGAGAGTGTAGGTGGTATAGCCAATAGTACAGGTTTCATCTTAGATCAAAAAGATACAGATTCCATTCCTGCAACTATGGGTCACATCTCTCTGTCAGAGAGCACAAATGACACTGTTAGTCCAGTAATGATTAGAGAATGTGAGAAGAATGACAGCACTGCTGATGAGTTACATGTAAAGCACGAACCTCCTGATACAGCTGTCCTTGCTCATGAAACACATAGAGATAGTGGATTTAAGAATGTAGGTGACATTACCAATAAAGCATGTATGATGGACACTACAGGTATGTCCTGTAGTGATCATGTAACTGTTGATAGCCCTTATGTAGTTGCAGTTAGAATAGCTGATGAGACCTCTATTAATACACGAAGTTTCTCAAAGTTTGTAGGAATGAGTGCAGATGCAACCCCTCTTCATGTAGCTAGAAGTGGGAATGACACTGAAGATTTCAGCAACCCTTCTGCTTGCTCAGATATTTATGGTGAGAGTATTTCATCTCATTTTACAGAGTCAACAGGAAAGTTGATAGAGAGCTTGTCAGATTGTGCTTCCTCCTTACCTATAAAAAAGATTGCTGGTAGTAATTATAACACTTTTTTGGACTCTGAACTCAGTATGTTAAATGGGACAAAAGTTCTTTCAGACAGTGCCGTGGGCATTGACCTGGGTAGTACTGGTGATACAACAGAAGCATTGCACGAACTAAGAACTGCCGAAGAGTTCAAAACAGAAGAGCAAGATGACTCAGGGAGTATAGAATTTGGTGTATCTTTTCCTGATAGGGAATCATCATCTATGGAAACATCCATCGAACCAAAAGCAACTGAAACTTCTCACACAGAGGGAATTACTGCCATTGAGGAGAGCTGGGAGTCTATGTTTAACGATGATGGTGACTGCCTGGATCCACGTCTTCTACAAGAGGTATGTTTAATTGAAATTGCTTGATGCTTAGTTAGTTTATAAATTAGGATTTCAGTGGTAATTTTGATAGACAGTGATGCACATTCACTGATATTTAAGAGTTCCTGCAATAAACTAATAGGCTTGTAGATTAAGAAGAGAATATCTGATAGATCTTTAAAAAATAAAATATACAGAATTGAGCTGTATCTATAATAGCCAAGCCCTGAGAGATTTTATGGAATAAAGATGAATTTAATGGATTTTAACTATCTGTCAAGGAAATGCAAAGGAAAACTTCTTCAAAAAGGTTTTTCTATGTTGACAAGGTATCTTTTACATGGGCCTATTTAAGGGAAGGAGAATAATTTATTACTATTGTTATTTATATTTTATTTTCTAGTGGATGTTGGAGTGTTAGACACTGTAGAGGGAAGGAAGTAGAGAAAAGAAGGGTAAAATACAAGAAAGTATCATTGTTTTTTAAGGAGTTTATACTGGGTTAAATTGAAGAATGAATTACCCATTTAGCATAAATAGAAGATGTAAGTGAATAATGATATGCTGGCCAATTAGAATTCATAAATAAATGTTAGATTTGAGGCATCTTAGAAATTACTCAGTTCAGTCTTTTTGTTTTCTTAATTTAAATGTTTACTCTGTATCCAACATTTAAATTCCTTACCTTAAATAAGAATCACTGGTTTTAAGTAGTAGAACACTCCCTCTTTCCTTCCCTATAGTGGGTTCACATAACTTTGCCTGGAAAGGAAAAAATTATTTTCCTATAAGAGCACCAGTTTTATAAATGAGGAAGTTGAAGCTCAGTGGTCACACCTTTAGGAAAGGCAGAATCAGGATTTCAGTCTAGTTCTGTCTTAATCCAATGTTTATGTTCTCTCTACGAGACTATTTCCTCACCTAAAGGATTTCTTTTGAGGCATTCCAAAGACCCTTTTGAATACTAAGTGATGAGTCTTTTGTTCTGAGAATTAAGCTGGAAGTATAGAAAAATTATCACATGCCTGTAAAAGAGCCACATAATACTGAAGAGGGCGGTCCATTGGATAGAACTGACTTTCCAATACCAAGCAATCCCACCTCATTCGTGGGAGCTGTTTGCACAGAAAGAATTTCCCTGTACCACAAACGAGCACATCCTGTCAGGTCAGGAAACACTATATCTTAAACATTCCTTAGAACAAAATATAGAGCGGAGAATACCTATGAATGAGCATCCATGAGCCCCTTGAATTACATGCAAAATTATATGTACGTATGTGTGTTTTTTCATAGCTTTCATCAGATTCTCAAAGGCAGTGATTTCCAAAGTATGGTCCCTAGACCAGCAGCATGAGTATCACCTAGGAACTTGTTAGAAATTCAAATTATTTAGCCCAGCAAACTGTCTATTTACAACTTTTTCAGGGGATTCTGATGCACATAAAGCCCGAGAACCACTGCTCAAAGGTAATACACTTAAATCTATATCAGAATGTGAGTAGGGAACTGCAAATGACTGTCAGCCCATAATTAGAAAAATACTGTTCAGTAGAGGTTTGAGATCCAAATCAGGTTAAGAAATAATAATAAGGTGGGAAGCTAGGTGAATATAGAGATGTTATTAAGAACTAAAGCATTGAGAGAAGGCTTTAGTCTGAGAAAAGAAACAGTGTTCGCAAGAGTTGGTGAAAGGACTGCATGAGGAATAGAGAGAGCACATGAACATGGAGGAGAGATGAACAGCTTCCTCCAAAAGAAGAGCGTGGCTCTCATGGCCTTTTACACATGGTGTAGTACTCAGTAAATATTTATCCAATGGATGGCGTTGATAGGGCAGAGTTGGGGGCTCTGTCTTTTTAGGGTGGCTTCCAGGGGCTTTCAAAACATCAGGGGCTGGAACTTGGATTCAGTGGGGTAGCTTATGGATATGGCTTGTGTATTGGAAGAGGGGGAGTTCAGGTGTACAACTCAGTTTTTCAGGTCTTTCCAGTGTTTAGGTGTAAGATAATTTAGGCAACAACTCAGTATTTCGAGGAGCATAGTAACATAAAGAGGACATTGGGATGACCTAAAGCTGGGATTGGGAGGAAAACAGAGAATATAGTATTTTAAGCTGAAGATGGACAGTGTCTGGGTGTTGTGTTTGGCTTATGTTTGGAGGTACTTGGAAAAGAGTAGGGTCTGTGTTGAGGAATGAGCATAACTGAGAGCAGGAAGGAGGGAAATGGATTGAGAATGCAAGTAGCAGATCCAACTCCTCTGCTTTGGGTTTTAGAAAATGTAATAATGATACTGTTATTAAAAGATGTCACAAATCCAGCAACATTAATAGCCCTTTGATGACTTCTGGTTTATTATTTTTATTGCTCCAAACATACTTTATTAAGTGCTAAAGCAGAGTGAGTGCCTGCCTCCCTTGAAAACTTTCCAACTAAAGGTTTTTGGCTATCATCCCAGCTGGCCTGTTTCTTGATTGATAGCAGCTAGACATATGGAGGTATGTCTAATACTTCTAATAGTCAGGTATGCTGTAGAGCAAGGTGTGACAGCCATTGGCTTGTGAAGCAATTTCCTGTGACATTTGAACCTCCAAAACTGCCTTAGGGGGTTAGAGTATAAGTAGGTCATTATTGAGCTCCCAGAACTGCAACTCTTGATGAGTCTCCAAGAATCACACTTAGTCTCCTAAAGCCACGGTATGGAATGCCCAGAAACTTAAGGTGGTAATTGATGAAGGAGATGATATTGGCATGACTTTTTTTAGCCCTCTGAATTCTTGGTAGAAGAACACAGGAGTTATTTTTCATTAGAAAATACTTTCATAGCCCTACTGCCATCTGTACTGATCATCAGATCTGTTGGTAGGAGGATTAATGGGATACCAAGAACATAACATTGATGTTGATAGATACCAGCATTTGTTACCTTCATTGTCATTTCTGGCACTGATTTGAATTTTTAGATAGGGGTAAATATTTAAGTAGTATCTCCTAAACTTTTTAAGAATTTGAGGCCTTCCCTTGGTTACAGAAGGCCACTAATATTATACCACCATATTCTATAATAGTATGTAGACCATAATGGGTAAGAGAAGAGTAAAAGGAATACCATCTTTTCCCACCCATCTTACTTCTCAGTGTGTGCTAACTTACATTGTTATACTGTCTCTGTCTCCCTATAGTCTTTTGCAAAAATGGTGTCCATGTTAAGTGGAAAACCCAAAACTGAAAGGAAAAATTTATAATCCAGTCACTAAAAGCAAATTATGTAACATACAAAGAGAGGAAAGCCCTTCATATCCCAACCCCTCGAGGCCTCATAAATAGTTGGTAGCCCATCACCTTTCAGTTGAATAGCAAATATTGAACACTTAGAGTTTGATAAACTATAAATCCCTAATAGCTAGATATGTGTTGTTATCACTGCTATGTTAAAGGCACTGTGCTGCATGCCATCTTTTGCTCTGAAGTTGTTCATGTTTTATTTGGAGAGACAGTATGTAACTATGTGACTAGTCCCACAGCAATCTGCAGGGAAATTAATATAAAACAACCTTATAACAGATGTACTAAAACTGTATTTCATTGCCTGATAAGTGACACAGAATATGACTTCAAAAGGAGATTAGAGGGATAGGACAGGGGAAAAAGAACAAAAGGGGATTAGATCCCCCAATGCTAGACTGGTTGATGCAGTTTCATGTTGGTGAGGCTATAGAATTAAACAAGAGATTATAGTTCCCACTTTTACTATGCTGTTCTGTTTCTAATTTCTGTTTTCTATTCCATTTTAAAAAAATCTATAGACTTTATTTTTGAGTAGTTTTAGATTTATTTAAAAAATTGAACAGAGTACAGAGTTCCCTTGTACCCCCTCACCTGTCGTTCTAATTTTTTTCACAATATCTTTTAAAAGTTCCAGCTCATTTTAACAGATTTCTAATTCATATTTTATAAAGATGTCTGAATTGACATGTTATTGACTGCCTAAGTGGGGATTTATTGACTCACTTTCCAGATGCTGTATATTCTAATGCAGTCAGTTGGGACATTCAGTGAAGAATCTGAGTGAATTATGTACTCTGTTTTTATTGTTCAATCCATTAGTGAATGATGACTAGATCTCTGGTCCAAACAGAAAGAGGGAACATTAAGTAGATTCCATCACTCATAGTTTTTGTTTTTGTAACCAGGTGACTCCTAAAATTAAAAATCTCCCTTTGAGCTCTGTTATATTTGTTGCATAACATTTTTTCCTCAGAATCAGTATAGAAGCCAGCAGCATTTTAATTTCTGATCCTCTTTCAAAACTGCAGAAAGGTGAACAGTTCTGGGCCTGTATTGTCAGTACAAGGAAGCTTTTATTTAAGGATTCTTGCCTGAAGATTCAGATTCCTAGTGTACCTTGCTCTGTCCTTGGCAGTGCTTGTTTCAGTGAATTCCATGAGATATGGCATGTGGAGTATGGTTAGGGCATTTTTTAATTTGTCAGGGTATATATATAGTAAATCATAAAATCTTAAATTGATTTTCTTCAGTAGAAAGTGAGTTAACAAGCAGTTAAGTGGAAGAGAAAAACAGAAATGAAGGGCTTGAATAACCTCACCTACATAATTGAGAATTGATTATATGGGTTAATTCTATGTAAATAGATTTTTGAAGCAACTGTAGTAATTTCACACCACCAACTTGTGCCCAAATCTTGTTGTCCTTGTCACTGTAACCCCCAGTGCCTCTCATTTAAATTTGTTTTACCTATAACTGTAAAGTGGTTTGTTATGTTTAATTGTGTTTAATTAAAAGTACCCATGAAAACGTTCTTATTCCTATCTTCCAAGATGAGCCAGAATTTATAGTATAGTCCTTGACATATAAGGACTCAGAGCTAGAGCTTTATCCTGTCTTAGAGATAGAACTGCACAAGTCATTTTTTAAAAGTGGAATGTTAGCATTTAAAATCATTTCTGAAAATAAGTCTCATTAGTTCTACAAGACTATCAACTCCTTAAACATTGATTTAGCGGTCTAGTCTAGCTCTAGTCTAGTCTAGCCTACAATCTAGTCTGGCCCCTTCTTATTTTATAGATAAGGTAACTAAGGCCCAGAAGGGTTGTAGCTAAAGTAAGTTCATGCCAGAGTTGGCATTAGAATCTGTGCCTCCTGGTTTCTAGCCCTGCGCTCTTTCCATGACATTAAGCCTTTGTCTCTACCTGACTGGGTCTCAGCCAGTCAACAGATATTGAACAAATATTCTGTGCCCAGCGCTGATCTTAGTGATGTTGGGGGTAAAAGAGAAGGATAACAATATTTAAACAGTGTACAGTCCTGTGGAATAATGAGACTTATTTATTCTCAGGAATGACTAGAAAAAAAAGAGTATTCTATTTAAATGAATTGGAAATGCCTTTGTGAAATATACCATTATTTTATGAATTACTAAGATAGAAAAAACTTTGACACAGTGCTTTTCCCTTAAAATTTTAATTTTATACATATTGAAACAACTCTCCTAATTAGACATAAATTTTTTTTTATCATATTTCATCTTCATACATAAAAAATGTAGTAAAATAAATTGGTTAAGATTTTCCTAATACTTCACGTTCACAATCCAACTCTTTCTAATAATTTGTTGATTCAGCCACTGATATTGATGCTTTTCTATTCAGTGTCATCCATTTTGCCATTGAGAACTTTGATGACGCAGCATTTCTTAAAAGAATACATAAAAGAACCAAAAATCTTTGTTGCAGAATTCTTAAGACACCTTTGTACTTGTGTAGAGCTGTTCTGATATTTAGAATTTTCCTCCACATTACTGACCATCCTTTCTGCCAGTTTTGGTACTGGTGCTTCTGATACACATGTGCAGGAAGCAATAACAATATGTTGATTGTGATGCGTCCTAATGTCAGTGTTGTTAAAATGTGAAAAAAAGGATATATCTTAGAATTGATGAAATGTATATATCCAACTACTGAGTGTTAGGAAATAGTAATATAGGAAAGGAAAGATCGCCAAATTGGAGTAAATTGGGAAAGAAGCATCCAGAGGAGTTTAAAGATTGAAGCTGGATCTTGGGAGAAGACAGAACATGAGCAGAAAAAGCATTCCAGGTTGTGAGAACAGCTTGTGAAAAACAGAATCAGAATCAAGTCCTAAGTTTGTCACTATCAGAAGTTTAGATGATTTATTTTGAAATTTTGTTTTCTTTTTATAATTTATTCTGAATTTTCTTCATGATTAACCAGGGCAGTTGAAGTTTATTGGTAAAGGGAAAGAAAAAAGTATCAATTTTTTTCCCCCAATTTTAGAGTGCCATTTAGAATCATTTAAAAAATATATGTTCTTACCTGAGCAGGGTGGCTCACACCTGTAATCCCAGCACTTTGTGAGGCCGAGGCAGGTGGATCGCTTGAGTGCAGGAGTTTGAGACCACCCTAGGCAACATGGCAAAACCTCATCTCTACAAAAAATACAAAACTTAGCCGGGCGTAGTGGCATGTGCCTGTGGTCCCAGCTACTGGGGAGGGTGAGGTGGAAGGATCGCTTGAGCCCAGGAGGCAGACGCTGCAGTGAGCCAAGTCATATCCCTGCACTTCAGCCTGGGCAACAGAATGAGACCCTGTCTCAACATACATGTATTTGTTGTTGTATAAATCAAATAAGTCTTGGGTTTTTTTGTTCGTCTGTTTTTTATGTGGTGGGGGTTGAGACAGTCTCACTTTGTTGCCCAGGCTAGAGTGCAGTGGCACGATCTTAGCTCACTGTAGCCTCAAACTCCTGGGCTCAAGCAATTCTGCTGCCTCACCCTCCCGAGTAGCTGGGACCACAGGAGTATACCACCATGCCTGTCTAATTTTTAAAAAATTTATTTTTTGTAGAGGAGGACTCTTGTTGTCTTGCCTAGGCTGGTCTTGATCTTGTGGCCTCAAGTGATCGTCTCACCTCAGCCCCCCAAAGTGTTGGGATTACAAGTATGACTCACTACACCCAGCTTAGAATAAGTCTTGTTAAGCATGCATTTGGACAAAATAATTAACTTGAAGCATGTACATTTTATTCATTCTATAAATATATATTGACTGCCTAGTTTGCAAGATAATATGTTCAGTGGGGGAATATAGGAATAAATATGACATGTCAGTTATAGTTGAATTTAAAACCAAAATGTTGGTAAGGAAATTGAAACTCCATCCTTCTTTTCCAGCCTTATTTACTAGAATAAGGTATTAGTTTGCTAGGGCTGTCATACAGAGTTTTATAGTTTCAGGTCTTACGTTTAAGTCATTAATTCATTTTGAGTTGGTTTTTGTATATGGTAAGAGATAGGAATCTAGCTTCATTCTTCTGCATATAGACATCCAATTTTTTCAGCACCATTTATTGAAGAGGGCGTGCTTTCCTCAGTGTTCTTGGTGCCTTTGTCGAAAATCAGTTGGCTGTAAATGCATGAACAGAATAGGGTTCTCTATTCTGTTCCATTGGTCTGTATGCCTGTTTTTATACCAATACCATGCTGTTTTGGTTACTACAGCTTTACAGTATTTTTTGAAATCAGGTAGTGTGATACCTCCAGATTTATTCTTTTTGCTCAGTATTGCTTTGACTATTCTTTGTCTTTTGTGGTTCCATTCAAATTTTAGTATTGTTTTTTCTATTTGTATGAAGAATTGTCGTTGGTATTTTGATAGGGATTGCATTGAATCTTTAGATTGCTTTAGGCAGTATGGTCATTTTAACAGTATTAATTTTTCCAGTTCATAAGCATGAGATGTCTTCCGATTTGTTTGTGTTCTCTCCAGTTTTCTTTCATCAGTGTTTTATAGTTTTCCTGGTAGAGAGCTTTCGCCTCCTTAGTCAGATTTACTCCTAGGTATTTTATTTCATTTTTTGTTTTTATTATAAATGGGATTTCTTTCTTGATTTTTTTTTTCAACTAGTGTGCTATTGGTGTACAGAAATGCTGAGTTATATTGGCTGACTTTGTATCTGGTAATTTACTGAATTTCTTTATCAGTTCTGAGAGTTTTTTGGTGGAGTCATTAGATTTTTCTATAAGATCATTTCATCTTCAAAGAGATACAGTTTGACTTCCTCTTTTCCAATTTGGCAGCTCTTTATTTCTCTTTCCTGTTGCTCTGTCTAGGACTTCAAGTACTACGATGAATAAGAGTGGTGAATGTGGACATTGTTGTTTTGTTCCCATTCTTAGAGGAAAAGTGGAAAGCTTTTCCCATTCATCATAATGTTAGGTGTGAGTTTGTCATATATAGCCTTTATTATGTTGAGGTATGTTTCTTCTATTTCTAATTTGTTGAGGGTTTTTATCATGAAGGGATGTTGAACTTCATCAAGTGCTTTTTCTGTATCTGTTGAGATGTTTATATGGGTTTTGACCTTCATTCTGTTGATCTAATGTATCACATTTTTTACAAAAATCAACAAAATACTAGTAAACCAAATTCAACATAAAAAAAAAAGATACCATGATCAAGTGGGGTTTATTCTAGGAATGCAAGGATGATTCAACGTATGCAAGTCATATGATGATTTGACCATGGTTAGTCTAGCTGGTGTTTTATTGATTTTGGTTTTTGTATTAAAAAAAACTTTTGTTTCATTGATACTTTGTATTTTCTTAGTCTCTCATTTAGTTCCAATGTTATCTTTATGAAGTCTTTTACTAATTTTGGGTTTGGTTTGTTCTTGCTTTTCTAATTCTTCGAGGTGCTTCATTAGGTTGTGCTGATGAGAATGTATCCTGCAGTTGTTGGGTAAAGTGTTCCAGTAATGTCTGTTAGGTCCATTTGGTTTACAGTGCAGTGTAAATCCAATGTTTCTCTGTTGATTTTCTGTCTAGATGATCTGTCCAATGCTGAGAGTGGGATGTTGAAGCCCCCAGCTATTATTGTATTGGAGTCTATTTCTTCCTTTAGATCTAATAGTATTTTCTTTATATATCTGGGTGCTCTTTTGTTGAGTGCGTCTATATTTACAATGTTTTATCATCTTACTGAGTTGATCGCTTTATCATAGACTTTGTTTCTTTTTTTTTGGAAACTCTGTCTCCCAGGCTGGAGTGTAGTGGCATGGTCTCAGCTCACTGCACCCTCCACCTTCTGGGTTCAAGCGATTCTTCTGCGCCAGCTTCCTGAGTAGCTGGGATTATAGGCGCATGCTATTATGCTCAGCTAATTTGTGTATTTTTAGTAGAGACAGGGTTTCACCATGTTGTCCAGGCTGGTCTTGATCTCCTGGCCTCAAGTGATCCACCTGCCTTGGCCTCCCAAAGTGTTGGGATTACAGGTGTGAGCCACCATGCCCAGCCAGGCCTTTTTAAAGTTTTTGACTTAAAGTCTGTTTTATCTTACATAACTACCCCCGCTTTGCTTTTAGTTTCTGTTTGTGTGGAATATATTTTTTCATCCTTTTACTTCCAGGCAATATGTGTCTACAGGTGAAATGTTTCTTGTAGGCAGCATATAGTTGGGTCATGTTTATTAATCTGTTCAGCCAAATTATATCTTTTAAGTGGAGAATTTAACCCATGTACATTCATGGTTCCTTATTGATAGGTAAGGACTTATTCCTGTCATTTTATTGTTTTCTGTATCTTTTGTTTCTTTCTTCCTATCTTATTTATCTTTGCAGTTTGATGGTTTTCTGTGGTGGTAACATTTGACTTCTTTCTCTCATTTGTGTCTGTTCTGCCAGTGAGCTTTCTGCTTTCATGTGTTTTTATGATGGTAGATAGCATCCTTTCACTTCCAGGTGTAAGATTTCCTTAAGCATTTCTTGTAGGTCCAGTCTCATGATAATGAATTCCCTGTTTTTGCTTATCTGGGAACAACTTTATTGTTGTTCCCATCTGATGGGAATCCCTTCTGTATATCCCTTCTATGTAAGATTTTCTCTTGCTGTTTTTTAGAATTCTTGGTCTTTGACTTTTGACAACTTGACTAGTGTGCCTTGGAGAAGACATTTTTGGGTTGAATCTCTTTGGGAATCTTTGAGCTTCCTATATTTGGATGTCTATATCTCTTACAAGACTTGGGACATTTTCAGCTGTTACTTCATTAAATAGGTTTTTTGTGCCTTTAGCCATCTCTTCTCCGGAACTCCCAAAATTTAAATATTTGTCACTTTGTGATGTCCCTCATTTCATGTAGGCTTTCTTTATTCTGTTTATTTATTTTCTGACAGGGTTATTTCAGAGGGTCTGTCTTTTAAGTTCAGAAATTCTTTCTTCTGCTTGACCTAGTCTGCTATTGCCCTCAATTGTATTTTTTGTTTCATTCATTGAGTTCTTCAGTTCAGGATTGATTTAGTTCTTCTTTATAAACTCTAACTCTTTGTTGAATTTCTCATTGAGGTCATGAATTGTTTGTCTGATTTCCTTGTATTATTTATCTGTGTTTTCTTGTATCTCACTGACGTTCTTTAATATTTTTGAATTCTTTGTCAGGCATTTCATGGATTTCTTTTTCTTTTTTTTTTCCCATCTTTTTTTTTTTTTTATACTCTAAGTTTTAGGGTACATGTGCACATTGTGCAGGTTAGTTACATATGTATACATATGCCATGCTGGTGCACTGCACCCACTAACTCGTCATCTAGCATTAGGTATCTCTCCCAATGCTATCCCTCCCCCCACCCCACAACAGTCCCCAGAGTGTGATATTCCCTTTCCTGTGTCCATGTGATCTCATTGTTCAATTCCCACCTATGAGTGAGAATATGCGGTGTTTGGTTTTTTGTTCTTGCGATAGTTTACTGAGAATGATGTTTTCCAATTTCATCCATGTCCCTACAAAGGACATGAACTCATCATTTTTTATGGCTGCATAGTATTCCATGGTGTATATGTGCCACAATTTCTTAATCCAGTCTGTCATTGTTGGACATTTGGGTTGGTTCCAAGTCTTTGCTATTGTGAATAATGCCGCAATAAACATACGTGTGCATGTGTCTTTATAGCAGCATGATTTATAGTCCTTTGGGTATATACCCAGTAATGGGATGGCTGGGTCAAATGGTATTTCCAGTTCTAGATCCCTGAGGAATCGCCACACTGACTTCCACAATGGTTGAACTAGTTTACAGTCCCACCAACAGTGTAAAAGTGTTCCTATTTCTCCACATCCTCTCCAGCACCTGTTGTTTCCTGACTTTTTAATGATTGCCATTCTAACTGGTATGAGATGGTATCTCATTGTGGTTTTGATTTGCATTTCTCTGATGGCCAGTGATGATGAGCATTTTTTCATGTGTCTTTTGGCTGCATAAATGTCTTCTTTTGAGAAGTGTCTGTTCATGTCCTTCGCCCACTTGTTGATGGGGTTGTTTGTTTTTTTCTTGTAAATTTGTTTGAGTTCATTGTAGATTCTGGATATTAGCCCTTTGTCAGATGAGGAGGTTGCGAAAATTTTCTCCCATTTTGTAGGTTGCCTGTTCACTCTGATGGTAGTTTCTTTTGCTGTGCAGAAGCTCTTTAGTTTAATTAGATCCCATTTGTCAATTTTGGCTTTTGTTGCCATTGCTTTTGGTGTTTTAGACATGAAGTCCTTGCCCATGCCTATGTCCTGAATGGTAATGCCTAGGTTTTCTTCTAGGGTTTTTATGTTTTAGGTCTAACGTTTAAGTCTTTAATCCATCTTGAATTGATTTTTGTATAAGGTGTAAGGAAGGGATCCAGTTTCAGCTTTCTACATATGGCTAGCCAGTTTTCCCAGCACCATTTATTAAATAGGGAATCCTTTCCCCATTGCTTGTTTTTGTCAGGTTTGTCAAAGATCAGATAGTTGTAGATATGCAGCGTTATTTCTGAGGGCTCTGTTCTGTTCCATTGATCTATATGTCTGTTTTGGTACCAGTACCATGCTGTTTTGGTTACTGTAGCCTTGTAATATAGTTTGAAGTCAGGTAGCATGATGCCTCCAGCTTTGTTCTTTTGGCTTAGGATTGACTTGGCGATTCGGGCTCTTTTTTGGTTCCATATGAACTTTAAAGTAGTTTTTTCCAATTCTGTGAAGAAAGGCATTAGTAGCTTGATGGGGATGGCATTGAATCTGTAAATTACCTTGGGCAGTATAGCCATTTTCTCGATATTGATTCTTCCTACCCATGAGCATGGAATGTTCTTCCATTTGTTTGTATCCTTTTTTATTTCCTTGAGCAGTGGTTTGTAGTTGTCCTTGAAGAGGTCCTTCACATCCCTTGTAAGTTGGATTCCTAGGTATTTTATTCTTTTTGAAGCAATTGTGAGTGGGAGTTCACTCATTATTTGGCTGTCTGTTTGTCTGTTACTGGTGTATAAGAATGCTTGTGATTTTTGTACATTGATTTTGTATCCTGAGTCTTTGCTGAAGTTGCTTATCAGCTTAAGGAGATTTTGGGCTGAGACAGTGGGGTTTTCTAGATATACAATCATGTCATCTGCAAACAGGGACAATTTGACTTCCTCTTTTCCTAATTGAATACCCTTTATTTCCTTCTCCTGCCTAATTGCCCTGGCCAGAACTTCCAACACTATGTTGAATAGGAGTGGTGAGAGACGGCATCCCTGTCTTGTGCCAGTTTTCAAAGGGAATGCTTCCAGTTTTTGCCCATTCAGTATGATATTGGCTGTGGGTTTGTCATAGATAGCTCTTATTATTTTGAAATACGTCCCATCAATACCTAATTTATTGGGAGTTTTTAGCATGAAGGGTTGTTGAATTTTGTCAAAGGCTTTTTCTGCATCTATTGAGATAATCATGTGGTTTTTGTCTTTGTCTCTGTTTATATGCTGGATTACATTTATTGATTTGCATATATTGAACCAGCCTTGCATCCAAAAACCCTTCAAAAAATTAATGAATCCAGGAGCTGGTTTTTTGAAAGGATCAACAAAATTGATAGACCGCTAGCAAGACTAATAAAGAAAAAAAGAGAGAAGAATCTAATAGATGCAATAAAAAATGATAAAGGGGATATCACCACCGATCCCACAGAAATACAAACTACCATCAGAGAATACTATAAACACCTCTACGCAAATAAACTGGAAAATCTAGAAGAAATGGATAAATTCCTCGACACATACACTCTCCCAAGACTAAACCAGGAAGAAGTTGAATCTCTGAATAGACCAATAACAGGATCTGAAATTGTGGCAATAATCAATAGCTTACCAACCAAAAAGAGTCCAGGACCAGATGGATTCACAGCTGAATTCTACCAGAGGTACAAGGAGGAACTGGTACCATTCCTTCTGAAACTATTCCAATCAATAGAATAAGAGGGAATCCTCCCTAACTCATTTTATGAGGCCAGCATCATTTTGATACCAAAGCCACGCAGAGACACAACCAAAAAAGAGAATTTTAGACCAATATCCTTGATGAACATTGATGGAAAAATCCTCAATAAAATACTGGCAAAACGAATGCAGCAGCACATCAAAAAGCTTATCCACCATGATCAAGTGGGCTTCATCCCTGGGATGCAAGATTTATTTTTCATTGGAATGTTGGTGAATAATTACTGTGTTCTTTTGGAGGTGTTATGTTTCCTTGCTTTTTTATGTTTCTTGTGTTCTTTCATTCATATCTGTGCATCTAGTATAATAGTCACTTCTTCAAATTTTATGGATTGGCTTTCATAGGGAAAATACTTTTTCCTATAGATATATCTATTCTTTTGGTTGGGTCAGGCACTTTGGTTTTGATTCTGGGTGGGTAAAGTAGCATAGTTTCTGTATGATATCTTGGGCTGTAATCAGTTATTTGTGTCTGTGAGTTTTTCAATGGCTTAGGCTGTGGTGGTTAGTGGAAGCTGTAGTAGAACTTTGCTGGGGATGAGGACACCAGGTAGAGGCCAGTCCTTGGACAACAGCAGGCTGAGTGTGCTGATCCTTAGGGCTTCAGGCAGCGTTCTGTGCACCAAAGGTAGTGAGTCTGGACAGGCTGATCCTTAGGCCTCCAGGCATTTTACTTGGGTGTCAGCAGTGGCAGCAGTGTGCTGGGTGAGCGTATGGGTCCTTGGGCTCCTGGGCAATGTGTTTTGGTGATGGTAGGAGCAGCAGTGGGCTATCCCTCTGGCTCCCAAGCAGCACGCAGAATAATTACGCAGGTGGGGGGTTGTGGCGGGTCAATCTCCAGGCTCCCTGATGTTGCACTTGAATGCAGGCTGTGGCAAGTGGGGCAGGCTAATCCCTAGCCCTCAGACAGTGTGCTTGGGTGCCGCTCATTGTTGTAGCAGCGGAAAGCTGTGTAGGCTCATTCTTAGGCCCCAGGAAGGTGTGCATGAGTGACAGGTGGGCAGGTCTGCTTTCAGGTTCCCCTCATGGTGTGTGTGGGTGCCAGTGGCAGCAGCTAGGAGGGGCATAATGTGGCATATTTTTTTTTTGTCTGTGGGGAATAATTGGCATGTGACTTCAGAATTTCTTGTTTTTTTCCTTTTATATGTTGAAGAACTAAGTATTAAATAAACAGAAAACAAAAAATAAAAACTCAATGATGCATGCCTTGTTGATCTTGTGCTCTCTCCCCTATCCTTTTATCCCTCTGCGAATAGGCATCAGGGCAATAACATCATTACTAGTTGGGTAATAGTTTATAGACTTGTTTTCAAGACCAGACTGCTAGGCCCTAAGTGTCTTCAAACCCTTTATTTCGGGAAGTTAATTTTAATTTAGTTGAATGGTTTTGTGGAAGCTAGTTGTGCATATGAAGGAATACTCACATATCATTTATGCTTTATAAATAGCAACACAGACCACTATTTAAGATCCTAAAAATATTTGTGATTCATAACTCAAAATTGTTTTCTCTGAATCATTTGTAAACTTTCCCTTGGTCTATAATAGATAGATCAGAATGAATGAAATTCTAAACGTCTACCATCTGTTTTTGCTCTATCAGACATTCTTAGCCCTAATAAAAAATATTGTGAAGGTTTCATATTGACTTTATAGGAGGGATTGCCCAAATACATGTGATTCTTAAGGTAAATGTTTCTGTTGTCTACAGTATAAATACAATGCAAGTCACAAATGTGAACCACATGTATGGTTTTGCATTTTCTAGTAGCCATATTAGAAAAGTAATAACAGGTAAAATTAATAATATATTTTAACCTAATATGTTCAAAATACCATTTCAACATGTAATCGGTATAAAAAATTATTAAAGACATTTTTTTTTGTATTAAGTCTTGAAATCTGTGGGATATTTTATACTTACAGCATATCTCAATTTGACCTAGCCACATTTTACTTATTACATAGCCACATGTGACAGGCAGCTACTGTATTGGACAGTTCAGGCCTACTGCCAAAGTACATAATCAGTACATCAGATTGTAGAGCTTTTTCTTAAAGCTTCCCATACTGCCATGTCTCATCACTCTGTGTCAGTGGTCCTACCTCCCCATCCCTCTTCACAGCCTTTCTTTGCCTCACTTCCATCTTCATCCCATGTTATCCTCTCTTTGACACTTTCTCCCTTTTATGCCACAAATCCTCTCCTTCTTTCTGTCAAGTTCTCTTGCATGTTTTGCTGAGATTCTTAGGAAAGAAAGTTCCATTAACAGTATGATATCCTATCTCCACAAAAAAAAATGTGTTACTGGGGAAATGTAAGTTGATCTCAACAATATCAGTACCCTGGGGGAAATGAAGTTCTTCCTCCTCTAGGAAAAGTTAGGAATCTCTGATGATTGTGGATTCTGAGTGATACAGGAAGAACTGATCAGAAGTATGTAACTCGTAGCCTTTGTTTGTTTCATGAAATGTAGAACAAGAATTATGTTTTTTGCTATTATTAACACTGTTTTTAATCAGTGTCAGAAGCCAGATGTTTAATAGGTACCTCGGAAATGAGATATAAGTATACAAGTTTAGCTTTGCTGACTAGATTAGAGCAAAGGAGCATAATCAAATTTTCTTGCCAGACTATCCTGTCATTTCCTTCCTTTTTGTAACTTTTTTTTTTGGTACAAAGTCTTGGCTCGGTAACCCAGGTTGGAGTGTAGTGGCACAGTCTTGGCTCACTGCAGCCTCGACCTCCCGGACTCAAGCTATCCTCCGGCCTCAGCACTCCCACCCTGAGTAGCTGGGATTACAGGTGTGTGCCTCCATGCCCGGCTAATGTTTTGTATTTTTTGTAGAGGCAGGGTTTTGCCATGTTGCCCAGGCTGGTCTTGAACTCAAGCAGTTTGCCTGCCTGGGCCTCCCAAAGTGCTGGGATTACAGGTCTGTGCCACCATGCCTGGCCTGTAACATTTCTCAGGATTTATATTTCTAAGATATTTTGTGATTTGCATTGTATCTTTGACAGTGTATTATTTAGCCCCAATTTATGAATGTACAAACATGCAGTTCCTTGTTTTGTTTGGGTTTTGCAAAGTAACTCAAAGTCAATGCAGAAAATGAAGAAAACAATTTTACAATAACCTCAAAAAGAATAAAACATTTAGGAATACATTTAACAAAAGAGGTATAAAACTTATACTCTGAAAACTATAAAACATTGTTGGAGGAAATTAAGGACTTAGAGAAATGGAAAGACATCCCATGTTTATCTACTGGAGAACTTAATATTGTTCAGATATTTCCTAAGTTGATTTACATATTCAGTGCAATCCCAGCTGCCTGGTTGGCAGAAAATTTTTTGCAGAAATTGACAAGCAGATCCTCAAATTCTCTGGAAATGCAAAGTGCCCTAAATAATCAAAAGTGATTTTGAAAAGAACAAAGTTGGAGGACTCAGGCTTTCTAGTAAGCTTCTTGATTTCAAAGAGTACTATAAAGCTACAGTAACCAAAACAGTGTGGCACTGGCATAAGGATTGACTTGCAAGTTATTGCAGACTCCTTTTGTCCCTGGCCTCTGAGTTATTCCAAACTGTTAACACTAATCTACTCTAGACGTTTAAGAATTTATTAAAGTTTAACTGATATCTTCTTGCCCACTTATGTGGTGATCACTTCTTCCAGTGGTCTGCCAAAGGCAAAACAGTTTATGTATTCTGTTTCTCTTTGGGAGAGACTTGTCATTGTATGGATTTTAAGATAAGCAGTTTCCCTTGTTATCTTACAAACTCAGCTCTCTGGTAAACTCAAGAAAAGTTATGATTTTATAGATCAGCTGGTCTTTTCTCTTGTTACAGTGGGAAGAACATTCTCTTCTGCTTTCTACATCCTAAGCAGAGTGGAACTAATATGGTGTTTGGCATGTAACAGACTTAGCACTTGGTTAAAATTCTTTTAAAGTGGGTTTACTTTACTGAATACTTATGTGCCAAGCAGTATGCTAAGCACTTACCATATCATCTCCTTTAGTCCATGCACTTATCTATGAAGTATAGGTACTGTTATTATTCCCATGTTTTACATGTAAAACTGAGGCTTAGTAGAGAAAAGGAACTGGAGGCACAGGAATAAATAATAATTTTTATTGATATTATCCAAATCACCTTCCTCCTTCTCCCAATAAAACTCTTGAATCCATTTTTCAACTTTTCCAAGGAAAGGAGATATATATTCCTGGCATTGCAAGTTCTTATTTTCCTCATTTGATGGGAAAAGAGACACAGTATTAAAACCAGAGAAAGCTTGAAGGGACCTGGGTGAACTTTTGATTAACAGAGAGAGAGAGAGAGAGAAAAATATTATCTAAGGATCTGGTGGCTTTGGGTCATCAGCAGTGTGTGTTTTTTTTTTTTTTTTTAATTATACTTTAAGTTCTAGGGTACATGTGCACAACGTGCAGGTTTGTTACATATGTATACAGGTGCCATGTTGGTGTGCTGCACCCATTAACTCGTCATTTACATTAGGTATATCTCCTAATGCTATCCCTCCCCCCTTCCCCCACCCCACAACAGGCCCCAGTGTGTGATGTCCCCCTTCCTGTGTCCAAGTGTTCTCATTGTCCAATTCCCACCTATGAGTGAGAACATGTGATGTTTGGTTTTTTGTCCTTGCGATAGTTTGCTGAGAATGATGGTTTCCAGCTTCAACCATGTCCCTACAAAGGACATGAACTCATCCTTTTTTATGGCTGCATAGTATTCCATGGTGTATATGTGCCACATTTTCTTAATCCAGTCTATCATTATTGGACATTTGGGTTGGTTCCGAGTCTTTCCTATTGTGAAAAGAGCCGCAACAAACATATGTGTGCATGTGTCTTTATAGCAGCATGATTTATAATCCTTTGGGTATATACCCAGTAATGGGATGGCTGGGTCAAAATGGTATTTCTAGTTCTAGATCCCTGAGGAATTGCCACACTGTCTTCCACAATGGTTGAACCAGTTTATAGTCCCACCAACAGTGTAAAAGTGTTCCTGTTTCTCCACATCCTCTCCAGCACCTGCCGTTTCCTGACTTTTTAATGATTGCCATTCTAACTGGTGTGAGATGGTATCTCATTGTGGTTTTGATTTGCATTTCTCTGATGACCAGTGATGATGAGCATTTTTTCATGTGTCTTTTGGCTGCATAAATGTCTTCTTTTGAGAAGCATCTGTTCATATCCTTCGCCCACTTGTTGATGGGGTTTTTGTTTTTTTCTTGTAAATTTGTTTCAGTTCTTTGTGGATAAAGATATTACTCATCTTTGTCAGATGAGTAGATTGCAAAAATTTTCTCCCATTCTGTAGGTTGCCTGTTCACTCTGATGGTAGTTTCTTTTGCTGTGCAGAAGATCTTTAGTTTAATTAGATCTCATTTGTCAATTTTGGCTTTTGTTGCCATTGCTTTTGGTGTTTTAGACATGAAGTCCTTGCCCATGCCTGTGTCCTGAGTGGTATTGCCTAGGTTTTCTTCTAGGGTTTTTATGGTTTTAGGTCTAACATTTAAGTCTTTAATCCATCTTGAATTAATTTTTGTATAAGGTGTAAGGAAGAGATCCAGTTTCAGCTTTCTACATATGGCCAGCCAGTTTTCCCAGCACCATTTGTTAAATAGGGAATCCTTTCCCCATTTCTTGTTTTTGTCAGGTTTGTCAAAGATCAGATAGTTGTAGATGTGTGGTATTATTTCTGAGGCCTCTGTTCTGTTCCATTGGCCTGTATCTCTGTTTTGGTACCAGTACCATGCTGTTTTGGTTACTGTAGCCTTGTAGTATAGTTTGAAGTCAGGTAGTGTGATGCCTCCAGCTTTGTTCTTTTGGCTTAGGATTGACTTGGCAATGCAGGCTCTTTTTTGGTTCCATATGAACTTTAAAGTAGTTTTTTTCCAGTTCTGTGAAGAAAGTCATTGGTAGCTTGATGGGGATGGCATTGAATCTATAAATTACCTTGGGCAGTATGGCCATTTTCACGATATTGATTCTTCCTACCCATGAGCATGGAATGTTCTTCCATTTGTTTGTATCCTCTTTTATTTCATCAAGCAGTGGTTTGTAGTTGTCCTTGAAGAGGTCCTTCACATCCCTTGTAAGTTGGGTTCCTGGGTATTTTATTCTCTTTGAAGCAGTTGTGAATGGGAATTCACTCATGATTTGGCTGTTTGTCTGTTATTGGTGTGTAGGAATGCTTGTGATTTTTGCACATTGATTTTGTATCCTGAGATTTGCTGAAGTTGCCTGTCAACTTAAGGAGATTTTGGGCTGAGACAGTGGGGTTTTCTAGATATACAATCATGTCATCTGCAAACAGGGACAATTTGACTTCCTCTTTTCCTAATTGATTACCCTTTATTTCTTTCTCCTGCCTGATTGCCCTAGCCAGAACTTCCAACACTATGTTGAATGGGAGTGGTGAGAGAGGGCATCCCTGTCTTGTGCCAGTTTTCAAAGGGAATGCTTCCAGTTTTTGCCCATTCAGTATGATATTGGCTGTGGGTTTGTCATAAATGGCTCTTATTATTTTGAGATACGTCCCATCAATACCTAATTTATTGAGAGTTTTTAGCATGAAGGGTTGTTGAATTTTGTCAAAGACCTTTTCTGCATCTATTGAGATAATCATGTAGTTTTTGTTGTTGGTTCTGTTTATATGCTGGATTACATTTATTGATTTGCGTATGTTGAATCAGCCTTGCATCCCAGGGATGAAGCCAACTTGATCATGGTGGATAAGCTTTTTGATGTGCTGCTGCATTCGGTTTGCCAGTATTTTATTGAGGATTTTTGCATCAATGTTCATCAGGGATATTGGTCTGAAATTCTCTTTTTTTGTTGTGTCTCTGCCAGGCTTTGGTATCAGGATGATGCTGGCCTCATAAAATGAGTTATGGAGGATTCCCTCTTTTTCTATTGATTGGAATAGTTTCAGAAGGAATGGTATCAGCTCCTCCTTGTACCTCTGGTAGAATTCAGCTGTGAATCCGTCTGGTCCTGGACTTTTTTTGGTTGGTAAGCTATTAATTATTGCCTCAATTTCAGATCCTGTTATTGGTCTATTCAGAGATTCAACTTCTTCCTGGTTTAGTCTTGGGAGAGTGTATGTGTCGAGGAATTTATCCATTTCTTCTAGATTTTCCAGTTTATTTGCGTAGAGGTGTTTATAGTATTCTCTGATGGTAGTTTGTATTTCTGTGGGATCGGTGGTGATATCCCCTTTATCATTTTTTTTGCGTCTATTTGATTCTTCTCTCTTCTTTGTTAATCTTGCTAGTGGTCTATCAATTTTGTTGATCTTTTCAGAAAACCAGCTCCTGGATTCATTGATTTTTTTGAAGGGTTTTTTGTGTCTCTGTCTCCTTCAGTTCTGCTCTGATCTTAGTTATTTCTTGCCTTCTGCTAGCTTTTGAATGTGTTTGTTCTTGCTTCTCTAGTTCTTTTAATTGTGATGTTAGGGTGTCAATTTTAGATCTTTCCTGCTTTCTCTTATGGGCATTTAGTGCTATAAATTTCCCTCTACGCAAACAGTGTCTAGGTTTTATAACAGGTGAATGACAGAATGACTGTCATGGCTTTGCTGCCGCTTTCCACTTTCCCGTTTTGTTTCTTTTGCTTCCAGTGTGAAGTTCAGCTTTTTTTATAGGACGGTAGAATTTTAATTTGTTACCTCTTTTATTAATTCCTTCACTAGCCTGCTATATGCACATTCCTTAAGGTAGGTCTCATGCTAAGGACATTAAGTATAACTACTTGTACCACTTAATTTGTCTTAACAAATGCCTTTGTAAGCTGTCTCCTCACCCTTTAATACATTCAACAAAAAGTGAAGTAAAAAAGTTTTTTTGAATTTTATTTAAAAACTTTTTTTCATTTTTGTTCACTTCCAGAAAAGAAACTATGAGCCTGGTCAGTAAGCTCAATTAAAACAAATATTATTAATTAATCTCTTCAGCTATTATCTAAGCTTCATTTTCCAAGATGTGCCATTTATAACTCACAACAGTATTCAGTCTGTGTTTTCTCGTGTGCTGGTTAGAGATGCAAGTTGAGTTTCATGCATTGCCTGTCTGCTGGAATTTCAACACTTTTTCAACAGTTCCATATGTATAGTATAAACTGGGCGATAAGCACCTGATCATTATTGTATCTGTGAGTAGAATTAATACAGAGACTATGCCAAAGGTTGAGGAATGGGAACATGTAGAGAAAGGGAGGAGGATTGTTTATATATAGGAATATATTTTACAATAACCAGGTTTAATGTAACCGGCACTTAACGTGCTTCTTCCTTTCTAGTTATCAGGGAATACCAAGAGCAGAGAGAGCATCCAGGAACCTAGATCTGATTACTACAATCATGAAGTTCCTGATATTGACCTCAGTGATTGTGAATTCCCACATGTCATTGAAATTTATGACTTTCCCCAAGAATTTCATACTGAAGACCTTCTACGGGTTTTCTGCAGTTATCAGTGAGTATGCAAATGATTGTGGATGTTAGGGAGGGTGAGATGAAGTCTTTAAAAAATGTTTTCTGAGAAATCATCTCTTGTTTTTTATATCCCGTTTTTCATATTTTAGCATCAGGCTGGTTTATTGTCTTTTCCAGGTCCAGTAGAAATTTTCTATATTAAACTACTGTTCTAAGTTCCTTAAAAATGTCAGGTAGCCTTTCTAGCCCCCATTTTAGCATTTAAGAAGACTGTCATCAGTGATGACTTCATGGTGCATTTAGTCCATTAATACATATTGTAATTGTTGATATATTTGGATGTATTGTCAGATTGCCTGCCATCTTTATGTGTTTATTTGTCCTATCTTTTTCTTTCTTGCCTTCTTTTGGGGTCACTGCAGCCTCGACTTCCTGGGCTCAAGCAATCCTCCCAGCTTAGCCTCCCAAGTAGCTGGGACCACAGGTGTGTGTCACCATGCCTGGCTAATTTTTGTATTTTTTTGTAGAGACAGGGTTTCACCATGTTGCCCAGGTTAGTCTCAAACTCCTGCACTTAAGCCATCCGCCTACTTCAGCCTCCCAAAGTGCTGGGATTACAAGTGTGAGTTACCACGCCTGGCCTCAACTAAGTTTTTATAGACAAAATAACTCTTCTTTTTTACGCTCTGCTCCTGTTTCATTGGTTTAATTTTATTTAATTCCATGGTGAAAATATCAACTCACACTGATATATGTGGGTTTGAGAACACTTGCACTAACCCTTGGTATGTGTATAGCTGATACTTATATAGGAGAAGTTAAAAGAGTTAGAAGTAGATACCTTTGTATATTTAGCTTATAAGAAAAAAATAAGCTTCAGGAATAAAGAGATGATAATCCAGAAAGAAAGTTATTAAGAAGATTTTCAGGGTCTGGAAGAAAGTCAGTATCAAGAAGAATTATACTTTAATGTTTCAGTCCTGATATTTAAAATGAACCAGGTCTGTAGTGTGATATAACAAATTTAAATTTAAAATTCACCTTGAATGTGTAAGATTCTATATAAGTCAGGGTATAGCCCTTAACTTTTTCTTAAAGGATAAGTAAATATTTTAGACAACTCTGCCATTGTTAAACAGAAGCAAGCAAAAACAATACATAAATGAGCATGGCTGTAAACTAAAACTTTATTTATAAAAAGAAGTGTTCTGTTTTCATATGAAGTTCTAGAACAGGCAAAACTAGCAGCCATGTACTTGTTTAATCAGTTAAACTTAATTCGGTGGGGAGCATCAGTTCTATAACTAACAGAAAGAAAGGGTGAATGGATCCTGGATGACAGTTAATCTCTGCCATAAACTTTAAATGTATAGTGTGTAGGTCAGTCTTACTTACTAGAATTAGGTTAAAATCTAGTATCAGAACCTGTTCAACATAAAATTCATAATAGATTTTTTAAAAGCAGTCAGAGGGATCAAATCCTGTTAGAACTACCTTAGACTGTCATAAATAATGATGATTCTTAAAACTAAGGATCATTTTGTTGATGTCTAGAATTTCTTGAAGATCAATTAACTCTTACAAACTATTTACTTCCCTTTGCTTTGTTTCTTGATAATCTCACCTGCAGGACCATGTTTCTATCAAATTCAAAAACATTCCCCAAAGAGAAAAATTTTAAAGGATTATGAAATTTTGAAGTATAAAAGGCCCTCTAGAACCCATCTGTGATTTATAAAAATGAAAATATTAATATTGATGAACATTGCTATTAATAATAAAAGTAATGAACACCATTAATTTATTAGATGCCCATGAAGTGCTCAACACCATCTTCTTTGCCTTGTCATGGATGATCTCATTTCCATTTTCACAACAACTCTGTGGGGAACATACTTTCTTCATTTTTACAGAGGAGCCGACCTAGCTTCAAGAGAGGTTAAACTTGCCCAGGGTCTCAAGGTGGCAGAACCCTGAGTCCATGAGCATTTTTAAGCTCTTAGCTGAAAAATATAACTGTTATGTCATCATCCTGACATTCCTTGTGCTCACTAGGTAGTTGTTCTCCAAAATAAAAGTGTTTTTCTAGTACTTAAATGTTCATTCTTTTGATGCTTTCTAATCTGGTCTGATATTTCTCTTATCATGATTCCTTTCATCCTTAATTTTTCTGACTTTGCCACATAATTCTTTCTAATTTTTTCTTATTTTTTTAACCTCCCTTCTGCAACAAGTGAAGAATAGATCAGCCTCTCTGATTATAGTTGCCCCCTTTTTTCCCCGTTACTTGACTTTTTTAAAAAAATTGAATAACATCTTCAGTATAATCTCCCCTACCCCATTCTCTTCTCTTTCTGTCTCTGTCCTCAAGGACAGAGTTTACATTTGCATTAAATCCAGGTGACCTTCCCTGCCTACCTACTCCTCTTATATTCTACCCCTCCTCTGCTTCCTCTTTCCATTTCTTCTCATTCCCTGCCCATAAGAACATCTCTTGTAAATAGTGCATTAAATACTTTACATCCCCAAGGGACTTGTGAGGATTAATTAGTTGATGTCTATAAAATGGCTGAGAACGTAAAATACTCCTGGGTACTTGTTTATGATGGTATTATTGCTTTTAAAATTCAATGGCTTCTTCTGTCCTCCAAACTGTTTTCTGTGTCATTATCCCCATTCCACCTGTGCACTCGTTGAGTGTTTCTATCTTGTGAAATGCTTTATGAGATTCTATTTGTGAGATGTTTCATAAAAGTAAATTTTATTTTAGGAAATAAAATTGTTTTTTTGTGTTGCAGAAAGAAAGGATTTGATATTAAATGGGTGGATGATACACATGCCCTAGGAGTATTCTCCAGTCCAATTACAGGTATTCACCCAGTGGCTTTCAATCTTCCTTTCTTATTGTTCATTTTCTCATGCTACTTTTTCTATTTCCCTTCTATTTGAGCAAGTTGGCATCTTATTCAGCCAGTGTAGGTAATAGGGCAGTTAGTGGTTTTTTTGAGGTAAGGTACTTTGGTACCCATTCTCACCTTTCACCTTAGTCCAGTGGTATTTGGAGAGATAGAGTCAACACCTTCCAAGGTTATTTGTACACATAACTGTCTGTCATGATAGTACGTAAACAGATTAAGGTAGAGATTGAAGAATCCAATGGGGCTCTTAAAATATTGGTGATTTTTTTTTTCCATCCTAGACAAGTGAATTTAATTAGCCCTTTAACCTGTCTAGTGAGAAATTATAATACATACCCTCTGAATATATGATTGGGCCTTCTTACATATACCATTGGCCTCATGATAGATCTGATGCAGAGGCATTCAAAGAAAATAGAGATATTGAAACGTTAGTTCCTATCTGAACCACCTAGAATATGGATCTGCAAAATTATTCTATAAAGGACCAAACAGTAAATACAATATTTTAGGCTTTGTGGAGCATCAGGTCTCTGTCACTACTTAACTCTGCTGTTGGAGCAAGAAAGCAGCCATAGACAATATACAAACCAAATGGGCATGGCTCTGCTTCAGTAAAATAATAAAATTACTTTGTAAATAAATATAAAAACAGGTGGTTGGCTGGATTTGGTCATGGAGCCATAGTTTGCTGATACCTGATCTAAAATAATTACTGCCACGTTGATCTTTAGATCTGTCTCTTTTGCTTGCTTTGAAAAAAAAGCATAACATCTAGGAAATACTAAGAGCTATCCCTAGTTTTTCCTTTGCATCACTCTACTTCATGTCTTCTGCTTCCTTTTATTCCTCTTTGCAGCTCGTGATGCGTTGGGTATTAAACACACCATGGTGAAGATTCGTCCCTTGTCACAGGCCACAAGAGCAGCCAAGGCCAAAGCTAGAGCTTATGCTGGTGAGTCTATAATCTCTGGGTTTTTTTCTTGCTGATGGTGGTATTATTGTTCTTTCCAGAAGTTTTATAGCATCCAGACATCTAAAGACATATCACTTTTATTTTTAGTGTTAAAAGAAATATGTTTTTAAGAAAAAATAAATAAAAGGGAAATGACCATGTTGGAAATATGGCATCTGAGCAGCCACTTGGAGTGTGTGAGAACTAACTGCAGGCAATGCAGCAATCAGTTTCTGATGACATCCCTACCTAGTTTACCTCTGTGTTTAGCTGCCTGATAGAGTCACTGTAAGATACTTTGTTAATGCAGATAATGAAGCCAGGGTTGTTTGTGCTTTGCCATGTTAATTTCCTCTGATCATCATCTATCAGACTTGTATTAATTACTGCTGATGCAGCCCTTGTTAGTCTATTTTGTATGTTAATTACTGAGTTAAATCACTTGAAGCTAGAGTGCTCTCTCTTCTTGACTCCTTCCTACTCCCTTCCTTTCTTCGATTCAGAGTTCCTCCAGCCAGCAAAGGAGCGTCCTGAGACTTCAGCAGCCCTAGCCAGAAGGTTAGTCATCAGTGCCCTTGGGGTTCGAAGTAAGCAGAGCAAAACCGAACGAGAAGCAGAGCTCAAGAAACTGCAAGAAGCCAGAGGTGAGCTGAAAGGGTGGTGTTCTTCTCTAGGCCCTTCAGAACTCACTGTAAGGCATGTGTTTAAAAAAAAATGAATGAAGCCCATTCCATTTTTGTCGTTTCTGTTTCCTAGAAGCCTCCTAAGTGTATAGAAATTTTCATGCCTTACGTCCAGGAGAAGATGTTTCAGGATTGTCTGCCTGTTTCACGCACCAAGACATTCTAATCCACGCTCCTACTGTTGTTTTCCAAGAGATAGGTTTGGTCTTCTCAGCTCATCCATGGCTTTTCCTACAGTTTTTCTATGAGAAAAATTTTCCTGTGAAAACAGATAGTGTCCTAGGGAGAAAACATTTGCTATGGTTTTACTGGGCCACGATTGCCATGATATTGCCCTAATGTTATCAAATGGTTTAGATCTGAGGTAGAAGACAAATTTAGGAAAAGCCAGCAACTGACGTTGATGATAACAACTGTAGGAGGTATTTTTGTCTTTTTAAGACAGTCCTGAGTGGCTCCATTAGAGTACATCTAGATTTACCTGTCTTCTGATTATTTTCCAGTATCCAAGAGTTCTCAGAAAAATATTTCCCCTGATCCACAAGCAGAGTTTTTCTTTCTTATAGTTTGGAGCTGAAGTTAAAATCTCTCTCTCCTCTACAGGCTGTTGAATTGTATGTAAAGGCTTGGGACTCTGGTGTGGCACTTAAGTACTTTTTATCAACCTTCAGGCTTTAGACAGTCTCATTGCCTTAGCCCACAATTCCTGGAATCTGTGAAGGCAATTTATTCTGAAAATTCCACTTACCGAAAAGTAACTTCATTTTTCCATTAAACGAATTGAAGTTTCAAACTCCTTGTTTATTGCTGGTCTAACAAGGCCATTAATACGTCCTGTCCTCTCTGCTTTAGTGATAGCAGGCAGCTTGCGGACTCCCAGCTGCACTGGCCAGATAACCAGTGACAGAGTGTGTCATGGCAGGTGCTAGAGTTTCAGAGTTGAACCCAACTAATTTTTGAAACTTTAATGATTATAATGAGGCAGTTTCCATGTTTTCCAATCATTGTTTACTCAAAGGCCTCCTACAGACTATAGAAACATAACCGGATTCCTTGGGTTTTTATAGATGGCAATAACAGAACTAGATTAAAGATGAATGTACAGTGTCCTTAACCCTTTGTTAATTGGTTGTCTCTGAAGAAAATGATTTCTGTGTGATAACAGTGATATCTATAAAAGGGGATATGACTCCCTTTGCCATGTTATCATGCTTCTCTGTGGGTGTATATCACCTGTATCTCTACAGATCCTGCAGCAGTGGTTTTGCGTGGATATCATCTTGAGTATTCCCTTTTCTTTCTCTAGGTGCATCAGCATGCAGCTCCACTTGAAGTATTTGTTTTAAATGTCTGGCTATGCAAAGGACATTTCAGTGATGCAATTAAAAATGATTCTGTTGACTAAGCGGGTACTCTATTGCTTTTCTAAAGAAGGCCTTTATTTGTGAATAGAGACCCACTGTGATAAGTTTCTCCTACCTATTGGTGCTGAGGCTGTATGGATTATGAGGACTCTTTATTATGCTCCAGCGTGCTACCATTCTTTATATCTGAGGAAATGCATCTGGAAGATTTCCTGATGTATTTCTTTCTGGCATCTTTCTGTGTTGGGCAGATACTTATATGCTTGCCTGCATGGAGCCCAGGCTTTAAATATTTTTTTTCAGTGGAAACTTTACTGTTTTAGGTATTAGACTCTGGAATCTCACTTCCTGGGTCCACATCTTAGGTCTGCCATTTACTGTCTGTGTGACCTTGAGAGGGTAGGTAAGTAACTTACTTACTTTCTGGAGGCCTGTTTTCTCATCCTTAAACAGAGCTCAAGCAAGTTAATCCATGAAGGATACTTAGTCATCTTCAAAAAACCATAGGTACTCTCTTGCTCCTGTTTCTATAGGCCTATAATGAGTTATATGGTAAGTGTTAGCTGCTGTTGTTTTTGTTAGTAATAATAGAAATATCATTATATGGTGAATCCAGCACAGATTTCAGTGCATATTTTTGTCATTACTCTTTTTATTTTAAAATTCCTGTAATCATCTGTTAGCTCCATTTGGCATTCACTGAGCACCTGCCCTGTGCAGAGCACTGTGTTCCCTGTTTAGGAGAATTAGAAAGATGGCAAGATTTTGTTCCTCTCCTTAAGCCTTACAGTCTAGTGAAGATAATCTGCCTTGAGTAGGGAAGAAAATATGTTCCTCTTTTAGGTATTTTAAGCAGTTGTTTTTCCTCTCACTTCAGTTCTGAAGATTTTAAGATTAAAAACCATAAATGGTTTTTGTTGATTAAAAGGACAGGAAGGAAACTCCATCATAACTTACAGGTTATGATGATATTGCATTATGATAACTCTGTGACCAGTGATACCATCTTGAGTTTAGAGCTGACCCAGAGAAGTTAAACTGGCCTAAGGTCACCCAGCTGGTAAACTGAAAGAGAAGGCATCTGAATCTAGGTACCGCTGATTAAAACCCATGCTTCTTCTGTAATACTGTAATCCCCCTTAAAGGACTTTTGCAGTTATTGACATTTTCTCCCAGAAAAAAAAACTTACATAAAACATTTTTTAAAGTCTCCAGGAACAAAATATGACAAGCTTCTTTGTTATCTGTACCAATGGTTAGCAGCTTTTCACTGTCAGAAAAATCTTCCTTAGGTCTAACTTAAATCTGCATGATAGTTTAAACCAGTGTCCTCTTGTTTTTTCCTTAGTAGAAATAGAGAATATCTGCATACTATTTTGTTCTAACAACTTTAACGCTAAAGATTAGGGGCAGATTGTTTAGAAATGAGGAAATCTGGGCTCTAATAGAGCTTTTGCCATTAACTAGCTGCGTGGCCATGGGCAAGTCAGTTATACTTCTCTGTGCCCCCTGGTTTCCAGCAAAGCGAAAGTACTCCTCAGCCTACCTAATCATGGAGAATTTTTTGAGCACAGAATAAGTTAACATATGTAAAAATGTTTGGAAAAGTGCTTTACAAATTCAGGATATGATTATTGATATGACTGTTAAGAATTTAATGTTCATTATAATATGAGCTTGTAATGACAAATACGTATTATATACTGCTACTCTCCATCCATTACAAGTGGCAGATATTGTTAAATCAGTCATGACATTCTTTCTTGGTGAGTTTTGACATGACCATTGCCAATTTATCAGAATTAGCATGGGAATTGAAATCTATATATCATCCTGTTATAATATGGTATAATAATCTCCCAGCCTTTCTTTCTCCCGCTTGAAGACTTCTGCTGTCTAGCAACAGTGCCTGGTACATAAAAAGATACTCAGTACATGTTCATTGACCAAATACATGGATGACATTGGTTACTCTAATTTTTCTTTGTAAATCTTGACTCTACTCTGAATGCTAAGTCCTCCATGTTTTTCTTTATAAAACCCAGAATGTGAAACCTTCCTAATTAAGAATTTTGAATTTGTGATTTTGAGTTTTAAGTACTTTTCTGCTATATTTTTCACTCTACTTTGATTATTTATTTATTTATTGAGACAGGGTCTCACTTTGTCACCCAGGCTGGAGTGCAGTGGCACGATCACAGCTCTCTGCAGCCTCAACGTCCCAGGCATAAGGAATCCTTCCACCTCAGCCTCCTGAGTAGCTGGGACTACAGGCATGTGCCACCATGCTGGCTAATTTTTTCCTTTTAGTAGTGATGGGGTCTCTCTGTGTTGCCTAGGCTAGTCTCAAACTCTTGGACTCAAGTGATCTCCTGCCTTGGCCTCCTAAAGTGCTGGAGTTACAGACCTGAGCCACTGTGCCCAGCCTAAAACCACATTTTAAAGACCAAACTCAGGGCCAGGCATGGTGGCTCACTCCTGTAATCCCAGCATTTTGGGATGCCAAAGTGGGCGGATCATCTGAGGTCAGGTGTTTGAGTCCAGCCTGGCCAACATGGTGAAACCCTGTCTCTACTAAAAATAGAAAAATTAGCCGGGCATGGTGGCGCGCACCTGTAGTCCCAGCTACTCAGCAGGCTGAGGCAGGAGAATCGCTTGAACCTGAGAGGCGGAGGTTGCGGTGAGCCGAGATTGCACCACCATACTCCAGCCTGGGCAACTGAGCAAGACTCCATCTCAAAAAAATAAAAAACAAAATAAAGACCAAACTCAGGAATGTATATAAAATTTTCCCATGTTCCACTCATCCAGATATTTGATTCCCACCTAAAACTGGACTTAGATATCGTTACCTCTCAGAATAAGCTATCTTCTCATTTTCAAAGCCTGCTACAATTTTATTTTAATTTATTTTCATTTTATTCTTGAAGGTAGGTGATTAATTGGCTGGTTCTGAAAGGCCATCTTTTGGGTCACAAGCCTGAAAGGCAAAGTAAGTAAACAGTAGCCCGCTCACCTAGTTTGATTAATTAAATCACAAAGAACTTCAAACCATCTCTATAAGATAGTAATAAATTTAATCACAGTTCATACCTTCTGAAAACCTTCTTTAGACTTTCCATTATTCTGCCTTAAAGGGCAGTGTGGCATTGCTGATTCATAATCTAGGTCTTAGGGTATTTTCTTGGCGTTTTTTCTCCCCTGATGTCTGAAGTTCATTTCTAACCACATTTTTTTTTTTTTTTCATTTTAATGTGACTTTTTTTCTGTGATGTAGCGTTTACTCATTTTTTGGTGTCAATTGCTGTTTAATAAACCTAATACCTTTGCCTAGATCAGAGATGAAAATGTTAACTAGGACTAACTAACTGACCAGGTCACCAGCTGTTGCTAAAATAAATAGTACATGGTTCCTTGTGTTAACACTTAATACATTGATAATTATTCTACTCTCTAGAGTTAAATGCCCCCTTATGGGATTCAGACTGTATTTTTCCATATATTATGATCATATAAATATTTAGTAAACTTAAAATCTAAAACTTTGCTAAAATTAAGAGGTTATTTAGATTACTTCTCCTTGATCTACTATGTCCGTCACTCTAAAAGAAGGGAATAAGATTCGTTTGACCAGACGCGTTCTTCACAAAGCATGTTGTCTATTGTTCTGTATGTGACTACAGTAGATTTTGTGATTATTTTTCATAGATCTAGAATAAATTTTGAAAGTCTTTAATTTACATCCTCTCTCTGCTTTTTTTAAAACATGACACCAAACTGGCCCTTTTACAATCTTCAACGCTTTACATTCTCTTATGTAAAGTCTTGACTGCACCGTGATTGCAGGCAACTCATTTAATATAGTCATTTCTGTTGATTGATTTATTATATTGGAGAATGAAAGTTTTCAGGGCCAGCCAATGTGAATGTTTTAGGTCAATCATTTTGTGCTGAATTTTCTATTTTTTCTTAATTCCTTGCCCTTGTGTCTACTGTTGGGCTTTCTCTTTATTCTTTTAATTGTTGGAGGTCAAGTTAGTAGGAGCTTTGTTTCATGCAGTTTATCAGCTATTATCTGCTTTCCTTTCTCTTTAATAAAGGGACATGTTTCTTTGTCTTTCTGTTTATACAATTTTTTTCATATTTTTTTCCCTTGTAGATATTTTCAGATGTCAGGATAGTAGAAAGTGTGCTGGTGAAGAATTAAGGATCTGGGTCCCAGATTCAGTTCTTTCACTGGCTGTGTAACCTTAGGCAAGTCATTTCAGCTCTCTGAGCTTCTGTTTCCTCATCTTTAAAATAAAGAAATTATTATTTCCTATCCTGACCTACATTTCTCTATTCTATTCATGTTCTTGTATTTCTAAATTTACACCTCACATTTTCACTATTTCTTTGTGCTTCTCAATTTGTCTTCCTACTCTTACTAGTTTTTTCATATGGCTTACCATTAGAATCTATTTACTTTTATTAGAAAGTGTTAGGAAATGTTTCAGGCCGGGCACAGTGGCTCACGCCTGTCATCCCAGCACTTTGGGAGGCCGAGGTGGGCAGATTACCTGAGCTCAGGAGTTCAAGACCATTCTGGCTAGCATGGCGAAACTCTGTCTCTACTACATATACAAAAAAATTAGCCAGGCATGGTGGCATGTGCCTGTTACTCAAGAGCTACTCAGGAGACTGAGGCATGAGAATTGCTTGAACCTGGGAGGCGGAGGTTGCAGTAAGCCAAGATCACACCACTGCACTCCACCCTGGGTGACAGAGCGAGACTCCATCTCCAAAAAAAAAGGTTCAGAATTCTGAACTTTCCAGATTTTAGAAAGGTAATATGGTATCTGTCTTATAACGCCAAAATCAGACACATTAATATTTCTGCAGCAGAGTGTGTGACTGTTCACACTAAATGGGATATGTAAAGACTATAAATAGCTTCGTATCCTTTCAAGTTAGATTTGCCTCCATCGATTAATTTTGGCCCCAAGCTTTAAAGAAAGCAATAACTTTGTTTTCAGAATTGTTTTGATTTTGGAATTGTGTGTTATGGGCCTGTTATATTTTTCTACTGCTCTCGAATCTCTTCTCATATTACTCTTAAAGATTTAAGTTTCACACCTTATTGAAAAATTGGAGTTCTAATAATTTACTTTTCTGGTTTCTTCATTTTTCCTTGGGATGTAGAACCAGATTTTGATTGCTTTCATCCATTGCCTTTAGATCTCCTCCTAACTTCTCCATGTTTGTAAGAATCAAGACCATGCTGCCTTCCTAAGAAATTCTGGAATCCATTAGACAAACCAGTTATCCTTTGTGCTGTCTCCTAGAGAACCCCAGTGCAGTTCAAGGCCTGCCTCAGTTCCAGGGCATTCTCTACCAGCCTTCATTTTGCAATTTGCAGACCACTGTTTTTTGCCTCTTGTAACTTTGCTGCTATATTCAGATAATGCCACAAGATGGTGCCCAAATAGCAGTGAATTTCTTTTTCTCACATTTCCAAGTGCCAGTCAGCTTCATAACTAACTTCTTTGCCCTTAAAGTACAGTCAAATACAGTATAGGAATGTTGTAAGGGATTCTGCTGATGAGGAAAGATATATCAGAATAGCAAGTGTTTATTCTGAATTCATCTCGATTTCTGTAATCTCCCTGGTTCATGACTTGCTAAACCTTATACAGGCATTATCAATTTGGAACAGTAAGAAGGAAGCATTTAGGCTTACCATCTATGATGTAGGCTTATCCCCATTTTATGGTGTCAAGATAAATGACTAGCCATGCAATTGGAACTGGTATTGTGGCACCTAAAGGAGCGCTTGGGTCACCAGACTGTTGTATGGTCCATATTTTCTCAGACCTTGGTGAAAGTGTTATGGAGAACCAAGCTTCTATATTAAAAATTGAAGATGAATTATCCAGATTTGTATATTTTTTGTTTTTAGAAATAGTTTTAGTTTTCCATATTGTAATTGTATATTCCAGAAGATTTCTGGCTCCTGGAAGTGCTCTGAAAATATTGAAATGTGGTTTGCCTCTGAAATATTTTTTCAATAAAGTTTTAGAGAGGAGATATGAGTAAAGCCCAGGGGCTACCATTTCCATTTAAGCAACAAAATAGAAGAATATCAATACATATCCTTGATACTTATTGAAATATTTGTAAAGATCAGTAAGCTGAGAATAATGGGCAATTGTGTTGAAGCACTAAACATAGTTGAAAAGTAGAATTTAAATATGTATTAGCAAGACTAGAATCTGAGTCCCTACTAGATTCTGACTTATTCCATATACTTCTATTAGCCTCAGATATTTTTTATTATATAGTAGTAAATGTAATGACTTACAGTAGTATCATTTTCACTTACAAAGCACTTAGGAAATTAAAGGAATTAACTCTTGTTATCAGGTAAGAGAGACCAGGATATCCACTTGTCTCATGACTAAAGTTTGCCTTGTAATTTGGATTAAGGGAAAGTCATTGGTTATATGAAGTAGACAACTGTGGTTAATACTGCTCTTATTTACAGAGAGAAAGCGGTTGGAAGCCAAGCAACGGGAAGACATCTGGGAAGGCAGAGACCAGTCTACAGTTTGAACATCACTCAATGAAAGGGATAATTCCATGAATCAGAAAATGTTTCCATAGCCTTCAGATAAGATGATCCTTCCAGAGCTCTATGTACATGCAGATGTGCATGTTAAAGAGATAAAGTGATCGAGACAAGGACTGACTGGGTATAGAAGGAAGACAGACTCCTGTCTTCACTCCTAAATGCAGTTCTTTGGAATCACCCTACTGTGGTGGGCGTAGTAGGGAGCCATCAGCTAGGAAGAAACGTGGGAGATGTGAATTCCAAGAGTTGCCTGGACAGGGCAAGTCATGTTAGCGTGGGTCACACTTCCAAGATATTTAAAGCAAATACAAAACAGAACAGAGGATTCAAACCGCAAGTATGGGAGATTTAGGCCCTGCAGAGGCAGACCATTCCTTAGTATCTCACAAAGCAGAGTAATACTGGAGGCAGAGTAGGGGGTGGTTGGAGAGCAGTTAGTACAAAGAGGCAGAACAGTGTCTGGTTTACTTGGCATACACAGAATCTGCACTGCCGGTTCCAGAACTGCAAAGTTGGTGAACTACAGGAGATGTGGGTATTTAGACTCCAAAGTTTATACTGAGCTCAGTGCCTGGGACCGCTCCAGCTGCACTGCAGCCAGGGGGGATACCAGCTTCATTCCTCAGAGTAAACCAACCTTGGGAGCTGTGTGCCAGTTCCAGTGTAAGCAGTAATACCATGTTGTAAGAGGGAACATTAAAGCCCATTTTATGACATATATCACTGTGGTGTTTGTTGGTTTTTGTCATTCCAACAAAGAAATAGGAGAGCAGCTTTCTTCTTATCCTCATGCCTATAAGGCTGTGCATAAGTTAAATGGATCTGTTGTTTTTATTGAATCCCAGTGAGTAGAGAATTGATCATATCTCTGCCTCAGTATACTACAAAAGTGATTATCCTGGGACTGCTATGTGGTAGCTCCTCTCCCCTTCATATCTTCCTTGTACACCCTCATTCCAACCTTTTTCTTGCTTTCTGCTATCTCTGCAAATCTGATACCCTGAAGAAGACATGTGGCACACCAGCGTGTTCTTGGTATGATCTTCTCAACCTATGCCAGAGGTACTTGGCAAGCAGCACCAGACCATCCGTTACAATGACAAGCAGCCAGGATAAAATAAACACCTCTGGGCAGTGAGAGATTTCCTAAAGGATGTGGACAAGTCAAAGCCATCAACTCAGGCTTTATCCATCTCATGTCTGCATTCTCAGTGTTTTTGGAAAGTAGTTCTGCACTGAAGAAATGGTAGCACTAGACCTTAGGATGCTGAGGTGGCAAGAAATAGTGGCTCATTGTGCTTTCAACTAGGGCAACGGCCTCATCTTTTAATGATTTAGTGCCCATGACGATGATGAATTATTAGCATTACCTAGAACATGGTGGAGTAGGATTCTATTCAGATGTTTCTCAAATGACCCTGGCCTTGGATCTTGATCCTTACCCAACTATCCCTGCTGCTATTGAGATACTACAACCTTCTCCCAGTTCCTCAGCATTGTTTTCCTCATTCGTGGTTGGCTCTACTAGTGTCCTTTGTTCATGTTCAGTGACTCCATGCCAAATTTAGGGATTAAGTAAGTTGTTCTCTTGACCCTCTCCACTAGTACTTTGTCCAAGTGCCCCTCTCTTTGGCCTATAGCAACAAGACTAGTGCTCTCTGTCTTCATGGAACAGACTTCTCTAAGATAGGTCTGAACAGTGCAGCTCCATTTGAAAGGAAATGCAGGGAATTGCAGCCTGACTTCATACTGAATGGTATACCTCTGAGTTATACCTTTGCTCTGCTTTGATTCTTCAAGGCCAAGAGTGACCTTGGGCAGTACAAAAGAGATGACTACTCCTGTCACTTGCCTGTGAGGATGCTTCTTCCTGGCTACACTTTAGCTTTTAAAGGCATTGTTAATGGTAACATATAGCCCCATGTTTATTTCCCAGTTTTCTTGTAATCTTCGTAATTTCAATAACTTATTTTGGTTCTCATTCTAATGCTGTATGCTAGTAGCCTGTCCTTTTTTTCAGCCAATAGTCAGCCACCTCTAACTTTCCAGATTTATCCTTATAACCAGACCCAGAGAAAGGATTTTTTTTTAAGCCTACACTTGAAAATTATGGAGTGTTGCTGCTTCTACCATTAGTAGAGAATGTGCTTTTTAGTTACATTATTCAAGTAGTTGGGATTGATGTATGCTAGCTGGAGGTAAGAGCTCCTGCTATGGCCCAGCACAGACTATATTGAGCTTTTCCAGATGGGAATTAAATCCTTGGGCACATCCAAGCCATGCTTTCTCAAGCTGAGTTAGCTGGAGAGCACCCTGTAGCTGCCACTGGTGCCTTTGTTAGATATTCAGGAAGACAGCTAATGTACTCTGCTGTGCATATGTGTTGAACATCTAAATCTCAGGATTACCTGGAATTTAGTAGAAAAGTACATTTCCCATTAGTTATGATATGCTCTTCATAGAGTGAAAGTCTTTGTAGTATAAAGGTAAGTTAGGCTTCTGAAGACTAAGCTGACATTCTTAGCACCTTAGTTTCTCTGAGGCTAAAGTATGCTGAGATGAAAGTCTTTTGACATTTTTGGTTCTACCTGGAATTTGGTGGTTGGTATTCTGTTAACATTCCTCATCTAGTTATAAGTCATGCCAGCCACCAGTCTTCCCATGTCCTTCCCTTTCAGCTCAGAGTTGTAACAGCACAACCCTTGTATGGCCTTTTCCAAGAATTAGAACTGGCTGCACCTATCAAACGTGTAATGTGGGCAGCAAGGCTGAGACCAGAGCCGGTGGCTGGCTGCCTGGCCTGTTTTTTTGGTCCCTCTTAGAAACTGGATCCAGCAAGCAGCTGTGGGTAACCTCCCTGCTTGAATCTAGTCATCAGTCACCACATGCTCCCCTGCTAGCTGCACATTCTTTCACAGACCATTAGCTGCATGTGTGAGCATAATGTTGTTACTGTTTGGGGGATGTTTGCTGGATCCAACAGGAAATCAGTCCTTCCCTTGTTTACCTAAACTGCCATGCCAAAATATAATGCTCCCTCTGCCTAATGAAGGAGATGAGGGAGTTGAGGAGAGGGAAGGTCGGGGATAAGGAAGAAAGCACTTCTTTGTATTCACAGAGGGTTCCCCGGAACATGTCCCTTTTTACTCCCTAAGGAGGGGGTAGCTCTTGTGATGTGGTGGCTCTTGTGATGTGGTGGGGGTAGTGCTGTTGTAAATCTGCTCCATCTGCTACCATTTATTTTGGCTTCGCAGCCTTGATTATAAAAGTTTGCAATCCTCAGACTTTACCTTCTTGCCCCTATCCTTTACCCCTTAACCTTTCTAACCCGTGTTTCAGCTCTAAGCCTGGGGAGGCTGACTGGGAAGCAGACTTATGTCTGATTGGAGAAATGTAGATGGGCAGTCATGAGAAGCATGTGTGCCCTGTGTATCCCAGGCCCTGGCTCCATGGGAGGCAAAAGGGTAGGTCTGTGGTTCTGGGGTGTGTACATAATCACAGCTGGTCTGGTCTTTGTAGCAGTCCATAATGAGCAACTTTTATTGGCATTAGGGTGTCAGTCCTGTAAGGATCATCACTTAAGTGTGTCTCAGTGGAGAAAAGATCAAGAATCATGTCAAGAAGACCATGGGGTTTTATTCCACTTGAGCAAGAGCAAATCAGAGCCCCATCAAGCAGGAATGGTGGCCTTTCCCAGGTTCCATCCTTAACTAAACTGACTGTTCCCCCTTCTGATTTCTCCACGGTCTTCTGTCTCTTGCTCTGCCAAACTTGTTTTCTTATCTCTGTAGAGATGAGTGGCTTGTTTGATGTTCTTTCCATGGCAAAAATTTATTCAATGCAAAGTTCACTTCAGACACTTGGTTGAGACTTGAAGTTTAGACCAATCCTGAGATGCGTGGTGATCCTGAGAGAGAGCAGACTGCCTGCCAGGTAAATGGTCCATATTATTTCCTTGGCAGAGGCCCTGACAGGGGCTGGGGTCCGTGTTACCTCAGCAGTCTTTCTGCTTGGCCTACTCTTGCTGCTCTGTAGGAAGGCCCTATCTGGCCATTTCTGTGAAACTTGCCCCTTCTCAAGCACTCCGTAACTGTTGGTGTTGGCCCATCAGGCAATAAGGGGATGCCCGAGGTCTGTGCTTCCAAGGATAATAGAAACACCCATGTGTGTGGTAAGATAAAGGTAAGGACACTAAAGAACAGAGTGTGAGAGGTGAGTTCTAAATAACAACAGATGAAGAAAGGATTGGATCCACCAGCTTCTCTGCCAGTTGTGATTTTGATACAAGTTGTGTTGCTTTGAGCTCCTAGCAGAGAGCTAACACTACCTGCTGTGTATTTTGGTCCTCTGTCCTATACTCCTCCAAGACATTTGCAAAGCACCACTTAGATGGGGGACTGGGCCATAGTCCATCCCTAAGAAACTGAGAGCTCCTGAATCCCGGATCTCTGTGGCAAGATTCAGGGATGACTGGGTTTCCTTACAGAAGAGGAGCTCAGCTGAGCAAAGCCTGGAGGACATATTCCATAGGCCACAGGCCCTTAGGGGCAGGCCCAGAGCCATCCTGAGGGAGCAATACCATCTGGATTGGTGATCTTGCCATCAAAAGGCTTCCTGAGCAGGTTCTTGGTGCCCCTTGGCACTGGCCCTTTTCCTCTGAGTTGGGACTCTGTGAAGGGCATGGCTCCAATAAGCTGAGGTATCTGGTGTATCGGCAGCAGCTAGGAGTGTGCAGTGACAGCTTCAGATGAGGTTGTTCCTGAGACGCTGTTCCTGCTCCAGGGAGAGTTCTGCATTGGCTGGGTATGAATTCCCTGTGGGCCAAAGGAAAACAGGTAAGTAGCCAACCTTTCCAGTCTCATCCCTTCCCTGACAACTTACATAGATCCACTCTGCCCAGCTCATCCTTTATATCAAGTCATGGCATGGGCACAGACACCAATCATTTTATAGAAATAGGCCTGGGACAGGTGTGTGGTTTCAGGAACATCAGGAAGAACAGGCTATTGATTGGAAAGAGTTGTGCTAGTTATTCTCCTTTGCCCCCCTCCCCAGGTTCATTCTCTGCCCTTTTTTCCCTCTGTGCCCTAGGAAGCTGATGCCTAGCGATTACATCACTCTGGCTCCTTTGTCCTCTTTTTTTGTTTGTTTGAGTTGGGTCAATGGAAAGCAACAGCAGAAGGTCAGAGGGTGGAAGGAGAGAGGCCGGATATTCCTTCCCCTACTTTGGCCCTGTGGTTCTGGCAGTGATGGTCTGTGACTCCTGTTCCAGCTAGGTTCACCCTCCTTCACAACTCTGGCTTGCACCTGGCTGCAAAGCAGCCCTTGCCCCTCTTCAAGCCTAAAGCAGATAACGGTTTTCTACTTTCTTTATGCTTGATGTCTCAACACTCCTTGTTTTCTTATAAATAGTCCTTTAATTAAATAAACTCAGACTCTCACCCGAGTGTGCCTTCTGTTTTCCGCACACTTCTGTTTAGCCCTGTTGGATCCTAAACACTGGCAAGAGGACCTGCAGGACTGCATTATTTTTCTTGCCCTTGTCACTGCCTGGGAACCCTTGCAGCCTGATTCTAGCATTATGGAGGATCTGCTGTCTCCGTGTGCGTAGCCTTGGATTCCAGTTCCTGGTTCCTCTCAATATCCCTGTTTCATTTAAGTGGCAGCACAATCTACTCAGCCACACAAATTCGAAACCTTAGACTGTTCTTCCTCTTCTCATTTTCGTCCATCTGTTGCCACAGTTATTTTTTGAAAACCTAAATGATCTTTTGCCTCCTTGACTGAAATTTGTCAATAGTTCCCAGAAGCCCACGGGATAAAATCCATTATCTTAGAACTATCACAACCCTCCCTGCAAAAAGCTCTAGTACTTAGTAAGTTTGAAGTATACAGCCCCATTTTACAAAACAGAAAACTCAGGTCGTGATTTCCTCACTGTCCTCCAGCTAGAAAGTGGTGGGACTGGATTCGGGTGACGCCTTCCAAAGCCCAGTCCTGTGCTCTTTCTCTACTCCTCCCATGTTTGACTTTGGCTCCTCCTTCAAACCTCAGATCAAATACTACTTCTGTGAAGCTTGTGCTAGCCCCCAACAGGTTGCTTTCTGTCTGTGCTTGCTCAGCATTCAGTCCACACATTAGTAGTATTGGGGCTATTTGCATGTGTGCATACCCTATCTGACACTTACATTCCCAGTTTCTGGGGCACAGCGTTCAACACAATAGTGAGCCTTAGTAAATGTTTGTTGACTAAATGAACAACTCTGCCCCATCCCACCGCACATATGCAAGTATGAGTGAATGCATATCCCATAGCAAATATGGGCATTTTTAACCCTTGAAGATAGAGGGAGTCTTTACTGACAGAACAGCCCCTCTTCTCTGCCCCCACTGGATCATGATGCTTCCTTTGACTGATGCTACCAATCCTGTAAGTGGCTCTGTTTTCCATGGTCCCCTTCTTGCAAGCAGTGATCACAGCTGGAGACAGCAACACAGAGCAAGAGGACTACTTTTGCCTGTGAGGACCCTAACCCTAACTTCTATATGAAAGAGAAAGGAAAAATAATGGACTTGAAAATCCTGACATGGCTTGAGGTGACAGGAAAGATTCTAGAACAGATTGGAAACTGAGTTTACAATCAAACAGCCTTAAGTGCAAACAGGGATGTAGAAGATGTAGTTATTGGGTGAAGCCGATGGTCTGACCAGTTCTAGAAGTCTGCCTTGTAAGATGTCAAAGGAAATGCATCTCTGTTCCATCCATAGCCTTTTGCACACCACACACATACAAGTCACACGCTGGAGTGTGGGAGCAGAGGGTACATTTACAGTGTTCCAGCTCCCTGAGCCTATAGATGGCTGATTCCACAGTGGCTCGGAGTTACCTGTGTGGCAGTTGTGCAGCCAGACCCGGTGCCCATCATACTTGCAGCGGCACTGCAGCATATTGTTGGAGAAATCTGACTCTGCCACTTCATAGTGGGGGTTCACAATCACCTAGAGTGAAAGAGGGGACAACTGAAAATGGGTGATTTGGTTTCTGAATGAGTTGACTGTGGCTGTGATAATCCTTACATGTGTTTCTATTTGCTTCATTAATTCTTAACAATTACCCAGGAGGTAGGTACTGATGTTCCCATTTTACAGATAGGGACTGAGAAGTCCCAACTGAGAAACTGATTTATCCAGTGTTCACTGAATCAATACTCAAACACAGGTTCATTGGACCCAGCTTGACTGTTACTTCCCTAACAGGACAGCTCCTTTAAGTGACAGGCCTGTCGGAAACCCTGTATGGGAAATTCTTCCCTTCATTTGCCCTCAGGGAAAGTTGTGGAACATCTGGAGGAAATCAGGCTCTGTGGGGAATCCCCCAGCCGCCTTACCTGGAAGATATAATTCCCGGGGCCCACATCTGTGATATCCACCCACTGGCAATCAATGTCATGCCGGTAGGTGTCCCAGCAGCCTACAGTCACTCCCTGTTCTCCAAAGTTGGCACATGCGTAGCGCCGCTGCAGTCCTGTAAGGAAGGGGACAGACAGGTTTTGAGGCAGGACGAAGCACTCTGCTAGGTCTTTTATTTCCTTTACCAGTTCAGTGTCATCATGCCCAGTTCACAGATTAAGGACCGTCAGAGCTAGAATCCTGCTGTGAATCCAGCACCATAGCAAACCACATTGTGACAAAGATAGGATTTGTTTGACTGCTCCAGTGCAAATCCCTGTTGAACTAGGAACTGTGGTTGGGAGATTCCAACGCTCCCGTGCTAATTTACTTGTGCATCCGCCTATCCATCCTTCCAAACCTCTAAAGATTCAGTGTTTACCATGCAGTTCCTAAGGGTTAGGGACTGTGGGTGTGCAGACAGGAAGCAGGCAATGCTTGCCCTCGGAGAGCTCAGCAGAGATAGGACAGGTCTGCAACTCTTCTCCAAGATGGAAAGTGCTGAGTGTTTTAAAAGAAGAACAATGCGTGGGGAATTCAGAGGAAGTAAAAACCTCCTGCGTAAGATTTCAGAAGGTAAGAAATTGCCTTGAATGCTAACTTTTCAAGCCAGGGTCTCCAGGTGCCCTGGGCTGCTGAACAGGGCAGAGAGAAAGCCTGATCCCAAAGGGGCTGAAGAACATAACAAAAGGAGATGCTGATAGGTGCTGACAGGAAACCACATACCTGTGGGGCAGTTTGTGTCCTCCAGACAGAAGCTGGCCTTGTGCCCCTCAGCCACCTTGGAGCCATTGAGAGTGAGGAGGTCGTAGTGGGTGAAGACCTCAATGCTGTGGTAATGCCTGCAGAAGGGGTAGAGCTGTCAGTGCGGCAGCAACAGGAGAGGGTCCTCTCTGGAGGGGCTGGTAGGGAAGACAGGCCCCAGGCCCCATCATGACCCGAGAGGAAAGTTATAGTAGGCAGTGCCCTTCTCCCTCCCAAACCCGAGATTAGTGTGACGCACAGCCTCCTTTGCTGGCACCCCTGCCAGGCAGCAAGTACAGCTGCCCCCACCACCTAGGGTCTCAACCCAGGCAAGAGGTAGAAGCCCTGCTCTGGTCGCCTCCAGGAGGCTGGTGCCTGACAGCAAGGCCTGAACTGGGGGGAGAGGCGGGGCACCGGGTCTGTGAGCAGCCTAGGAGCTGACCTGCTGGGAAGAGGGTCCCTGTAAGCCTGGGACCAAATTGCTACCATTGTTTCCAATCCAGTTATAATGACAGCTCTGTTCATGCTACAGGGAAAGGTGCTTATTATCTCAGGCGAGACCAAGTCCCAAAGTCATTGCCCATTCCTTTCCACTTTCTCCACCCGTGGCTATGTTCTGAAGAAGAAAAAACAATTCTGCCTTTGTCACAGGCATTGTCTCTCCCTCTCTCTGGTCTGGAAGCTCCTGATAGGAAAGAATGTTCATTGTCACTTTTTTAGTGGCAGTCTGTTCATGCTGTTCTTTGAGGGCCTTGCCTTACTACTGAAGGAATCAGCGAGCTTTTCCTGCAGAGCCAGCACCCTGGATGGGATGTCTATTTTGGGCCCCCAGGTTCCTGGGAGTCCCCACTTTACCTGGCTTCTGAAGACAAGGCCTATGATCCAACATAGGAAAAGTGTCAAATACCATTCTAACAGAACAACTCTGCTGGCGGTGACGCCTCTATGGGATGTTGCTGTGGGAAACAGACCCCACGGGCACCATTGACATAGTGAAGGCGAGAGCGATGGAGGGGCAGGTGGATGCCGCTGTCCTCACTGCCTCCTGCAGGCAAGGCCAGCAAGGAGAGCGCACACCCCTCCCAGGAAAACTTGCCTGTGGCCAGGGAAGGGCCAAACTGCTCCCTGGACCCTGCTTTTTGTTCCTAACCCTCTAGTGCCAATGCATGGGCAGGCTCTAACCTGTGGCACTGGTGCCAAACCCAGCTATCGCGTCCAGTCTTTGGACGAAAGTCAGTCCGGCCCAGATTGTAGATCTGTGTGGAGAAGCGCAATAGGCGGCGGTATCCGTAGGGCCAGTCCATGTGATCCGCAGACTTGGAGAGGCAGTTCTCCTCGTGGGCACAATACAGCTGGCTGAGCGGGCGGTCCTCCAAGTAGGCCGTCTCCTGCACTAGCTGGGCGTTCATCACCAGGTCTGGTGCACCTGGGGCGGCGGAGGGCATGGCAGTGACTCAAAGGGTGGAAAGGCAGCCAGTCTTAGTCTCCAGCACAGAGGGCAAGCTTGCCCCCAGATTAAACCCTCCGAGAGGACCCCACAAAAGAAGGGCAGTTTTAAGAGTCAGGAGATGGTGAGTTCTAATAACATTTAAAGGAAGTCTATCACCTTAACCTGGGAGGCAGCTACAGTGTCATGGTTAGGCTTGCTGGTTTTGGAGCCAGGCCACCTGGGTTCATTCTTGGCTTACTTTCTGACTGTATAATTCACTAGCTCTATAACTGCTTAACCATTTTGTCTCTCATTTTCATCATCTGTAAGATGAAGATAATGGTGATATTAATCTGATGACACCTGTAACATGTCTGGCCTAAGTAAACATGCAGTTGAAGCTAGTATTTATTTTGTAAAATGCTTTTAAGCCTGTAAAGTGCCTTTATGTAGCTTAGTTCATATAATCCTCTCAAAAAGCTCTGCTGATACCTAACCTGGATACTTTGCCTGTACTGTCACTAAAAATCACTATCACTAAAGTAGTCCTGGGCGGAAGTGAGGCCCTGCCACACCACTGACCACAGCATGCATGCCACCTGGGCAGGCCGGCCGCAGCTTGCCCCAGGCTGGAGCCATCTGCATCTGGCAGTTGGCCATGTAGGGTCCTGTGGTATATATTGGAGAGAGCCAGGAAGTGCCCACTGACAAACCTAGAGTTTCTTGGTGAAAGAAGGCGAGCTTTCAGAGAGAATGAGAAGAGAGAGTAAAGGAAAGAAAGCAATGTGAAAAGCCAGGGAGGAAAAACAGGTGGTTACAGAGACTGCAGATTGGCTGACTGTGCCAAGTTGTCGTGAAGGATCAAATGTGTTCAAGAAGAGCGCTCCCACTGTAGGCAGTGGAGCAGGGAGGGGTTCGAGGTTCCCAGGAAGGGGAGTCAAGTGAGGAGCAGGCTCCCCACGTGCTGGGAGGCCTTGGTGATGGGGAGGTCCACTCTCATGCCCCATCCCTGCAGGGGAGGGTCTGATGGATGGGCCCAGTGTTCTCCCCAGGGTGCCCTGGACAGAGAGGAAGCCAGGAGCTCACTGACAAAGATGAAGGATATCTTGGTGTCGAAATTTGGCCACGAACAAGGTCAAGTGGCCACTTGGGTTGATGCTATCTGTAACCTTTGGGCTGGATATAGTCCATCTTGGCACTGACCTGGCTGGGAGATGTCAGAGATGCTGCTGCCCTAAGAATCTGGGTTTGTGGGGCAGAGCAATGCCACAGATGGCCTTGTCCCAAAGTCTTTTTGGGTAAATCCCACAGCTCAGGAAGAGAACACACAGCTGGGCCTTGGCCCCGGGTGTGCTCATATTTGTATGTCCTCTACGACAGCTTTCAAACTGCTTTTCTGACTACAAACCACAGTAAGAAATACATTTTATGCTGTAACCCAGTATACACATAGTTCCAAGGAAAAACTGCCCTTGCTGTTTTCTGTCCTGTTTCATTGTTTGTAACTGTTGGTCATAACCCAAAGTTGAAAACCGCCGTTCCGTGTCCTTGTGCTTCCTCATGTTCTCAGTGTTCTTTCTCACAATAACTCCGTGAGGGGGCAGGGTATGGATCCTGATGGGATGGGTGATTTGGCCACACAGCTGGGAAATGGCAGAGCTGGTACTTTCATTCCCCCATGCTGCTGGCCATAGACCTGGGACCAGCATGCAGGGCCCTCCCTGAAGGGGAGCACAGGCCTACCTGTCCCCAGCCCTGTGAGCCCTCCGTCACTCACTGTCCATGCAGGAGACTCCAGCCAGGAAGCGCCCGCCACCGTGGGAGCAGTGCACCGGCCCGTGCCTCTGGCACTGCTGCAGGGCCAGCTCTGTGCCTGAGCAGCGCACCCCACTCATCACCACCTCCTGGGCCCTTGGCGTCCCCGACCAGAACCAGGTTTCCTAAGAAGACAGCCAGCGTCACCCAGTCAGCGTGCCTTTGGAGTCACCTCCTGACTCCCATCTGAGGTGTGGCCTCAGTCATACCACCCCCACCGGGTTGTGTCCAGCCTGGGCCTGAAAATCTTCAGTGATGAGAACCCGAATTCCCTGGGGCAGTCCATGACACATTTGGACCCTTCTGATGTTAGAAATCCCCACCACATATGGAGGTAAAAATCCACCCACCGTGGCTTCCACTACTGGCCCTACACCCCTCTCTCTTCCAGATGGCAGAGGAGGGTCCTGTTCCCCGCCCCTCTCCCTGGGGGCTGTGCTCACATTTCCCCAGCTGCTCCTCAAGCGGCCCAGATCGTCAGTTGTGCTCAGGGTTGCCCAGTCCACACTGTGCGGCAGCCAGTGTGGGTGCAAGTGCAGAGGTTTCTCTGTTGCGGTCATGCCTAAGTCCTCTTGATTTTATTTTTTGATGTATTTTAGATCTATCCACTTATTTCTCCTGGACTACCTGGTCCAGTCCAGCCTCATTTCTCACCTGGGCTACTACAATAGCCTCCTGAGTGTGTTTCCTTGCATTCATGTTAATCTCCACCCAACGTTTTCCAAACAGCAAAGGAAGAAATCTTTCAAACATGTGGATTGCAAGCTTTGAGTGATCTTGCCCCTGCCTCCTCTGCCCTCATGTTTGACAGCACTCTCGAGAGAGAGCCACACTACAATCCCTGGCCCTGATTTCCTCAGCTGAATCAAGCTTTCTCTGGCCACAGGGCTTTTGCATAAGCTATTCATTCCTCCTCCACCTTGTCTGACTAATTTCTATTCATCTTTCCTGCAGATGCAAATGTGTCCCTCATTGACGATTTCATTAGGACTATGTCTTCTTGTTTACCACACTGTTCCCAGCACTCAGCATCATGTCGGCTCATAGTTTCACTCAGTAATGAATTGCCAAATGGGCAAAGAGGCAGCAGCTTTAGCACAGGAAGTTTTGGGCCTCAGAACAGGAGGGTGAGAGGTCATACGGAAGAAACAACAGAGGGACCTACCTTGTAGGCATGGATGGCAAAACCCAGGCCGAGCTGTCGGCAGGCCACCATGGCTTCGGTGAGCCCCCAGTTTTCACTGCACACGCTCCCCCAGCGTGGGACCCCGTTCACCTCCACCTGCACCTCCAATAGCCCCTCCTCAGGGATACGCCCACCAGCCAAGCGCACCTGCAATGGCGAGGGGTGTGTGAGGAGTGGGGTAGCCTTGCAGGGAAGAGCTCAGGGCTGCGAGCCTGGAGGTCTGCCCAAGCCAGCTCACTGTGTCACCCTAGACAAGACAGTCCCCTTCTCTGCCTTGGTCTCCTTCTCTGTAAGGTGAGGACAGTGTAGCAGGTAGTCTCTAATGTCCCTGCCTGCTAGAGAAATCTGACTCAAAGTGCCTGGACCAGGGGCTCCTCCTGCTCTGGCACTTGCCCTCCACCATTAACGACAACTGGCAATTTGCAAAGGGCTTTCATGTCCCTTGCCTCATTCACAGTGACCCCCTGAGAGCGTGAACCCCATTTTACAGTGGCACCAGTGACTTGCTCACAGTCCATGTTAGCACTGACACTTTGCCCTGAGCATCCCACACAGACTCCCTCGTGCCGACAGCCCTGTGGCCCTCTTTCCCAGGCACCTTCTTTCTCAGCTTCACAGGGGACCCGAGACGGGTATGGGAGAGCACATCCATCTGCAGAGCCCCTGTGGCCTCTGACATTTCGGAGGGGCTGCAGCCAGGTCGGCTCTAAGGGAAGGCAGACTGGTGCCCAAAGCAGAAGCGCTAGCCGCTCCTCCTGGACCTCTCCCCGCTAGCTCGATGTGGTGTCCTGGGGACTCCCCAGGGTTTCCCGGCCCCCAGCCTGAGGCCATGCTCAGACCCAAACTCACCTGATTCTGAAAGCCCATGTTAGGGACATTGCACCTGACAGCAGCATCATTCTCATGTTGGCAACCATTCTGGGACCCTTCCAGGGCAGGGCAGTCGCTGAGGGTCCGCTCATATCCCCTGCAGCGCACCTCACTCAGGTGGATGGGCCCTAGCCCTAGATGGGGAGAGAGGTGCTGTGTGCGAGGCTCCATCTCCGTAACCCCACACTTGTGGCTTCCCCTTCACAGAGGGGGATAACTTTCTGTCCTGGCCCTGTCACCCCAGGGCCTTCAAGACATGGACCAGTGGCATATCCAGGCCTTCTAACCCCTCCCAGGCTGTCTCACTCACCTTGGCCCAGCCGGGCCCCAAAGAGGGCCTCCCGAGCAGAGCCAAAGCCCAGCTGACGACACACGACACTGGCAGAGATGAGGTTCCACCTGTGGTCACAGACCGTGCCCCACTGGCGGTTCATGAGCACTTCCACCCGGCCCTCGCCCACCTGGGCCCCGGAGCGCAGGCGCACCCTCGGCTCCTGCTGGGAGAAACCTGCTTCAGGGACGGCTGAGGAGGAGGCACCAGCAGGGGCTGAGCCCCCACAGCGGGATCCCCAACGGGGCTCCTTCAAGTTCCATGGCGGTGGCCAGAGCCAAGGATGGGGAGTTCCAGTCCTGCTTCTGACTTCCCATAGCTGTCACCCTGAATAAGCTGTTTTTCTTGATCTCCATTTCTTCAATGACCAATCACCCCCACAGCCTCATCAAGGATGCCGTCTCAAGTGTGGCGCTAAGGCATCTGTACCACCTCACAAGGCCATCTCAGTGTGGCACTAAGGTGTCTGTACCACCTCACGAGGCTATCTCAGTGTGGCACTAAGGTATCTGTACCACCTCACGAGGCCATCTCAGTGTGGCACTAAGGTGTCTGTACCACCTCACGAGGCCATCTCAGTGTGGCGCTGAGGCATCTGTACCACCTCACGGCATCTGTACCACCTCATGAGGGCATCTCAGTTTGGCACTGAGGCGTCTCTACCACCTCATAAGCACTTGCTCATCTCCTCTTTAAAACAAAGGAGCAGGCTCAGGAGCAGGCTCAGGATCAGTACCAGCCCTCAGTGGAATGTAGTTAGGATTTAATTACTGTTTTTACGGTCACCTTCTATTCAAGGCGGGTGATGTCAGCTTTCCATTTATGGTAGGGCTATAAATGATCCCTTTTAAATACATTCCAAGGTTCTACAGTTCTGTGATTCACTCTCCTCCTCCCAGTCTGGTTCCTCTCTCCTGCGTGTCCTGGACCTCCCCGCACCCCCCACCAGGCAGTGTCCCGCCCGTGCCTCCAAGCTGTGGTGTGAGTGCAGGATGCCCAGGGCTCACCTCTGCCCAGGACCCTTTGCGTTGTGGCTTTGTCTTCGGTGGGCGGAAGTGAGGCCCTGCCACACAGCTGACCACAGCGTGCATGCCACCTGGGCAGGCTGGCCGCAGCTTGCCCCGGGCTGGAGCCACCTGCACCTGGCAGTTGGCCATGTGGGGCTCTGTCCCCAGGCAGGTGACCTGGTGGATCCAGAAGGAGTTCTTATTCGTCAGGCTCTTCAGCCTAGAGGACAAGGGAGACTGAGGGTGGAGGAAGGGCTGAGGGAAGAGCTTCAGGACTAAGGGAGGCCAAGGTAGAAAGGAGGGAAGGGGAGGGTAGGGGATGGGATAGAGGCCCTTCATGCCACACCCCTTTGCCTCCTCCCTCTAGGGTGCTGCTCCTCACCTAGACTTAGGGTCCCTCATCTTCAGATCCCAGACTTTCCTGTTATGGGAGAAAACAGATAGGAGGTGGAAGGGGTGTGGAAGTCCCACCCCCTGCCACCTGGTTCCTCATAGTTGTCCTTAAGTTTGCACAGGACTTTACATTTTGTAAACTTATTCACTAATCTGATTTCAATGCTGAGCTTCACAGCAGCCCTGACGGGGTGGCCACCTCACAAATAACCATTTTACAAGGAAGGCAAGCAAGGTCCCTCGGCCAGTCCTAGAGTGGGGGCAGGTGGATCAGGCTTGCCCTCTCCGAAGTCCAGAGGAAGGGGAGCATTTAGGGAGGGCCCAAGAGAAGGGGCCCTCTGGGGACAGGTGGGAGGTGAAGGCCTTGCTGGTGGGGGCGGCCCGCCCAGAGACACCCAGGCTACCATCAGGCCTGCCCTCCTCATGGGTGGCAGGCAAGTCAGCGAGACCCAGGTGTGCAATTACCAGGCAGGGGGAGTCAGGCTGCATCCCAGGATCCCCAAGGATGGAGCCAGAGGCTGACCAGCACCCCTGTTTCCTCAGAACGGGGTTCCTCTAAGTCACTGCAACAAGGGCCTTCTAACCCTTTAGGGAAGCAGGATCAAACTGATTGGGGTGGCAGATGACTCAGACGTACTACGGGAGACTTCTCACTTGATGGGAAACACACAAGTCCTCCCTGACACGGATCTGGCAGAACCATGACTGTGGCTGTCGTTTACTGGTTGATGCAATCAGTTGTGACAGTTCCGCCTTGTTTCTGACAGAATATTTTTATGTCTCCTCTCTCCAGGTGCCCCACCCCACGCCTCACTTACACACAACCCAGTCACAGCCTGGCTTGATCAGAGCTGAGGAAATTCAGGAGGGAAGCGTTGGGATATTCGCAGTGGAATTGAGGATGGAGGCTCAGAGGCCCTCCCCAAAGCCCTAACGCCAGTCACTGGCTGAGCTGAGGCCAGAACAGTTTGTCTAAACTCTACACGTGGGTGTCACTGCAAGTATCTGCAGGAAAGTCTAGTGTTTTAACCAAGGACACGCGGTTTTATGTTCAACTGTTTTCACCGGGGGCGGGGGGTGGGGGGGCGTTCTGTACCTAGTTAATTCTGTTTACATAATTCGAGAGTGCAGTGTTTGTTTTCTGACTGTTTCTAGGTATTTCCCAGGATCCTGAAGGTCCTCCTTATTCACTTTCCTGTTTATTATTCTGAGGCACCCGTGAAGCAAGAAATCTGGGCACATTCCTCAGTAGGGCCTGTTTTCTCTCCCCCAATCCCAACACCTGCTGGATGTCCTGCCACAGACAACACCACTGCCAGTCAGTACTCACTGAACTCTGCGAGGTCCCACATGCCACACACATCACACACTCGCCTGTGTGCATACTTACTTGCCCCTCACATGAGTCCACACTCAGACTCATGCACACACCCTACATCACATGCACGCACATGAACACACACTCAGTCCCTGCCCCACAACCCTGCCTCCTGTGGGGCCTACGCCAGCCGCCCTCCTACCTGTAGTAGTGGCTGTCGACAGGCACCTCGCTGGGGAAGCCCAGCATCCCGCACACCACCCTGCTGTTGTTCATGGTCCAGCCCTGGTCACACACCTGCCGCCAGTGGCCCTCATACTTCACCTCCACGGCTCCCTCGGTCACTGGGCTATGCTGCTTGGCACTGGCAAGGATGGGCTTGAGCCGCACCTCCTCCAGCCGCCGGCCCTGCGGGGTGCACAGTCACCTGTGGGCCTCGGGGCTCCTGCTCCTCCAGTGGAGCCTGCTGCAGATCTTCATGCAGAAAGGCTGGGGCTTGGAGCTTTTCGAGACCATCCCACCCAGCCCGGTCATTGAACAGGCCAGGAAACTGAGGCCCAGAGAAGGGGAGGCATTATCAAAGGCCACAGAGTAAGTGCAAGGCAGAACCTCAGCTTGTCTAAGCCCTTTCCCTCAGTTCCTCGAATTTGTCAAATTGGAGAGAACTAGGCAGATCTGGCCCCCGCTGGGATCAGGATGGGAGCCCTTGGAGTTTGGGAGGCTTTTGCTGGGCATGGAAGGGCCTTCTCTGTACCACCCTGAGAGAGCTGAGATGGGCATAGACCAGCTGCTTGAGACCACAGCAGGATCCTATGGCCCACAAGAACCCCCAACCCTAGCCCTGGGATGACTTAGACCAGTACAGAGTCCCCATCACAACACGCTGCATTCAGTGGCCATGGCCAGCTGTCCTGAGGCTGGAGGCTGCCTGGCAGCAGAGCCCTGCCCTGCCCGCTCCTGTTGTTTGGCTTGGGCTGTTTTTAGCTCAGGGTTGTTTGTGCTGGGAAGAGGCAGCAATTGTGGCCAGGCCTCATGGATGAGGGAGCCCCTTACCCAATGCTGTCTCCCTTACGGGAGCAGCTTCTGCGATTCCCAGTGGGGTCAGCTCTGGTCCTCTGGCCTGCCTTGCCTCAGGCTGGGGCCCTCTATTTATGCACCTGCTGCAGGGCACACTCAGGAGTCGGCGGCCTGGGGACGATGCTCAGTGCAGACTGCACCCTTTCCCCTCGCTTATCCTCTAGGCCCGTCTTCTGGGAGGCTCTCTGTTCTCTGACCCAGCCCTTGGCTCAGACCAGAGCCTGAACAGCCTCCTCACCTGGGGCCCAAGGGCATTGGAGACAGTTTCAGAAAGGTAGCCACGATGGCGCCGGGGGTGGCATATCACCCCTACGTCTTCTGAGTGACTGCAGTCACTGACTCCCCAGCCATTAGACCCGCACTGGTCCAAGGAGCTCTCTGTGCCCACACAGCGCACATTGTCCAGCCAGATGGGTCCTGTGGAGTGGAGGTGATGCTCAAAGATGGCACAGAGAGGCAGGTCACAGGCTCTGCCTCCTGCATAGGACCCCACACTTACCAAGTCACCTCTTCCAAACCCTGGGAGAAAGTGGCAGGGAGGAGGAAGTTTGGGTCTCCTGGGGAATAAGTATTTATAACCCTGCCTGCTACCTCCTTTGGGTGCTGGCTCTTAGAGAATCTGTTTTTGGAAAATGCCGGGTAGCTCTAGGAATCAGACCTACCTGTTTGCCCATTTTTTCATTCAACATTCTCTAAGCACCCACTGTGTGCCAATTGCTATGTTCAAGGAACTTAGAGTTTAGTGGTGGTGACGGCGGTGGCCTTATTACAAGAGAGAATGGGAGGGTGGGAGTAGGGGCCATGTGCAGCTGAGGCACTCAGGAAATGCCGTGTGGAGGAGGTCACATGAGCAGGGTATTAAAGGATGGGTGGGTGTCAGTGAGCCCAGCCCAAGAAGACTGTTACCATCTCCTTGCCATCCCACTAGGTGGCACCAGTCACTCACCCTCCCCTTGGCCGTACTTGGCACTGTGGGCCCAGGTCAAGGCAGCTTCGAAGCCCAGCTGGCGGCAAGCCACTGTGGCCTCCTGGATAGCAAAGTTGTCATCACACACGGTGCCCCACTGGCCCTGGTGCAGCACCTCCAGGCGGCCCTCCTCTGGCTTGCTCTCTGGGCCCACCAGCCGGAGCTTAGTGGTGCCCAGTGACTGTGGCCTGCTGGGAGGGGGCTGGCCTAGCAGCAGCAGGAACAGAAAGAGGGTGGCTGGTGGGGACCACGCCATGGTGACTTCAAGGACAGCTGAGGCCAAGATACCTGAGGAATGAGTAAACATGACAGTGATCACCACCTCTACCCAGATCTCAGACCTCTGCAGCAATTTGGCAGCTCCTGGCAAGACAAAGGAAAGAAAACCCCCCTCAAATGTGTGTGTGTGTGCACGCGCACACACACACACAGTGGCATTAATTGAGTCTGGGCCAGGTTAGCTGATTTGGTTCAAATCCACCACATTCGCCATGACCTTGAGGAAGTTTAAACTTAACCTCACTGAGTCTCAGTCTCCTCATCTGTAAAATGGGGATAGTAATCTCCATCTCACGGTGTTGTTGAGTGTTAAATAAAACACCGTATGGAAAGTGCTTAGCAAAGTCCTAGCATTGGTGAGTACACAATAAACAGCAGCTCTTATACACCTAAAATCTTATGTGTAGGCAGACGAGGTGGTCCACCATTTGAGTCACGGGGATGCCCCCAGGGTGCCCTCAGGTCAAGACTATCTACCCCAGGGACACTGCCACCACCTTCTGATGTTCCTAGCACCCTAATCAAATGTGTGAAGTGCCGCCTTCACCTAGAAGGCACATGGAAGGCTGGAGCAGAAAGGGCTATTAGATGGGCATCAAGGACTCCACCACTCATTGGCTGCATGGCTTGGGCAAGTCTCTTCAACTCTCTAGGTCCTGACTCTTTCTTTCTTTTTTCTTTCTTTCTTTCTTTTTTTTTTTTTTTTCGAGACAGAGTCTCTCTCTGTCGCCCAGGCTGGACTGCAGTGCTGCAATCTCAGCTCACTGCAACCTCCGCCTCCCAGGTTTAAGCAATTCTCTGCCTCATCCTCCTGAGTAGCTGGGATTACAGGCGCCCACCACCACGCCCAGCTAATTTTTTTGTATCTGTAGTAGAGACGGGGTTTCACCATCTTGGCCACACTGGTCTTGAACTCCTGACCTCGTGATCCATCCGCCTTGGCCTCCCAAAGTGCTGGGATTACAGGTGTGAGCCACTGTGCCCGGCCCTGACTCTTTATTTCTAAAGTGAGGAGATGGAACCACATATCATCTGGATCCCTCCTGCAGCTTGGATACCCTGTGATAGCCTCACATCCATCTAGGCGTATGATTCATGTAGATTCAATACACATTTTTGGAATACTTGCTTCAGGCCAGGTGCTGGGACACAGAAATTAAGACATCGAACACCCTCCCTACCTTCATGAAGCTCAAGCAAGAAGAATTAGGGAAGCCTTTCAAAGAAGGGACACTTAACCTGAGCCTTATTGGGCAAATAAGATTCTCCTGGGTGAGAAAAGGGGCATTCGAGATACAGAGAAGAGGATTAGGAAAGAGGGAAAGAGGTGAGTTTGTGCAAGAGCAGGAAGTGCCCTTCTCTTACCCCCAGACCACAGTGTGGGGGTTTGGAGGGGAAAGAGATGGAGGGACGAGCTGGGGCCAATGATCAAGGGCCATGTGTACTACACAGAGGGTTTGCCTTCATCCTGTAGGAAGCGAGGGGCCAGGGGAGGGTTTCAGGCGGTAAACAGAGAGGGCCCCTGTCTCCAGGAGGCTGTAATCAGACGTTCTTTGGGTCCTTAGAGAGGGGATGAGGCTGGGGGCAGGTCCTCTCCCCCTCACACAGCAGCCTTGGTCCCGGGACCAGCAGGTGGAGAAGGGCATAGAGGAGAGAGTCTCAGCTGGTTAGAGCTGTCAGAGACCTCTGGAGCCACCGAAGCTGAAGCTCCTCCACCCCAAGGCTCTGCTGCCGATGGAAGCTAAGGCCGACCTGGAACAGGGGATGGAGAAGATGGGCTAAGAAAGCTCGTTCTGATGAGACCTGCCTCTTCCACGGCCATGGCTCCTCTTGGGGAATCATGCAGCTCATCCGCTTGAGTGGGGAGGCTCTCACAGGCCCCTGCCACTCTCACTTCCATGGATGGCATCTGCCCTACTCCCTCTCAACGGCCTTGGCCAGCAGGGCTGGGTGGAGTGGGCTCCTAAAAGTGCACTAAACAAGTTCTGGGAATGAAGCTCCATGGGAGTGGGGATGTGTTGTGTCCCCAGTTCCCAAAATAGTGTCAGGTGTGTAGGTGGCACTCATTCATATCTGTGGTTGCATGGATGGGAGGTGGCAGCACAGTGCTTGAGAGCACAGGCTGGGCGGTCAGACTGCTGGGGTTCGAATCCTGCCTCCACCAGTTCATTTGGAAGTGATCTTGGGCCAGCGATTTAGTTTCTCCCTGCCTCAGTGTCTCCCTCTGTAAAGTGGGGATAATAATAGTAACTACCTCATAGGATTTTTGTAAAGATTAAGTGAAGAAACATTAAATCCTTAGAAGAGCAAGCCTTCAGTAACAATGAACTATTATTATTATTATTATTATTATTATTATTATTATTATTATTATTTTTGAGACAGATTTTTGCTCTTGTCACCCAGGCTGGAGTGCAATGGCACAAACTCGACTCACTGCAACCTCCGCCTCCAGGGTTCAAGTGATTATCTTGCCTTAGCCTCCCAAGTAGCTGGGATTACAGGCATGCGCCAACATGCCCAGCTAATTTATCTGTATTTTTAGTAGAGACAGGGTTTCACCACATCAGTTCTTGAACTCCTGACCTCAGGTGATCCACCCGCCTTGGCCTCCCAAAGTGACGGGATTACCAGCGTGAGCCACTACATCGGCCAACAATGAACTATTATTAACAGCTACTGTGACAGCGACGATAGAACCGTTGGTCTAGATTGGTCCCACCTCCTCTCTGTACAAAGAAGGAAATGGAGGCCACGTCCGATCTCAACTGCAAGTCCTTGGTACTCCTCTTTGCAGCCTTCTCTAGATTTGCCCCTTTTCCCTCCACCCACACTGCAGAGCCTAGATGCTCCCCTCTCCACTCCCTGAGGCTGTGCAGGGGCTGCCTTCCCATTCTCACCTCTGCAGCTCTCCCCCTCTGACCCCTCCCACGCTTCCTTTCCAGACTGAAACACTGTCTTCTGCATGTCACTCAGAGGCTTGTGGGGGCTCCCAGCTGGCTGTCCCATGAGCAGAGTGCTCTCCATTGTTTCCCATTCCCTCCTCCGTGCTCCCTGGAGTAGGAGGTAGACAGCCAGGGACTGAGCCAAACCACTCCCCAGATGGCAAGAAAGGATGGGACAGATCGGCCTCAGGTCCCTCAGCTATTAGGACCCAGTGGTCACATGGGTCTGGGCTGAGTGACAACCACACCTTCTCTACCACCCCCAGGAGTTGGAATGCTTCTATCTCTGCCGCCAAATTGTGTCTGGAGTCAAATATTTTCCTTTCTCTGAGTCTCAGCTGAAAAACCTGTAAAATGAGGGGGTGGCACTAGACAGCCCCCCTATCCGACATGCTCTGATGGGGCCCAGGGTAGGCTGGGCAGGTCTGCTGTTTGGCTCCTGGCTGAAGTCCCTGACACACTGAGGAGGTCTTGTTACAGGCTGTGGACAGTCCCAGGCCAGCAGCTCCTTCCTCTCCAAGGGACCAACCTGAGGGCATGGGAGGGCTTCTGCTGTAGGACCCTGGGGTCTGGGCCAGGGAAGCTCCCTTCCATGAACGCTGCTGGAAGGTGGGGGGACGGCAGCGGGAACCAAGAGTTAGATGCAGGGAGAGTCCCTCTTATTGGCCTTCCTGCCCACTATAGGCCCCCGAGAGCTTTTGCTCACACCAGACTATAGCCTTCGTCTCCCAGCCTCCAAGCCTTTGCTCTCACTGTTCCTTTCCCTCTATCTAAGACTGTTAAACTCCTACACATCCCACAAGGCCAGCTCAAATGCCACCCCCTCCATTAAGCCCTCCCACAAAGCCTTCCACAAAGCACATTGTGTGTTTGCTTCCTGACCCCACAACCAGACTCCACCTGTCTGTTCCCCTAGCACTGAGCACAGAGGACCAAGCTGTGCATCCTCCCTCAGAGAAGGAAGCGGCCTCGAAAGTGGCCGTTACTTTCCCAAATAAAGGAGAAGGGGACAGAAGAGGGAAGGAAGGTGGAAGGGAAAGAGGAGGGGAGGGAAGTGAGGATAATAACTATACATTTTAAAATACGGATTAAATACTTATCTCCATTTTACAGATGAGAAGGTAAGGTCCAGGGAAGTCAAGTAACTTGCCCAGCCAGGATTCAAACCCAAGCAGCCTGGCTAGACGCCGGACTCTCAAAACCACCAAGAATGGATGTTGGAAGAGGGGGAGGAGGAAAGGAAGGCCGGGAGCCGACTGAAATTCCACCCTGTTCTGGTGGATTTATGACCCAGGCCGTGGTGTGAGGGCACTGGGCAGGGTGCTCTTCGCTGAATGCCGAGTGACAGATCCAAGATCTTGCCAGCTTGAGGCACAGAGGCACCTGCTCCAGGTGTGCCAGGAGATGCTGGGACCTGGCCTGACCTAGCGCAGGTAGGGAGGGCTGAAGACAGCAAATGCCCGAGTATTCAAGAGAGAGCATGGGGGGTGCTGTCCTGAGGGTGCAGCAACTTTAGGATGGCTCATCCCTTCTCTGCCGTTGGGCAGCTCTTCTCAGCAGCCTCCTCTCAGCCCTGTAGCCTCCCCGGGGTTACTGACTCTGTGGACCTGAAGCAGTGCCAACAAATGGTCTCTGAGCTGTACCTGTCCAGGCTAGGAAAGAGGGGGCTTGAAGTCTTCTGCCCCCTTCCCTTCGGTGTTTCTGTCACACGCCGACCCCCCAACATAATCAGCTCCGGTCTGGATAGTTGGAGAGCCCAGATCAGCCCTGGTTCGTTGTCCCCCAAGTCGTAAGTGTGACATCTGAACCCGCCTTGCCCCTTCCCTGTCTCCTCCCTGGAAGAAGGCAGAGCAATGGTTACACACGGCGTGTACACAAACAAGACACGCAGGCACCCCTGAGGCCTGGGCGCACCACTCAGGGCGGGCCTTGGGCCAAGCTCCCCAGCGTGGTCACTTGTCCAGTTGGAAGCAGGTTGGTGAGCGACTGGAGGGCCGGGCTGAGGGTCCAAGGGATCCCCCATGCACCCTAGGCCCAGTCTCCAGGAACCCTCAGAGGCCTGCAGACTCACAGAGAGACAGAAGGACAGATGGGACAGCAAGAGGCAGACCAAGAGGCAGACGCGCGGCCAGGCGGGGGCTCACCAGATGGAGCGCGGACAGTCCGGGGCTGGGCGGGCGCCGCGGCGGAGCAGCGCTAACGGGCTCCCTCCCCGGGCGCCCTGGGGCCTTTTTATCCGCCTCCCGCCCGCGGCCCCCCAGCCCCGAGCTGGCCGCGGAGGAGGCCCCGCAGGCCCCGCCCCGGGCGGGCCTGGAGTCCGCGGGCGCCCCGCCCGGCCTTCCGCGCGGCGCCCCCCGTCGGGACACAGGCCAGGTGGCGGGGGCGCCCAGCCGCAGCCGGCGGGGCCGGGAAGTCCCGGGGGGCGGGGGGAGCGGGGGGGCGGCGGGGGGTCGCGGGGAGCGGAGCTCTCGGGAAAGGGCGGCGCTGGGCCCGCGGCTGTTTTGCAGGGAGGGCCGCGGCGGCCTCGGGAGTCCCTCTCCCAGGCAGTTTCCTCTTTTGCAGAACAAGGTAATGACGCCCACCTAGAGTCCCAGTCTGTGAGTCCTGGTGGGTGCCAGGGCCCCCGGCACAGCACCCTTCGCACGGGAGCGCCCGGCTGTCACAGGGGCCGAATCTCACGAGCTCGGTCACTTAGGACAATGTAGACGCCCTTTCTGGGAGGCCGGGGCTCAGTTCAGAGAGGTCGAGGTGGCGCGGTGCAGCGGTGCTCTCCTGCAGGAACAGGCGAGTCACCCAGAGTTTACTGAATACCGCCCCCCCCCCCCCCCCCGCCCTCCGTGTGAAACTCTGCGCTGCCCATTGTGCAGCTGGGAACACTGAGCCCCAGGCGACATAACTTGCTCCTCCAGGCAATACACAGTGAATGGGAGAACCCCTTCACAGAGCTGAATGATGCAGTCCTGGCCCTTGTCAGACTCACGGGAGGAGGGTGTTAGTGCAGGGAGCAGGGACTGTAGAATTAAAGAAATGTGGACATGGCTGACAGAGAGGAGTCCCATCAGCTGAACTGAGCACCTAGGTGCCTGAACCCCAGTCCAAGCCCCCAGTTTCTTTCCCCTAGACCTGGTCCTGCCCTTAGCCTCACTGGCCCCATCTGTAAAATGGGCAGAGGGTTCCAGCCTCCCGGTTTCCTCCCTAGGCCCACAGCTGCCCAACCTGGTTCCCCCTCTTGCCCCCACCTTGCCTAAACGTCCTTCCAAAGGTTCATTCATCCCACAAGCCTTTATTGATTTTCTCCTACATGCTAGACAGGGTGCTGGAGTGCTAGACGCTGGAGGGGGCCTTCCCAGTCTGGTGGGGGAGGCAGATGTGCAAGTAAGAATAAGCCTGGACAGGCAGAGTGTGATAGAGCTAGGATGTCAAGATGGACCTTTTCGATCCTGGGTGACAGCCAGGTCTTAATGACCCTGCTGCCAGGGACCTGCCATCCACTCCTGGCTGCCCGTGTCCAAGATGTCCCCCCAGTGCCCCTGCCCCACCCCAGCTGGGCCCAAAACATTCCCCATGATGAATCAGCAGGAAAGAATGCTCCCAGCCTCGGGTCAGTGGCAGCAGCCCAGCTCCTCCCCCAGGGACAATGAGGCAGCTGTGGGCTTGGGTGCCAGGTATGCCTAAGCCCTCTCCTAGGGCCCAGCCACCTCTCATGCTGAGCCAGAAGCAACACAGAGGGTTCGGAAACGTGGGCTCTGCCTGCTGCCAATCACTCACCAGGCCTGGCTGCCCAGAACTAAAAATACCCTGGAGCGCAGGGGCGGGCGGAGGATAGAGACCAGGGAATGAATGGATGTTGCCCGGAAGTCCTTTAATTTGCACAACTCTGGGCAGAGGCCAAGGCTGGGAAGCAGTGGAAGTGGGGATCTCTAAGGCATGCGCTGTGAGCCCCCAACCCTGAGAAGTGAGGGGCTCTGGTCCCAGCCCCAGCCCATGGCGTACTAACAGTGGGATTTTCTCGGCTGAGTTGTCATCTCCTCATCCTTAAATGTGATTGCTGTAGGGGTCAGATGGGACCACTGGATTCATCTCAATCAGCTTTCATTTGATTGAGAAAGCCCTCTTCTTCCCTCCTGCCTGGCTATGTTCACCCGGCCTCAGCCCAGCGCCTGTGACCCTCTCCATACTCTTTATATAATGGTCTGTGTCTGCCTTAACTCTGGACACCCCCACCCACCCCCGAGCTTCTTATTTATCTCTAAACCCAGATCCTGTCACAGAGCTTGACACATAGCAAGTGCTCCAGAAGTGCTCACGGATTGAATAAATGGACCTAGCGGTGCGTGCCAGTTTCTGGTCCCCAAGGTGATACAGACAAGCCAGAGGTGCTTCCTATCTTGTCCTCAAGGAATTTGCAGAGTGGTGGGGGAGACAGAGCCACAATCAACCAGCAGGACAAGGCATCATCACCATTATCATCATCATGGCTGGCTGGGGTCGAAAAACCGGTGGACAATGCTTTCATCATCTCCTGTTTACACAATGAAACTGGGACACAAAGGGGTTAAGTGACTTGGCCAACATCACACAGCTGTTATCTGCAGATGGGAGCAAGTGATCAATGACGGCGAAAGCACAGGGCTGTGTGGATGCTGGGCAGGGAAGTCTGAGGGTTGAAGCCTTCCCAGAAGTGCCTTGGAAGGTGGATCTGATACACTGGGTAGAGAGGGGGGAAAGTGGAGTGGTCAGGAATAACACTTTACGATGTTGTGGAAGCCGTGAAGCACCATGCAGGTGTCTGGAGTTACCGCAGCTCCCCTGATCCCTCAGCCAGTACCCAGGGACTTGGATGTGTAAGCATCACCTCTCCCTGCCTCCTCCCAGGGAAAGGAGCTAACATGAATCTCTTCCCCATGGGGTGCTTCTCAACCCTCCCTTCCTGCCTAAGTCAGGGTCTGTACTTTCCTCCCAAGTGGGAAGGCCAGAATCTCCTGCAGAAAGCGGTGGCCTCCAGGGTGCACCTGGTTGAACCCAGTAGTGACCCTGGTGGAGTGCCCAGTGCCCATGCCTGCTGGCAAACTTCCTCCTCAGCAGCCTTCAGGACTCAGTTCTAGCCTCATCTCCTCTGTGACTCAGTATGGAGGAAACTGTACAGCTTTAAAACTGGGCAACCTGAGTTCTAGCTCTGCTTCTGAATTGTGTGGCCTCGGGTAAGTTATTTTGCTGTGCCTAAGGTACTGCCTCCTGCATCTATTTGTCCTGCCGTTGCATTCCTGCCTCCTCTAACACTCAGTGCTGTGGCAACAGCCCCCAAACTGCTCTCAGTTTTTCCCTGCATCTCACTGTTCCTGACGTCAGTCTTTCTAAAGTGTTGTCTTGCTCTAGCTCAAGAATCTTTAATTGCTCACTACTGCCCACAGGAGAGAAGGAATCTCCAGTTGCCTCTACTCACTTCATTTTCCATATTCTACCTACCCTTCAGGCCTAACTCCGATTCCAACTCCTCCGTGATATCTCCCATGAAAACTTGCATGAATGCTCTCAAAGTAGAAGGTGCTGGAAGAGTCACAGAGCCAAACCAGACACAGTGTTTGCCCTCAAGGAGCTCACTGTCTAGTGAGAGAGATGACTCAAAGACATAGCTTGATGGAACGTAGATTGTAATAACAGAAAGTAGGACAAATGGGGAGAACAAGCCATTTTGGCCAAGGACAGGCTCCTCCTTTGTTGAGAGCTGTTTATCCAGAAACAGGGCTTTTGTTCAGGGAGAGGATGGGAGCTGAGAGGGTTTTGTAAGATCATGAAGTTGGGGAAGTGGGGAGGGTGGATCTAGGAAGCCTGGAGGGGCTAGTCAAGGATACGGTTTCTAGGGAGAAAGGAGAGATGAGCTGGTTGCAGTAAGGAGAGGAAATTTGGCGGAAGAGCAGAGCTGGTTAAAAAGAAATTCTAGGAAGTTTGGGTTTGTGATAGGCAAAGTCACCCTCTCCCCTGTTCTGTGAAAGCTTCAGAAACCCCGCATAAGTCAATCAAGTTTGGAGCTGGACAGGCCCACCCCAGCATTTGCAGGGCCCAGGGCAAGACTCAAGGGAGGCCTTATGCCATGAGTCAAGTATTTTAAAGCCATCAACCAAATGAATCCATTGTTAAGTCAATCATGGTCTAGCCTCCCACCTTGACAAATATACCTTTGGAAAGACCTGGAAGGTCAGGTTTGCATTCACAACTTTCCACTCCTCGGAGTTCTGTATGGAACACGCTATGACAAGAGTGTCTGCCTCTGGCCTTGCACCCTGGTGTGTCCGTCCGCACCATATTCTGCCCATCCCACACAGCAAGGGGCCTTCTGCTGTGACAGACATGCAACACCGTCGGCTCTGTGCAGACCTCCCACAGACAGCTGTCCTGTGGCTGCCCCATGCCTGGGTGCACACTCTGGCACAGGCACAGGCTGCACTCAAGAGGAAGGTCTAGAAGTGGGCTCTGGCCTCCTGGGCAAAGAATTCCAAGAGCATGGGTTTGAAAATCGAGTGGAAGTTCCTCCTTGCCCTGTGACGGGGGGTGGGGCGTGGAGGGAGTGTAATTGACAAGGGCCACGGTGATGCCCTCTGTAGCAGGAGGACCAGAGCAGGGACCCTTGCCCAGGTCTAAGGGCAGCATGGAAGTGGGATTGTGTGTATGTGTGTATGGGGCGGGGAGAGGATGTGACGTGAAGGTGGGAATGTGGCTCAGAGGTGGGCCCTGGGGGAGAGTGAGGGGGCTACTCAGTCACTGAGCCTCCTTAGGGTCACACACAATGCTCCATGGCTGAAAGAGAGGAGAGGATGCCCCCAGTGCGGCGAGTGGGCGAGGCGGGAGAGGAAGGCAGAGGCATTTGGTCTGGGCTCAGGTCGAAGATGCTGGCAGGGAGAGGGTTGAAGGGGGAGCAGCCCAGCCAGGTTACCTTTAGAGAGCTGCGAGCCACCTGAGCAAGGGCCTTAGCTTGGCAGGTAGGAGGGGCCGCTGCAGCTTTCCGAAAGGGTTGGGGTAGGAGTGGGATTTGGTTAGAGTTGGGCTACAGGAATCTTAATCTTGCCAGGTACTGTCCTGAGCTGGTTTAACGCTTCACAGTCATAACTTTTTGTAGGAGGTGGGGGGGACAGGAACTGATAAGGGTGTTGGGGTGAGGGGACAGGAAGGAGTTTAATAAGCTCTAAGCTACTGAAAGGCAGAGAATAGGACTCAGATTCCCCACTTCCACCTCCAGGAATGCCAGCACAAATGCCCTGAATTCCCAGAGAAGTTTGGACTTTGTAAGATCAATCGCTCAACACACATTTCTTCCCCAGAGTCTCTTCCTGCCCCTCAGGAAGACACATGATGTCACCCCATTTCTCATATGTAACTCCTCCTTGCCTGGGGAAGCTCAGTGTCCTGGCTTTCCTCTCCCCCTCCTCCTCCTCCTCTTCCTCTCTCCTCTCAGGACCTCTTCCTGCCCTGCTGCCTTCCCCACCTTCTCCCCTCTCCGTCCTGGCCACACACCCTTTCTAAACTCACCTCCAACCACTCTCCAGTTCTCTTAAGAATATATCTCCCCCTGCCAATTTCCCTCTTCCCCCTGCACCCCCAGTGCCACCTGCAGAACCCCGCTTTCCCTGTCTCAGCAGCTGGACACAGGCGCAGCGCCTGGATGTGCTTCTATTCAGGTAAATTAAAGTCATAAGTTCTGGGGGGAAATGAGGCGGAATGAAGACTCAGTGCCACAGCCACACAGCCCCGGAGGTCCCTTCGGGAGCTCATGCAAGTCTGCACCAACCTTCTCACTTGCCAGTAATTGAACCCCTTTTTCCTTAAGCAACACCAGACAAGTTAAATTAAAAGACATTTCTTATTCTATGCTGTTTTCCTGGGTCCTTTAAAGCCACTGGTGTAGTAACTGTGTTGCATCTCCCATGGTGGATGAGGTCAACAGGCCTTAGTGGGCTAGCCTGGGAACTTCCCAGGCTACAATGTTCTCTTCGCAGGAGAACAATGTTCTTCCTAGCCCAGGGTTTTGCTTCTTCTTGGCCCCTTTGGGAAGATCACTGACTATTTGAGGGCATAGCCAAACTGAATGCTTAAGTGTTAGGAGCCACTCCCAACCCTAAATCCACTATTTGTGAATTATGTCTGGAATTAATTGATATTCCATGGGAAATAATTTCAGGAACAGAGGTATTGATTAAAGAGAGGTACACGTGAACTTAACACAGATATCTTCAGTCTTGTATCATCTTAGTTTTTCTTTTCTTTTTCTTTTTCTTTTTTTTTTTTTTTTTTTTTTAGATGAAGTCTTGCTCTGTCACCCAGGCTGGAGTGCGGTGGTGTGATCTTGGCTTACTGCAAACTTCCCCTCCCAGGTTCAAGCGATTCTCCTGCTGCAGCCTCCTTGGGTAGCTGGGATTACAGGTCTATGCCACTGTGTCCGGCTAATTTTTGTATTATTAGTAGAGATGGGTTTTCACCATGTTGGCCAGGCTGGTCTTGAACTCCTGATATCAAGTGATCTGCCCTCCTCGACCTCCCAAAGTGCTGGGATTACAGGTGTGAGCCACTATGCCTGACCCGGTCTTGTATTATCTTGCATTTTGGTTTGTTGATGTAGAGCTTTGTAAACATTTCAAAGACTCTTTGTTAGGAATTGGTTTTATCTACCAGCCAGAATGTATGATCATTCAAGACTGGGACTGACAGATTCCAAAGGTTAATTTTCATGTAACCAGCTCATCTTTAGCTTCCAGGAACCGCGAAGGGATAGACAAGAGCTGTCCTGGTGGGGAATTCCCTTGACCTGACTTGGAGGGGCAGAGAGGCAGGGGACCTGACACAGAGGTCAAGGGAGATCCCTGGATCAAGCAGGACCTAAGCCAAGACCAGAGCCAGAGAGCCAGGAGCGAGATGTAGAGCCATTGGCATCAAAGTGTTATCAAAGTCCAAGCAAGAAGTCAGGACTGAGGGTGGAAAGGAGAAGGACAAGCCCTGTCAGAAGCCAGGGCTCAGTCTGATGAACCTGTTCAGATGCCACCAGACAGAGCAGGAGGGCAGCAGAGCAACCCCCACTTCTAGTCCAGCGGCTCTTTGAGTGTGGTTCTGGATCAGCACCATCAGCATGGCCCAGGACTGTGTTTGAAACGCCAATTCTTAGGCCCCACTGCAGAGCCACTGAATCAGAAACCTGGTGGCGATGGGGCCCAGCATCTGTGTTCTAACACATCCTCCAGATAATTCTAATGCCTGCTATCATCTGAGAACCTCTTTTCTAGACCACACCTTTGGACAATGTTTGGTCTGACAGAGTCTGGAGCCCTGCAGGTGCAATTATCCTTGGAGTCCCAGACCTGTCTGGCAGGCAGGGGCCCTCTTGCATTCTGAGGAACCTCTTCCACAGATGTCAGGCTGAGTTTTGGGGAAGCACAGTTTTTGGGAAGCACGGCCTTCTACATCTCAGTTATTTCCAAATGGGTTCCAACCTCTTCATGTGGAGTGGGAGAGCCATGTTCTGCTTAGAGTTCTATAAGGACCTCCATTTCCCCAAGGAGCCCATCATTGTGGTGGTGGGAATTCCTCTTGTTGTCTTCAGGGGGCCCTACCTTTGCTGGGTCAGGAAGGGGAGGTCAGGCCAACATCTAGATTCTGACAGAATCTTCCTGCATGACGGGAATTTCAACATCTATTCAACAACACAAAAGTCAGTGCCACTGTGAACATCAGACTGAAGTCTGAGATCTTCCCGGAGACCAGCTGGCCAAAAGATGTCATTGATGCCTAGCTCTGGGCAGGCAGAAGAGACCCGGAGCCTGTTACAAACGCCTTCTCCTTCTTCTTGGAGTTGGTTCTGGCTTTCATAATTCACAGTGGATCCAGAGTTGCAGAGATAATTCTTAGTCTTGGGCCATTCTGGATATATCATTCTTCCTCATAGACCATTCTGGATACGTCTTTGTGGCCAAAAAAGAGTTAAATAGCTGCAAGGTTGTTGATTTGTTTACAAAAAAGAAGAAGAAGAAGAAGAAGAAGAAGAAGAAGAAGAAGAAGAAGAACAAGAAGAAGAAGAAGAAGAAGAAGAAGAAAGGAGAAGAAAAAGAGGAAGAGGAAGAAGAGGAAGAGGAGGAAAAGGAAGAAGAAGAAGAAGAAGAAGAAGAAGAAGAAGAAGAAGAAGAAGAAGAAGAAGAAGAAGAAGAAAACTGCTCAGAAAGGACAAGAAAAGCTTCATTTCCTAGCCATTAACTGAAAACCACCTTTCTTAGGACAGGTTGACCTCTAAAGTGTTGACTGATCCATCCAGAAAAAAATGTAGATAAATGATGTCTCTTTTTAGCATTTCATACCAATAAACAAGGTGGGAAAGAAGGAATTTCACCAAGATATCAGCAGAAACATAACTTTGGAGGAGAAATAATTTCCTCTTCATTACCAGTTAATGAAAACAAGCTTCTGCCCACCAGCACTCTGAATTGCTGTCACTGTGGTGAGGTGGTGTGACAGGAACTTGGGGTAACGCCTTAGGCCTCTGGCAAGGATTCTTACATCAGAGCTAATAGGTGAATGTGTCTCATTCAAGGTGGGTGCTGCTCTGTGCTAAGTCTTGGGCATGGAGCCATTGTATCTGTACAGAAAACACTTGACTAGGCACCATGGGGACACCAAGAGAGAAAGACCCGGATCCTGCCCTCGGTTTAAGTCATGGATTATGTTCATATCACTATATGAATTACATAAACCAGTGAAATCTATTTGTATAGATGAGATCATTCATTCGCTTATTCATTCAGCACATATTTATGGAGCACCCATGATTTATGTAGCCACTTTGGGGGTCCAGAAAAGTCAACATAACCCAAGTTTCCCAGGCTCCAGGACAGTGCTGGGGTCACACTAATGATAATGGCCATACTTTCTGGTTCTTCTCTCTACTATTCAGTGAGCGCTTCTAGCACCATGCCCCCCACCCACTGCTCCAGTCAAATTCTCACTCAGTTTGCATCTAGGAGTTTTCAAGCGTGGCCAGCATGTACTCATAAAGCAGGCTGTAAGCCACGGTTAGATTGCAGCATCTTCCATAATCTTCCCACCCAGCTTTGCACCCTCCCCTCCCCAACCCTTGATGTTCATTACCTAAGAAGCTTTGTAAAAAAACTTTTCAAGTATTTGTGGCTAGTGCCCACTGCAAAAATTGCTGCTGTCCACGCCAGGGGGTTAGCAGCTCCTAAAGCTGCCACCTCTCAAGGCACAGAACAGTGCTACCTTTCCTCTGTAATGAGGAAAATGCCTGACTCCACCCTGTTCTACAGTGTGCCATCTGTACTCTATTCTGTTCCATTGGCCTACAGTCTGTTTCTTCACCAGTATCACACCATGTTGGTTATTATAGTTCCATGTAAGTCTTACATCAGAATGTGTGAGTCCTCCAACTTGATTCTTTTTCAAAATTGCTTTGTTTATTCTAGCTCCTTTGCCTTTCCATATATATTTTATTTGTTTATTTATTTATTTTTAAGACAAAGTCTCACTCTGTCACCCAGGCTAGAGTGCAATGGTGCAACCTTGGCTCACTGCAACCTCTGCCTCCTGAGTTCAAGCAATTCTCCTGCCTCAGCCTCCCGAGTAGCTGGGGCAACAGGTGTGTGCCACCACACCCAAGTAGTTTTTGTATTTTTAGTAGAGATGGGGTTTTGCCATGTTGGCCAGGCTGGTCCTGAACTCTTGACCTGAAGTGTTCCGCTCACCTCAGCCTCCCAAAGTGCTGGGATTACAGGTGTGAGTCACCACACCCAGCCTCCATATACATTTTAGAATGTCTTTCCATATATATATTTCAGCCTGTCAATTTATTTAAAAAAAAAACCTGCTGGGATTTTCATTGGGATTACACTGAATTCATAGATGAGTTTGAGGAGAGATGACATTTTAAGAAAATTGGGTCTTCCAATTCGTAACCAAAGTTTAGTCTTTGATTTCTTTAATCAGTGATTTGTAGTTTTCAGCATAAAGATTCCACACAAAACATAATTTTTTTAGACTTATGCCTGAGTATTACATATTTTGGTAATATTGTAAATGGTGCTTAAAATTTTTAAAAATTTCTGATTGGTTATTGCTAGTACCTAAAAATACAATCGATTTCTTTTGTATTGACTGTATATTTTCTGTGAAATTGCTAAATTCATTTCTAGTAACTCGTATTTTCCTTGGACTTTTCTACATAGAAAAGCGTGTTATCTGTGACTAGAAACAGTTTTATTTCACTTTTCCCACTAATGTGCCTTTCATGTCTTTTCCTTGCCTGATTGCACTTTCCAGGCCCTCAAGTATAAAGATGAGAAGGAAGGACAGCGAACGTCCCCATCTTGCTCTCAATCTTAAGGGAAAAGCTTTCAGTCTTTGACCATTATATATGGATGTTACCTGCAGGTCCATTTCACTTCAGTTGTCAAATTTATGTCTGTAGGGTTATTTATAGCACTCTTTCATTATCCTTTTGATGCGTGCAGGGTCTTTAGTTATATCCCTTACTTCATTCCTGATACCAGTAATTTGCGTCTTCTCTCTTTTTCTTTGTCAGTCTTGATAGAGGACTGTCAATTTTACTGATGTTTTGGAAGAATTGGCTTTTTGTTTTATTGATTTTCTCTATTGTTTTTGTTTTCAATTTCACTGATTTCTGCTCCTATCTTTATTATTTCATTCTTCTGTTAAAACTGTGTTTATTGTTTATTTTGTGTTTTTAGGTGCTTAAAGTGGGAAATTAGATGATTAATTTGAGACTTTCCCTCCTTTTTAATGTAAGTATTTAGTGCTATACATTCTCCTTTCAACACTGCTTTATCTCTATCTCACAAGTTTTGATATGTTGTATTTTCATTTTCAAAGCATTTTAAAATTTCCCTTGAGATTTCTTCTGTGATGCATGAATTATTTAGAAGTTTGTTGTTTAATTTCCAAGTGTTTGGATGTTTTTTAGTTATATTTCTTTTATTGATTTCTATTTGATTCCATTGTGGTCAGATAACACACTCTGTATGATTTAAATTATTTTAAATTTGTTTAGGTTTTTGTTTTGTTTTGTTTTGTTTTGTTTGTTTTTTGTTTTTGAGACAGAGTCTTGCTCTGTTACCAGGCTGGAGTGCAGTGTGGTGTGATCTTGGCTCACTGCCACCTCCACCTCCTGGGTTCAAGCGATTCCCCTGCCTCAGCCTCCCGAGTAGCTGGGACTACAGGTGCACGCCACCATGCCCAGCTAATTTTTTGTATTTTAGTAGAGACGAGGTTTCACCATGTTGGCCAGGATGGTCTCGATTTCCTGACCTCGTGATCTGCCTGCCTCGACCTCCCAAAGTGCTGGGATTACAGGCATGAGCCCCGTGCCCAGCCTGTTAGGTTTGTTTTATGGTCCAGGACACGGTCTAACTTGGTATACTTTCCAGGGACACTTGAAAATAATGTGTATTCTCTGCTGGTGGGAATGTAAACTAGTACAACCACTATGGAAAACAGTGTGGAGATTCCTTAAAGAACTAAAAGTAGAATTACCATTCGATCCAGCAATCCAACTACTGGGTATCTACCCAGAGGAAAAGGAGTCATTATACGAAAAAGACACTTGCACACACATGTTTATAGCAGCACAATTCACAATTGCAAAAACCTGGAACCAACCCAAATGGCCGTCGATCAGCAAGAGGTTAGAGAAACTGTGGTGTGTGTATATATATATATATATATATATATATATATATATATATATATATATATATATGATGGAATACTACTTAACTGTAAACAGTAATGAGTTAATGGCATTCACAGCAACCTGGATGAGACTGGAGACTATTATGAAGTAACTCAGAAATGGAAAACCAAACATTGTATGTTCTCACTTGTAAGTGGGAGCTAAGCTTATGAGGATGCAAAGGCATAAGAATGACACAATGAACTTTGGGGACTCAGGGGGAAAGCGTGGCAAGGGAGTGAAGGATAAAAGACTACAAATAGAGAGCAGTGTATACTGCTTAGGTGATAGATGCACCAAAATCTCACAAATCACAGCTAAAGAACTTACTCATGTAACCAAACATCACCTGTTCACCAATAACCTATGGAAAAAAATGCGTGACATAAAAAGAAAATAATGTGTATTCTGCTGTTATTGGGTTGTTGGGTGAAGTGTTCTAAAAATGTCAATTGGATCTTATTGGCTGATGGTGTTGTTGAATTCTATATCCTGTTGATTTGCTGTCTAGTTGTTCTATCAATTATTAAAAGAGGAATGTTAATGTTTCCAACTATAATTGTGGATTTATTTATTTTTTATTTCAGTTCTGTCAGTTTTTGCCTTATGTATTTTTCAGGTCTGTGGTCTGCACATACATATTTAGGACTGCTGTGTCTTTTTAGTGGATTGACCCTTTTATTACTATGTAATGTCCCTGTCTGTGTTTGGTCATTATCTTTGCTCTGAAATATACTGTATCTGATTATAACATAGCCTCTCCTGTTTTCTTTTGATTAATGCTTGCATGATATGTCTTTTTCTATCATTTACTTTTAACCTCTCTATATTGTTATATATAGGGAGTCAACTAGTCAACTAGTTATGTATAGGGAGAGCAACACTGAAATATCACAGATGTTAGAATTTTCTGACAAAGATTTTAAAGCAGCCATTATAAAAATGTCTCAACAAATGATTACACAGTTGAAACAAATGAAAAAGAAAACAGTCTTAGCAAAGACATAAAAAGCTTCAGAGAAAAAATTAGAAAATATAAAGAAGAACCAAAAGGAAATTTCAGAACATAAAAATACAGTAATCAAAATTTGAAATCTCAATGGATGTGCTCAAGAACAGAAGGAAAATGGGTATTTATTCATCTCTTTACTTTTCTGTTTCTTTTTCTTTCTTTCTGACATTCCAACATTTCTTCTTTTTATTATTTCCTCCCTGTTTAGAAAATAACTCCTAGCCATTCTTTTAGGATAGGTCCCCTGGCAACAAATTCTCTGTTTTACTTCACTTGAAAATATCTTGATTACCCCTCCATTCCTGAAGGACTTTTTTGACTGATATAGAATTTGGGGTTGACAGTTTTTTCTTTTAGTTATTTTCTGTCTTGAGAATGTGCCATTTCTTACCGGCCTCCATGATTTCTGATGGAAAATCCTTTGTCATTCAAATTGTTGTCCCCTATAGGTAAGGTATCATTTCTCTCTCATTGCTTTCAATAATTTTCCTTGTTTTTGGTTTTCAGAACACTGACTATGATGTATCTTGGTATGGAGATACTTGGCTTTATCCTATTTGGGATTTATTCATCTTCTTGAATTTAGAGGTTTACGTATTTTGCCAAATTAAGAAAATTTTCAGCAACTATTTCTTTAAATGCTTTTTCTGGCCCTGTTTTCCCCTCTGCTTCCAGGAGTCTGATGGCAAGAATGGTGAATGTTAGATCTTTTGTTATAGTCCTACAGTTCCCTGAGGATTTGCTCATTCTTCTTCTTCTTTTTTTTTAAGTCTATCTTCTGTATATTGTTTAGATTAGTTAATATCTATTTCTCTATCTCTTAATGCATTGATTCTTTCCTTTGTCTCCTATATACTGTTCTCAAGCTCATCCATTGAGATTTCAAATTTTGGTTATTGTATTTTTATGTTCTAAAATTTCCTTTTGGTTCTTCTTTATATTTTCTATTTTTCCTCCTCTGAGGCTTTTTATTTCTTTGCTAAGACTGTTTTTCTTTTTTTATTTGTTTCAACTGTGTTTGTAATCATTTGTTGAGACATTTTTATGATGGCTGCTTTAAAATCTTTGTCAGAAAATTCTAACATCTGTGATATTTCAGTGTTAGTATCTCCTGATGGTCCTTTTCATTTAGTTGGAGAGCTTCATGGTTCTCAGCATGATGAGTGATTTTTCATCAAAACCTAGACATTTTGGGTGTTAGGACACTTTGGATATTGTTTAAACCTTTTATTTTAACTGGCTTTCTCTGATACTGCTCCATCAGGGGAAGAGTGGCATCATTTGTTACTGCTAGGTGGAGGTAGAAGTCCAGGTTCCCCATCCAGCCTCCCTTGACCCATGAGGGGGAGAGCTTCTCATTACTCCTGGGTAGGAATGGCTGGTTGGCTTTCTACTATGCTTTCCCTGACACTTCCTTGGCTAGGATGAGTAGGAGTTCTTGTCACTATTCCTTACATGGCCTTCACTGACCCCACAGGAAGGGGGTGGCCTCATTTTTACTGGGTGGTAGTGAAGGTCCTGACCCTCCATTAGACCTTATCTGACACCACCCTGGTGAGGAGGGGAAGGACTGCCTTATTGCTGCTGATTAGGAGTGGAAATTAGGCTCCACTGATACTATCAAGGGTATCAATGGTGGGGAGAGGCTCATTACTGCCTGCTGGGAATGGAAGTCCCAGCTCCCTACTCAACCTTTTCTGATACCACCATGGTGGAGGGACTGGGTGCCTGTTATAGCTGGGAAAGAATGGAGGTCCAGACTCATTGCCTGATCTTTGCTGGTGTGTGTGTGTGTGTGTGTGTGTGTGTTTCTGTGTGTGTACATGTGTGTTGGCCAGGGATGGGGGTAGGGGACAGAGCCATAGTTTTTTCTGTGATGTCTGGCTAGAGTAGAGCAGTCATTATCTGAACATTTTCTGTCTTGCTAACCTGCCCTTTTCCTGATATTTTAGCTGGAGAGAGCAGGTTTTTGTTTGACCGCTTTGTTTTTCTTGTCTATGCACGTTGGTGCAGCCAGGTTGCTTGCCTCTTCAGCAATAAGTCTAGGATATACATGAGGCAAAAATAACACCCAGAGAACTCACCGTCATTCGTTCCTTGGGCTCCAGGGTCTCTAGCTGGGTTGCCTTATTCTCTCCACCTTCAAGGGTCTCCTTATGTTTATTTTATATATAATGCCCAAGATTTTTAGTTGTATTAATACTTAAATTCCCACTTAGTGGGAAAGACAGAAAAAAGTGCTTCTATTTCATCTTCCCAGAGGCAGAAATGTTTCCTCCTCATTTATTTTCTGAAGAGTTTATGTAGGATTGGTATTATTGCTTCCTTAAATGTTCAGTAGAATTTTCCAGTGAATCCGTCTGAGCCTGTGGTTCTCTTTGTTGGAACGTTTTTTTTACTGTGAATGTCTTTACTATATCTAGGATTACTTACCTATTTTTCTTTTTCCTTTTTCTTTCTTTCTTTTTTTTTTTTAGACAGAGTCTCACTCTGTCAGCCAGGCTGGAATGTGGTGGCATGATCTTGGCTCACTGCAACCTCTCTGCCTCCTGGGTTGGAGCAATTCTCCTGCCTCAGCCTCCCGAGTAGCTGGGATTACAGTTGTGTACAATGACACCTGGCTAATTTTTGTATTTTCAGTAGAGACGGGGTTTTCGCCATGCTGGCCAGGCTGGTCTTGAACTCCTGACCTCAGGTGATCCACCCATCTCAGCCTCCCAGAGTGCTGGGATTACAGGCATGAGCCACCGCACCGGGCTGAGTTACCCATTTTTCATGTAAATGAAAGTTTGGCAGCTTGTGATTTTCAATAAATTTGTCTATTTTATCTAAGTTTTCAAATTTATAGGCATAGTTTTTTTTTTTAACATTCTCTTATTTTTAATGTCTTAGGGTCTACAGGGATATGCTTTTTTTTTCATTCGTATTATTGTGTCTTCTCTCTTTTTTTCTTATTAAGCCAGATCTTGAGGAGGACAAGCATTATCTTGTGAGGTGTCTACCTCAGCTGAGGACTTCGAATAGTATCCATTCAAGGGGCTGGATCTTGTAGGTGGGAAGATTTTCTTGAATAAGGGAGAGGGGGATGTCTCAGCCAGGCCAGAGGCTTCAAGTGAATCTGAGGGTTCATTGTTCTCATACCCATTCTCCTACGTGTGTCATCCTAGATCTTAGGGTCCATTTATTCCCTATCACGGTTCAGCATAAGAAACTAGTTAAAAATGCATCCATATCCTTTTCAGTTTTACCACTCTTACAATTAAACCCTGTGCCTAATTTTCAGCACTCTCCCCTATGGCTACAGGGATGAGAGTCTCTTTAAATGCTTCTAGGGCGGGCTTCCGGCTTTCATGGAATGCTGAGTTGGTAGTTGACTGAGCCTGTTGTTTTCTTTCTGTAATATTTCTAGGATAATATTTTAAAAAATCATTCAATTCCATTATCCTTATTATTACCATTGCCACCACAATATTCGAGTTCTAGAGTACCTCATGAGCCAATATTTTCCCTTCTGTTTGTTATCCCAATACACTGCTGGCAAGAGCCTTAACATTTGTGAGCTGTAACATAGTACAAAGGGTTTTAACGCCCACCCTTACACCATTAATGCAGTCATTTTGCTGTGTGAACCAGTAAATAATCCAGTTTCAGAATCCTATCCTGACGGTGCACTTTAGTACCAATGGAATTAGTTTGGGTTCTCCCAAAGGCAGTGCCTGAAATAAGGACTAGTGTGCAAATTGTTTACGTGGCAGAACATTCCAGAAGGCAGAAGTAAAGGACAAAGAAGAATGATACCAGCAAGGGAGAAAAGCCAATAGATGTGTTATTGAGCTGGTTACCATAGTGAGTAATTGAGGATCTACCTACTAGGGACTCTCTTTGGAAGGATACAACTAAAATTTTTCCCAAAAGGATGTGAGGCTGGGACATTTATTTCCCAATTCTTTCTCCATTTGTGTCCTCTCTGGTGGAGAGTTGCCTTCAGGGCATTAGCTACCTAGGGGGATACAGCATGGATCATAAAAAACATCTGCTGGACCTCCATGCTGCAAGTGTGGAACCTGGATGCAATGACAGGCATGGCCATAGTCCTTCAGCTACAGTATAGTTTGAGCTTGTGTTATGACCCCAACAATTGTGCCTTGGTTTATTCTAACCTGACTCTAACTCTGCTGGTCTCTTAGTCAACCAGGCTTCTCCAGTGCTGGCTCTCTCCTATGAGTTGCAGCCTGCTTTTCTGGGGTTTTGATGTCCTGCCTGGCTCTGATGAGGGTTCGGGGGAGAGTTGGGGTAGGCAGAGGCTGATTCTATTCCCAGATACCTGCTGTATCAGAGGGCTGAATAGTGGCCCAAATAAGATATGTCTAAGTCCTAACTCCTAGAATCTGTGAAGATGACCTTATTTGGTAAAGGGTCTTTGCAGATACAATTAAAGAACTTGAAATTAGTTCATTCTGGTTTTAAGGTGGACCCTAATCCAATGACAGGTATCTTTATAAGAGAAAGGAGAGAGAGATTTGAGACACATGGACAGAGATTGGAATGATGCTGCCACAAGACAAAGAGATTCTAAGGCCACCAGAAGCTGGAAGAAGCTAGGAAGGGCTTTCCCCCTAGAGCCTTCAGAGGGAGCTTGGCTCTGCTGACACCTTGATTTTGGACCTCTGGCCTCCATACTCTGAGAGAATAGATTTCTGTTTTAAGCCACACAGAGTGTAATAATTTGTTATTGTGGTTCTAGGAAACTAATACATAAGCCACAGGCTGAAACTTTTGCTGTGAGAGGGCCAAGTACCCCAAAGCTGGAGCAGCTGACCCGTTGCTGTGTTACTTCTTTTGGCTGGGAAATGGCCACTCCTGTGGTCAGCCATCTGCTGACCTCATGGATCCCAGCCCACTACGGCTGGAACTTGGCCATATCTGAGGTCTGTAAATCCACTCAATATTGTCCTGACCTGTGTGATGCCTCCACTAAAGTAGCTTAGTTGCCTGGGCCCTGCCTGGCCAGAGACATGGGATGCAGCCTCACTACCAATCACCCCTCAGATCTCTCCTAGCAGGACCTTGTGGGTGATATGGATCAGAGCTTGTGTTGCTTAGAAAGGATAGACATTGACTTTGATTAATTTAAACAAAAAAGGAAGTTATCAGAGGGATATACGAAAAGCTAAACAATCCAGTCTGGTAAAGGCAGACCAATGGCCCAGGAGACCTGGTTATTAGCTGGAATGAAAGACTAGTTGAGCCAGGTTGCTGCCAGTAAAATGGCCTGACTGGGCCAGATGAGGTTCTGTGCCAGGCCTCTGGGGGAACAGGGAGGCAGGTGGTAAGGGGACACTTTGAGAGTCAGCCAAGTCCCAGAATGGGTGGGGGGTTCCTCAAAGGGAAAGTGAAGTGTGGTACCAATAAAAGGAAAAAGGACCCTGGGTAGAAAAAAACACCAGCTTGCAGGCCAGGGACCAGAGCCTGTTTTACTGCCCCTCTTCTTGGCCTGATTCCTCCCTTGCAATCGCTACTGCTTTCCACTCGGTTCCTCAGAAGGACTAGGGAGAAGCCAGATTGTTTTCTTTTCTAACATTAGAGTATCCCTCGAGTCAGCAGTGAAAGATAATTAGACTGTGATCGTTCTATTTAAGCACTTCACTTAATCAATTACAATCGCCTATGCTGTCTCCTAGTATCGATTATAGATTCCTTCGTTCTGGAAATCATACAGCTCCCTCCTGGGATGCTACCGCTGGCACCATGGCTCTCGTGGACGCATGAACACCCCGTGCTGAAGCAGACCTTTCTATGCGGCTGCTCGAGATCCTTTTTCATCTTAATTGTTTCTGAAGACAGGACAGAATACCAGCTCCTTCCATGCCTAACCTGAATCCAAGTGGGAAGGAGCAGCCCAGTTAATGGGGCATACAGTGGCTCCCAGGTGGGCAGGATGAGGTTGGTGGCTCCAGACGCCCTCTCAGAGGAGACACAGGACACGGACTACGGATTGGCTGTGACCCTCTGTAAGGACGATAACTGGGGAAAGGTGACCCTGGACAAACACCAAGCCACCTCACCCACCATAGTCATCATGGCAGGAAACAATGGCTCAGGCCAGAACAGAGTGCAAGTCAGCAGGAAGGTCCCAGAGCTGCCTCAGGTCCAAGCAGCGTGGAAAGGAGAGGAAGGGCTGGAGGTGAAAGACAAAGTTGCGGTGGTTTTCAACCTGGCTGCACATTTAAAAAGACCCATGCTCAGTGGGTTAGGAAGAGCAAGCTAGCTGCACAAACTGGAGACACCTGAGTAGGGAGAATAACTGGGAAATTATCCCAGGTCTATTAGCCAGGGTTCTCCCGAGAGACAAATCCAGTAGGAGCTCTTTCTCTCCCTCTCTCTCTCTCTCTCTCTCTCTCTCTCTCTCCACACACATACAAACACACACGCACACACATACTCATATATAGAGGGGATTTCTTAGTGGAACTGGCTCACGCAGTTTGGAGGCTGAGAAGTGCCACAGCAGACTATCTGCAAGCTGGAGACCCTGGGATGCTGTAGTGTGGCTCAGTCTCAGAGCCAAGGAAGCTGATGGTGTAATTCTCAGTCTGAGGCTGATGACCTAAGAAGCTTGGGGGCTGCTGGCATAAGTTCTGAGTCCCAAGGCCTGACAGCCTGAATTTCTGATGTCCAAGGACAGGAGAAGAAGAGTGTCCCAGGTCTAGGAGAAAGAGAGGCGATCACCTTTCCTCTGCCCTTTTTCGTTTTATTCAGGCCCCCAGCTGATTAGATGGTGCCCACTTACACTGAGGGCAGACCTTCCCCACCCAGTCCACCCACTCCCATGCCAGTCTCCCCTCCAAGCAACCTCACAGACACACTGGGAAGTGATGCCTTACCAGCTCTCTATAGAGTCCTTCATTCAGTCAAGCTGACGCTTAAAATTAACCATCACGCCAGGTATGAAGCGATAAGGACCCTCCACTGAGGTGTAGGCAAGTTCGTAGAGGTGGTCATGTTTGAGCGAATGGCCTGGTAATGGTTTAAAGGCTTTTATTGAAGTATGGGTGGTGAACAGAGCTGCCTGCCCTCCCGTGATCAATCCCAGTGCTGTCTGCCTCCTCTCAGCACCTAGTCCTATGCCTGGGCCTGGGAAGTGCTTGATAAATTCTGAATGAACCCAAGGACCTGGGCAAAGAAACATGGTTCATTACCAGGAAAAAAGGAAATTTAGACTTACCTCAGTAAAGGAGTGATCAAATAACCCATGGTATAACCCTGGTATGGAACATGGAGCAACAGAGAAAAAGGATGAGAAAAGCAATCCCATTATTGGGTGTATACCCAAAGGAATATAAATTGTTCTGCTATAAAGACACATGCACGTGTATGTTCACCAAAGCACTACTCACAATAGCAAAGTCACAGAATCAACCTAAATGCCCATAAGTGGTAGACTGGATAAAGAAAATGTGGTACATATATGGAATCTACATGGACGTGAAAAAGAACGAGATCATGTCCTTTGCATCAACATGGATGGAGCTGGAAGACATTATCCTAAGTGAACTATCACTGGAACAGAAAACTAAATACTGCATGTTCTCACTTATAAGTGGGAGCTAAACATCAAGTGCCTATGGACACAAAGAAGGGAACGACAAACACTGGGGCCAACTTGAGGGTGGAAGGAGGAGGGTGAGGATTGAAAAACTACCTGTGGGTTCTATGCTTATTACCTGAGTAGCCAAGTAATCTGTACACCAAACCCCCATGACATGCAATTTACCTATATAACAAACAGGCACATGTACTCTTGAACCTAAAATAAAAGTTAAAAATAAAAAATAAATAGAAAAAAGTATAAGAAAGACATGGAATGGTTTCCAGACATAAAGTGAAAAAAGCAAGTTCCTCACCAATGTGAGTAGAAGGATGCCATTTGTGTAAAGAAGGAGAAGCTCAAATTATGAGTATGCAAATGTGTTTGTTTGTTTGTTTTTGAGACGGAGTTTTTGCTTTTGTTGCCCAGGCTGGAGTGCAGTAGCACGATCTCGGCTCACTGCAACTTCCACCTCCCAGGTTCAAATGATTCTCTTGCCTTAGCCTCCCGAGTAGCTGGGATTACAGACTCCCACCCCCACGCCCGGCTGATTTTTGTAATTTTAGTAGAGATGGGATTTTGCCATGTTGCCCAGGCTGATCTCGAACGCCTGACCTCAGATGATCTGCCCACCTCAGCCTCCCAAAGTGCTGGGATTACAGGCGTGAGCCACCGCGCCCGGCCTGCAATTGCATTTTTAAAAAGTATGGAAAGATGTGCAACCAACGATTGACAGGGGTTTCCTCCAAGGAAGGAAGTGAGATGGGAAAGGAGGACATTCACTTTGTGTGTTTAAGTTTTGCTGTGTGTTCTGCTTTTCTTTTAAAACAACTAATATGCATTCCTTTATTACCTGTATAATTAAGACTTTTAAAAATTAGAAATATAGTCAGCTTTCTGTGTCTGCGGGTTCTGTATCCTCAGATTCAAACAAGGGCAGATCAAAAATATTTGGGAAAAAATGATAAAAAATAATACAATAAGAAATAATATATATAAAAATACAGTATGACAACTATTTACATAGCATTTACTTTGCATTAGGAATTATAAGTAATTTAGAGATGATTTAAAATAAGCTTGTCCCACCCGCGGCCCACAGGCTTCATGTGGCCCAGGACAGCTTTGAATGTGGCCCAACATAAATTCATACGCTTTCTTAAAACATTATGAGAATCTTTTGCAGATTTTTTTTCTTTCAGCTCATCAGCTATCATTAGTGTTAGTGTATTTTATGTGTGGCCCAAGGCAATTCTTCCAATGTGGCCCAGAGAAACCAAAAGATTGGACACCCATGATTTAAAGTAAATGGGAGGATGTGCATAGGTTATATGAAAATACTATACTATTTTACATTAGGGGCTTGAGCACCTGTGGATTTTGGTATCCATGGGGGGCCCAGAACCAGTCTGCACATACGAGGAATGCCTGCATAGTTATGAAATGGGTTTGAGGAGGCCACGATACTCAATTTTGTTGTGTAGTTGAGGGAACAGTGGTGGCTGACTATGCATGACCAGGAGGGGGCTGAGATGAGAATACCTCCCATTGCAGGGAGTCTCAAGCCCCAGTGTGCACCAGAATGAGCATCAAGGGGTCGCTTAAATGCAGAATTCTCAGCCGTACTGACGCAGGATGTCAGAGTGAGGGATCTGCATTTCAGCCAGCTTTCCGGGATCCTGACAACGGTGGGTCCTCGGAGCACTCCTGTGAATCCACAAAACTGCCTCCCTCCCTGGGCTTAGCAGCCAGACAGCAGGCCACCAGCCCTGCTGGCTACCTGGGCAGGGCGACTTCCCCTTCAGCTGCATCTAAGCTGAGGCAGGAGAAGCTGGTGTGTGCTCTGTGGGGCAGCCCCGCCTTCAGAACGTGTGGTTCAGCGGGGTGAACACCATCCTTTTTCACCGCTCCATGCCGTGAGCTGGTGGCACTGCTCCCCTCGGGATCTTCATTTATTGAGGGACAAAGGTAACAACTTAAGCTTCCCTGGGCCATTCTTAAAAGACACCCAACCTGCCCAAATGATCCATTCCAAATTCATTTGGAATTCTAAGCAAGTAGGGCAAACTGGTGTTAATTAAATGTTTAATTCATGTCCATTAAGGCTAGAATATTGGTTTTCATTCAAATTTATGGCCTGGTTGTATTTTTTATAGCTGCCCATATATTGCATATAGGTCATTGGTTCCCTTCCCTCAGTGAAGTGTTCAGTGTATTTACGCCCATTTTATAGGACCTGGAGCATAACTTGAGTATTTTCAGTGGTTATAGAGACACACAGTATTCACTTTATGACATTGTTGGTCACATCAGTGATAAATTTGCTGTCGAGTTACCACTGATCAGGCTAGTAATCACCAATTACAACCCTGTGGCTATGGGAAAATATGGGCTGCTTTACAGCAATCTATTTTATTATTCGATTTTCAGGAACCTGTTGAGGTTCAAATGTGAGTCCATTTGCACATTTACAAGGTAGGGGGCAGGGGTTGAAGGGCCCTTTACCTCACATGGCCAAGGCAAAGTCTAGAAGCAGACTTCTGCAGTTTCATACATGAGTTTTCAGAGTCCCTCAAAGAGTTACAGAGAGTTACAGAGGGGTCTCCCTCCAGAGTCCCTCTCATGAGTTACAGAGAGTCCCTGTAGAACAGAGTGACTGACTGATCTGTGCAGGTGGGAGAGGAACACAGAGCCTCCCTTCCTCTGTTGTTCAGGCCTTTCGGAAGCCCTGGCCCCGGACCTTTCACCTTTCAGGAGTGATTCTTCTATCAGTGATGGGGAGCTCTAGAACCCGGTCTCCAACAATCAGCAAAACAGATGCAGAGGTCAGTTTGGGTTCAGTGGCGAAAATGGGGCCCGAACTGACCCTTCTTTCCTGGTAGCCCTTGTTTCCAGAAAACTGATGTGGCATAGCTTTCAATTTCCAGAATGCATGAAGTAGGCCCCCCTCTGTTACGTGTAACATAAGAGCTGGGAGAGATCTTAGAGATCTGAGAGCCAATGTTCTTCTTTGATGATTTTTTCAAAAGAGAAAAAAAATTTTTTAAAAAAGAGAAAAAAAAATAACCCAACAACATACAAACATAACTAATTTTTCCTGCAAACATACCGTGTACCAGACCTACAGTAAAGGCTGTGCAGGCATTGCCTCATTTAGTCCTCAGAATAGGCTGCTGACGGAGGCATTCTTATTACCCCCATTTACAAATGGGAGATGTGAGGTCCAGTGAGGTTGAGTAATTGATCCGTCGTTACCCCAGCGAGAAGGTGGCTCAGCTTTAAACCAGGTCTTCCTGATTCACAGCCCAAGCTCTCAACCTTATGCTCTGGAGAATTCGTTGTTTAGTTGCGGAGTGGAAGTTGGGATCCTGAAGATCCCAGGGAGACGAGGAGGGGCAGAAGGCATAGAAATGGTCCAGAGAGAAAGTTCAGAGACACAACCACAAACGTATTCAGCCACTTTCTCCAGAATGGAACTGTATCCTCTGCATCAGATCTGTTCCTGGCCCCACACATCTGAGAACAGTTCCCACACTACTGGAAACTTCTCTGTTGTTAAGCAAAGCATTTTTGGATTTTTGCATGTTTACAAAGTATCTTTGCCTCAATATTTCTGGAGGAGTTCTTGCTTCCACATGGCATGGAAGCAGGCTGTGTGCATCCTAAACCTTTATTTAGAGCTTCTTCTGATGTTCACCACAAAGCCTGGATCACGTAACAATTGAAACACCACAAATTGTGACCTTATCAAACCTGCAAGAGTTGATCCCAGTAAACACTTGAGGTTTGGAGCAGCACAGTAACCTGCCCTCAGGCACACAGCAGAGCCCTAAGACCCAGTTCTCCAGGGACCTGCCCTATCTCTTCTCCCAAAGTTCACATCCCACTGTGTCCACCTGGAGCTTCAACTTGAGGTGCTTTCAGCCTTAAGAACACCTGGTATTTTGGGAAAGCCACAAATGGCTCACAATCACTCTGTATTTCATTTCTGGACTTAGCTTTTATTTCAGTTCCTTATGTCCCTACCCTTCACCTTGGCGGGAAGATGACTTTGTTTTCAAATAAAAGTAAAAAAGAAAGGATATCCATTGCTGATGAGAATGCAAAATTGTAAAACCACTCTGGAAAAGAATTTGGCAATTTCTTATGAAGCTAAACACACACTTACCATAGGATACAGCTCACGCCTAGGTATTTGCCCTGAAGAAATAAAAAACTTTTGTTCACAAAAAAACCTGTACATGAATGTTTATAGCAGCTCTATTCACAAAGGCCAAAAACAAAAACAAAAACCCACCTTGAAACAGTACACATGTCTTTCATCAGGGGAATAGATGAACCACGGCGCGCCCATGCAGTGGAATGCCACTTAGCAACACAAGGAACAAACTACTGATACAGGCAATGACATGGTGCATCTCAAAGGCATCACGGAATAGAAGAAGCGTGTCTCAAAGGCTACGGACTCGATGATTCCTTTATAAAGCATCCTGGAAAAGACAAAACCATGGTGATGGAGGACAGATCAGTCGTTACCAAGGTTATGGGTTGGGGAAGAGTGTGACGAGAAAAGGCAGCATGAGGTGTTGGGGTGACGGAACTGCCTGTACTCCTGAACTGTGCTGGTGGGTATGTGAATCTATCCATGTGTTAAAACTCATGGAACTCTACACCAAAATGAAAGTAAAAATGAAAAAGGAAAAGCTCCATTTCTGCCAGAACAATCTAGCTCTGACAGCACAGGAAGAGGGATTTCATGTGGAGGAGGTTGGTGCTCGGCCAATCTCTGAGGATCCTGCCTTTCCACCCTCCAGACCAGCAAGACAAACCCTGGTCTAAGGCTCTGGCTCCGGCAGGTGCGTCCATCACCAGCAGTTCCCTCAGTGCTTGGAGGACGTCCACCTGGCTGACAGTCCATCTCCACCTCCCCATGCAGTTGGGGGGCAGCAGGCTACCAGATCCAAGACTTTCTCTGGACTCCTTTGGGAGTGGCCCAGAGGCTCTGAGGCTCCTTTTCCTCTGGATGCTGGGGGGCAGCTAGATGGCTCCAGGTGATAGAGGTGTCTCTCACACATGGTTGTTCCTTTGAGCTATGCTCCACTCCTTGGGATTCCAGAGAAAGGAAGCCTCCCTTCCACTTCCATCCCCCAAATCATACACATATCCACAGGAATCAAGCAGCAGTCACTTCGTGCTGCTACTACTGGGAAAAGTCTTCCAGAATCAAATTAGCTTGAACTGGCCAACCTAGCCAGGAGCCCAGGCACACAGACATGAATAACCCGAGGATTCCAGGAAGAGGAACTGGAGGACGGTCAGCTCCCAGAGCAATGGCACCGAGGTTGGCAGTGCCTTCTGGCCCTGTCTGAGCAGGAACACATGTCTGCAGCTGGGAGCTCTGTGGATGGCCCTTGTACCACAGAGTCATATCAGGAGGCAGGAGGAGAAAAGGCCAGGTGGTGGCTTTAACCATGTGTGGTCCCAAGGGAGTGGTCCTCAGAGTGGCAGCTCATGGCACAAGTGACTGGCAAGGCCATGGTACAGAGCTGGGCAATCCTGGGCAGGCTGGGGCTGATGGCTTCGGCTGCTAGTACTTTTCCCCATTTACTCATCATACTGAAAAACAACTCAGCCCACTTGCGGTGAGCTCTGCCCTGCATTTTTCACCTTTGAGCTATCATTCCAAGGAAGAAATACCAGCCCAGGAGGAAAGTTTTGGCCAAGTTCAAAGGGAAGGGCTTGGGGAATGGAAAGTCCTCTGAAACCTTGCTTAGACGGTGACTGCCTGACCCAGATTTTGCCTTTTCAAAAATATGCTTGGAGCTCAAAGGCCGGGTGTCATGCAGACATGGGCGTGACAGAGTCACAGGGAAAACACATCAACCAGAGCACAGCTGGATCCTCACTCAGAGAAACCTCAAGCCTGAGCATTGGGCAGGACTCCAAAAGTCAGCCTGGCTGTCACATGTTTCTGCAGGGGCTTCTGAGGACACCCACAGAGGTGAGGCTTGAGCCCACCCAGTGTTCCTGGCTGGGTCTTCTCTTAGGGCCAGTTCCTGTCCAAACATGAGACTCCTCTCCCCTGTCCCCATCTCCTGGGTGTCTTATTTCCCACCCTCTGGCATGGATGCTGAGACCCAGGAGGTGACTCCAGGAGGTACGCAGTGTGGCTACTCCACTGGGCGATGTTTCTGCTGCCTGGTCTATGTTGACAGGTGCTTCCCTAACTTGACACTCCTACAGGGATGGAGCTGGAGAAAACGGGCCAGTGCAAAATTGTACATGTGTCCTCCCCCAATGCCCCAACACATACACACTTTACTGGCATCTCTATGACAAAAAGAAAAGCCCCTACCCTTTCTGTTTCTAGCAGGGCAAGTGAGTTTGACCCAGTAAAAACAATGTCTGGTCTCATCCTCATCTGCTTCGAGGAGTTAATTCCTCACTATTCCCCCTGCCCCTGGAGGAAGGAGGGGAGGAAATGCTGAGACTGAAAGGGGTGAGCCTGTAGGCTAGCCTTTTCTGGTTCCCAGTCTCTAGAGTATGGTTGTTCAGCCCTGAATTACTTGGGCACAAGCTGGTGCCCAGTACCATGACAAGCTTGGGTGTCACCCCAACCCCAGCTACCTGGGGCCCCTGCAGTTCCATGATTTCCAAAGTGTCATGTCAAAGCAAACTTTATTTTATTATTTATTTAATAAATAATAAATAATGTCACCCAGGCTGAAGTGCAGTGGTGCAATCACTGCTCACTGCAGCCTCAGCCTCTGGGCTCAAGCGATCCTCCTACCTCAGCCTCCTGTGTAGCTGAGACTACAGGTGCATGCCACCACACCTGGCTAATGTTTAATTTTTTCATAGAGATGGTGTCTCACTATGTTGCCCAGGCTGATCTCGAACTCCTGGACTCAAGTGATCCTCCTGCCTTGGTCTCCCAAAGAGCTGGGAATACAGGCATCAGCCACAGTGCCTGGATAAGTCAAACCCTAGCTTCTTAGCTTTCATGCTGCACCCCTGGGCTTCTTTAATTCTCTCTCACCTGCTGTGGCCCCCCCGGCTGTAAAGCAGACTGCCAGATAGTGTCTCTCAGCCCAACCTCACTGTTCTATATTCTGCTTTGTAGTGCCTAGGCTGGGATGCTGCAAACCACACATTCCCTTTGCCAGCCGCTCGCTGGTAGGTGCTGCCAATGGGGAGGCCAGAAGGAAGCCAGAGGCAGGAGGAGGGAGTTGGGCCTGGCCCCTTCCTGATTTGCTTCTTGGTCCTGGCACCATTACCCAATGATTGTTCTCCATCCTGGCAGCAGGAGTCAGTTCCAGTTTCTAGCCGTTTTTGTTTTGTTTTGTTTTCACACTTCTAGAATCAGCCTCAGCCTCACTGTGCCTCCTCAGATATACCAGCCAGGCAGCACCCACCTCTTCGAAGTCTGGGTCCCAGCTCCACCCCCATCACAGGCAGCCCCTCCTCCCAGCTTATAGGTTCTAATAACCCCTCCCTTCCCTTTATTCCTGCACTGGGGGTGCTAGCTACTTTTTGTAGTTATTTACTCTGTTACCTCAATGTGCCCCTCACTTCTTTTTTTGCCTTTTCAGCCATCCAGTACAGGTTTAACCAATTCTCCAGATTAAATTCTCTCTGTTAAAATAACTGCTGTGGTTTCTGTTTTCCTGACCAGACACTGACTGATACAGACCCCACGGCTGCCAAACAGGCTGCATGAGGAAGCTGTAATTTACCATCTGTTTTTCCTCCTTCAAAGGAGTAGGTGGCTTCCAGCTTACCCAGTTACTACACTGCATCGAGGTCATTCCAGCCCAAAGCAAAAAACCCTGAAACCTCGGTCAGCCTGTGTAACCTGATCCTGGGCAAAGTTATGGTTCCTTTCTGTCCTTATTGGTGACTCCTTTTTTGCAGATTTCCTCGAGATCCCTGCAGGAGAGGGAGGAAGGCCATGATGGGAGTGACTGGCCTCGGGTCTCCTTAGGCTTGTAGAACCCTCTGCTCCCCAAATGGCTATGAGGCACCCCTCCAGGCTCCCAATCTCCATGGCTCCCTCCCAGGTTGCCCCTGCCCCTTGGTGCTCACCTCTCTCCTCCTAACTGGTTACCAGGGGATGGTCTCCATGTTTCTGAGTAGGCAGGGTCCCCACAGGGCCCAGACTGGGAGTACAGAGGAGATTCCAACACATGCAACAGTTAGGGTTGAGCTTTTCCCAACTCAGTGGCAACATCCCTCACAGATCCTCAGAGCTGGAAGAGAACCCAGAGATCAACTATCCCCACCCTGCCATTCTGCTAAAGAAACCAGAGCCCACAGGGGTTAGGCAGCTTGTCTAAGGTTACACAGCTTGCAGAGGCAAGTCTATGGCTAAAGACAAAACCCCTGTCTCTGGAGAGCTCCCAGCTCTTCCCAGGAGCCATGCTGAGATCACTCAGTCTACAAGTCTCTGCAGGCCAGCAGAGGTCACTTGTTTCTGCCCAGCATCCTCTCCTAGATTTCCTGAGAAGTGGGGAGAGCGCTTTGCTTCCCCTGACTTAGCTCTGAGCTTCCTCTGAGTTCCCTGACCCCTCAAGCTCTTTCTTATCTCTATTTCTGGTCCAGCTCTCTGATTCTCTGCCTGTCCTAACTGCCCTTCCCGACCCAGCCCCAAAGGTTTTCTGCCCCTCTTAGGGGGTTGGGCTCTCACTTTCCCATTACCAATGGACCTTAGTAGTCAGTCCTGCCTGTTGGATTATGTGAACACTGGCTTCATGTAGGGTACACCCCTGGAATCACAGGCAAGTCCCAGCCCCACTGCCCCAAGGCATTGATTGAGCCGCCTCTCATGAAAACCCTGTTTTTCTCAAATTGCAGGTCTGTAAGTACCATCTTCTGAGCATTCTTGGGAAGGTGGGGCAACATCCTTAAAAGTCCAGACATGATTGCTCTATTGATCAGCCCAGGTTACTCCCCAAAGCCTTTTTCTCTGGCGGATTTGTCTGTGCAAAAGAAAGGAAAGACATTGTATCCCTTTGAGTGGTGGAAGCAGAGCCAGTTCTGAGAAATCACATCTGAAGCTGTCACCCCAGGCACAACATAACAGAACCTCAACTTATGTTTGTGGTGCGAGGCAGTTTGCTTTAGTTCAGGGGCTCTCATGTCTGATGTAAATCAAAATCACCTGGGAAGCTGTTTAAAAATAAGTTCCTGCCCCCACCCCTGAACTTTGAAAACAGAGGCCCTGGGGGTGGGGGTCTAAGGATCTGTGTATTTTAAAACACTCTCTGAATGATTCTGTTGCTCAGCCAAGTTGAGAAGCCCTGCCTCGACAGGTAACAGAGTATACAGGAAGGCTGCTAGCACATTTTGGTAGAAAAAAGCATGCAGTGAAGGGTCTGAAGTACATGGAGAATGAGGTTGTATAGTTAAAACCTTGGAGGCTGAACATTTGTCCTAGAACAGGCTGTGTGGGGACAGATACTGGGCTCATCTCTCTTTGCATGAGTAGTCTTTCTTGGTCAGGAGTGTCTCTTTCAGGGTCATGCCACCTCTGGAACATAGACTGAGAAACCAAGAGACCTGTCACTCTGGCATCCTCCCCTGCCAGGGACACTGGGTGACTGGGACTGCACACACCTTTGAGGACTTCTATGTAAATAGGACGTCTGCAGTGTTTCCCATTATGGCCCCCATGCAGTGAGAGTTATCGAATGGCATTGGTAGGTCCCACTTTGACAGGGACCGTTAGCTTTTTATTCTGCATGAGTCTGATGACAAGAAAAATACATTTAAAAAATATGTGACTGAAGCATCTTTGCCGCTATCACTTCTAAAGTTTTATCTATCTATCTATCTATCTATCTATCTATCTATCTATCTATCTATATCTATCATCTATCTATTATCTATCTATCTATCTATCTATCTATCTATCTATCTATCTATCTATCTATCATCTATCTGTCATCTGTCCATCTATCTATCATCTATCTGTCTATCCTACAATAATTTAACAATTTTTATACATGGATCAGCATTGGAAGGTGGTTTGCACTGGGAGTTAAAGTGACTTTGTTGGACGTCTGTTCATCTGTCTTCCCTGGGAATGGCTCCCCTGCTCAGTAGCCACATTCCTGCTGGGTGACCTGTGAAGTCTGGCCTGTTTGCACCAGGGGTGATTCCAAACAGGCTCAATCAGATTTTCTCTTCCAATAAATTGGAGTTGGGACTGAGAAAATGAAGCTGATCTTGTCCAGTGTCTGTTCTGGCTCTACAATGTGATACTCATGAACAACGGAGAGCACAATGGGCTGAGAGGATGGAAGAACAGAGACAACTGACCTACAGAGGGAATAAGGAGACCCTGGGGAACGGTGGTCATTCCCAGGGAAGATAGATGAACACATGTCCAACAAAGTTACTTTAACTCCCAGTACAAACCACTTTCAAATGCTGATCCATGCCTAAAAGTTGTTAAGTTGTTGTATGATAGACAGATAATATATAGATGATAGACAGATGATAGATAGATAGATAGGAGATGGTGAAGGGGCCTGGTGACCTTACAGCTCCTAGTTTACAGCCCTACTGAGGGGTGGGACACTCATGTTCTTGGCTTCCATAAGACACCACCATGTCCTAAGTCAAGCCCCATTTTATTTTACATAAACCCACACCCGTATTTTGTTACTTGCAGCCATTGAGCCCTAACTCATGAACAGGAAGAGGGCCCACCAATCCAGAGATTGGAAGGCTACAAGAGCAGCTTAGGCAGAGCATTGAGGCTATAATGGATATTAATGTTAGGATTTTCTTTTTGAGCACCTACTACATGCCAGACACAAGATAAGTATTTTATATTCACCAACCTTTTAAATCTCCTCAACAACCTTGAAGGGCAAATGTTATTATCTTACCTTACAGAAAAGGGACTGAGGCTCAAGGAGAAGACACACCTTTCTCAACTCACATAATGAAGGATAGAACGGAGACTCAGACCCAGGTCTGCATGATTTGACAACCTATCTTCTTTACACCACGCTGCTTTTCTGTGTGGTGTAAGACTGAAGCGGATGCGGATGCTGGCAGGCTGTTAATATTAGATGTGGCTGGCGTATGGAGGACAAAATCCAGGAAAGCAGAAGCGGCAGACCCAGCTCAAGGTCTGAGGGTCCACTGGGTCCAAGAGTATCGAGCAGAGCCTGTCCAGTACCCTGGAGAGCTCCCAAGAAGCAACAGAGACTACATACATTTGCTCCTCGGAGACACAGGCCTGCCTGGCAGCTCCACCTCTGGAGGCTGGAGGGAGGGATTATTCACACACATGAGGAGGGGTTATTCCCTGGAACCCCGGGATTATCTTGGATCATCTCCTTTCCTCCCCCCCAGCCCAACCCCACTGTATGTTTTTCTCCGCATCAGCTTTGGAGAGGGAACGCTGTCTTAGGGTGCCCATGTCTTCACATCCAGAGTTGAAAATAACTTAAGCGGTCTCTTTCAAACCAGCCCACCTTTTCATAGATGAAGCAACTGGTAAATGTGATCTGTTAATCATGCCAGCTCTCCTTTGGCAATGTAAAAACCAAACTGACTGCTTTGCATAATAAAAGGTTAAAATTATGAGCCGTACAGGGAACAAATAAAGCTTAATCATTCAGGCTCGAAATGTGCGACCGAAGCTTCTTGCTCTTGCCTTTCACTTTTGCTCCTTCGTCGCATGTCTGACCTCAACTACAGCTGTTTATTTTTAATCCGCGTTTCCCCAAAATAGATATTAATAATTTTCCTGCAGCTTTTCTGGCAACGCCCTCTACATCGACCAAGAGCAACGATATTTCTTTAACTATATGCATTTGGGGTTTTCTTTGACACCATAAATGGATCTTTTGCTTGGTATTTAAGTTGACTCTTTGTGGGAAATGTTGGCCAGTTCAGACTTCCTTAATAAGTTCTTCATGACTGCATTTGTGATGACGTTAATGAAATCATTCTGAATATCAGTGGGCAGATAATGAGCCCAGAGGCAGAGACCAGGGCGAGGGTCCAGATGGAGGGAGGAGTGGGGTTACTGAGGAGAAGCGGGGGCAAAGTGGTCTTTCTGGTTCCTAAAGCAAGGTGATATAAATTCAAAACCCCTAGAGCCTGACTTTTCTCCCTCCATTTGGAGAGGTTTTGGAGGGGGATATCCAGGAGTTTAATGGTTCTGTCCCCAGCCTGTGTAAGAGAATGAGACTCAAGACTGTTCTCCTCCTGGAAGAGAAGCAAGCTAGGACGTTTCCTTCCACACTCATGGAGAGAGCAGGGCCTTGATGCTCTTTGGATGCACTTGGCTTTGTGCCCCTCTTTCTTGTTCTCCCTGCAGACCCCCATGCTGGCCTACCTCCCTATCCCTGACCCCAGCACCCCACACCTACACTGCCAGGAGGAGCGCCCAGCCTCCCACCTCACTCTTCCCTTTTCAATAGGTGTTGGCCTGGGCTCCTGTTCCTGCGGCCTCTGGCCATTCTCTTGTACTGGGGAGGGTGCAGAAGGTACCAGGGGCCCCTCTCAGGTCTCAGGGCTTCATCAGTCTACTCCCTGAGTCTCTAGGTGACTGTGGGCTATCTATTCTGGGCCAAGCCAACTATCCAGAGAATGGAAGGGAAAAGTCAAAGGTCTTGATGGGGCCGTGTTGGAGGGATCTGAGATGAGAGGCAGAAAGAGGCACTGTCCCCCATCCAGGCTGCCACATTCAGATGATGCATTGCACAGCGTGGAGGCCCCATTCATGTCTTATACGCTGCAGATGTGTAAGTGAATGATGACAGGTTCCCGGCAATCAGGCATCTTATACTAACAAAATCAATACATGACAGCACTTTTTCAACAATTGGAAGTAAAGGATGTTGTGGAAGGGGAATCTTTCTCTACTTTGCCTAAAGATGCTGTATAGGCTGGGGTGACCCTCTATTTGGGAACCCCATAAATTCTGAGGGACTTTCTGCATCACATACGAAGTAAATCTCATTCTATCAGTTTTGCCTCCCTGCCCCAAATGGGAAACTACACTGGTTTCCAAAGCTTCCATTCAGGGTAGGGAAAATAGGAGCCATAGACTGGGCACCTGAGTGCTCTTGAAACAGTCATGTGACTGCTCAAATCTCAGCTGTTCATCTGTATGTAGACTGTGGTGGCTGTTATACCCATTGACCTTAACTCCTGGGGACATTAGGAGGTGCAGGCGGAGAAATGATGCCCATGTGCTTTGGAATCTGAGACATGGAGTTGTTTAAAACCTCTGACACCATAAGATACACAAGGCTGCAGCAGGGGACAGCTCATTCCTCGCCCCGGCAAACAGCAGTTCCATTTCATCCTAGACATTCCAAAGCTGCTGGAATAACAGTCTGCTCTTCAGAAGGGCCATTCAATAGCTGTGGCCCTACCTGGCCCCGCTGGCTCTTCCCATAAGAAAACAAACAGGAAGGCAAGTTGGCAGTAAACAGAGTGGGACCAGGGGCCAACAGGCAGCCTCAGAGGGTGCTGTTGAGCCAGATGTGGAAGTGTTCCTGTAGGCAAGAGATGACCCGGCTGAGCAGCCCAGTCAACAAGTCCCCCAGGGAGGTCACTGGGAGGCCGGGAGCTATGGCTTTGCCTCACAGTGGGCTCAGAGAGCATTTCCTCCTCTCTGCCAGATGCCAGGTGACAGTATGGCTCACGTGTGGGTTTGTGTCCACCTTGGCCCTGTCCCTGGAGCCTGGAGCTCTCAGGTCAACCCCAGGCAGCTTGGTTAAACAACTTCTTTTCCACCTGGGAGCGGGGCGTGCCCCAGCCCGACCCCGTGGTCCCAGCTCCCAGACAGCTGGTCTCCCAGCTGGAGCCTGCAAAGGTGCCAGAGCAGCAGAACCACTCAAGCAATTGATTTGAAATAGAGGCTTGGAGGTTATGCGTATCCCATATGTACCCCCCAACCCACCCCACAAGCTGTTCCCTGTAGCCAAACATCTCAGCTCAGGGGAGTGCAAAGCTGATAAAAATAGATTTTAGCCAGAGCGGCAGAAATGGGAGGAGGGGACAGAGGCTCAGCAACCCCCTCCTTCCTGAAAAATCGCACAGGCCATGTGCTCTACCCTGGGTGAGGGGCTGGTGCTCCTTACCATCTTCCATCTCCAAAACCTCTGTGTGACAGTACCCAGACCAGTGTCCTCATGCAGGGAAGGGCAGCAGGGGGAAGAGGCTCGTGTCCAGAGGGAGGGGTATGTCATCACTTAATAGAGGATGAGAGCTTGGTTGTCAGGAATAATAATAGTGATCATGGTAATAATAGTAGTAATAGCTAACATTTATTGAGTGCTGGCTATAATATTAGGTACTGCTATATGTATTATTTAATTTACTCCTCCTAGCACAAGTGTAACAGTTATGGTGTCACAGTCAGTTTGGGTTACCATAAAAAGATACCGTAGACTGTGGGACGGGGGTTGAGGGCTTATACACTTAGTTCTCAAGGTTGGAGGGTGCCAGCATATCAAGTTCTGGTGAGCATTCTCTTCTGGATTGTGGACAGCTGACTTCCCATTGTGTCCTCACATGGTGGAAAGAGTGAGACAGCTCTCTGGGGTGCCTTAGAGAAAGGCATTTGTCCCATTCACAAGGGCTCCACCCTCATGACATAATCACATCCCAAAGTCCCCACCTCCTAATACCTTCACACTGGGGGTTAGAATTTCAGCAGATGAATTTGAGGGGAAACAAACATTCAGTCTACTGCATTTTATCAGCTCTATTTCCCAGATGAGAAACCAAAGCTGAAAGAGAGTGAGTCCTGCCTGAAGCCACCCAGCTGGTCTGTAGCAATGCCAGAATTCAAACGCAGGCCTGTCCAATAGTAAAGCTCACATGCCTAGCCATGGGGCTGTGTGGGAAGTGGACCTGCCTGTGGGGCTTGTGGATCCAAGCTGTGCAGAAGAGAAGTTGACCAGCCAGGGACTCTGGGGAACAAGGGCACAGGGATAGACAGGTGCTGGTGGCTCAGACAGATGTTCAGTATCTGAGAGGGTGCCCTCGAGAAATAGCCTGGGGTATGGTCCTAGCAGATGTGCCTCATGCCCCAGGAGTCTGGGGAGTTGGGGAAGGCTGGGCAGGTGATGCCTGGTGGGAGGGTGAAATAGGTGATCCAGCAAGCAGGTGGCCGGCTCGGGGAAAGGTTCCAATGCGGTGACCCCCAGCCTTCCATTCAAGGGCTCTTCTGAAGGCTTCAGGGGCTTCTACAGATTTAGAACCCCAGGTCTGCCCAAAGAGACTCTTTGGGGAGGGGGCTTGGGAATTTGTTTTATACAAGCTCCTTGGATGATCCTGTCAGATGCTCCAGGGACCACACTGCCAGAAGCTCTAGCCAGGAGAAGTGATGAGAGCAGGGCAGGCCCCAGGGTCAGAGACAATGGGGCTGCAGGGGAGGCAGTCAAGCCTGAGCTCAGGCAGCAGGAGGTGAGGTGGGGGCTGGCCACAAAGGCAGACACTGGCTGCCAAGAGGAGACTCCAGTTGGGTGGAGTGAGGGCTTCAGATTCTTCCATGTAGGGCTGATGGGGCACAAGTTAGGATTCAGGCTTAAAGCAGTGGGAATGAGAGGAATCTTCTCATTTCCCTGCTTACAACTTTATAGGGACTTCCTGCACACTTACAATAAGTGCAAACTCCTTCCGTGGCTATTAAGACTGCATGGTGGAGCTCTTGGCCATCTGACCTCACCCCTCCAGCTTCCCCATCCTTATTAGGCTCTATGCACATTGCTGATCTTACCTCTGAGCCTCCGAACATTCTGGTCCTTTTGCCCTGATGGGTTTCCTCTCAAGTGTGATGGTGTTTTCTAGAGGAATTTCCTCAGACAGACTTTGGACCCCGCTCTGAGATTGACACCCTCCCCCTCTACCCCAACAATTATTTTCCGTCTCAGCCCCTTGCTGCTTTCTTGCAGGGTTCTCACCAATATTCATAATGTTTTGCCCCCACTGCTCCCAATAGAGTATGCACTCCATGAGGTCGGGAACATATCAGTCTTGTTTACCTGTGTATCCAAGTACCTGCCACTTGGTTGGTACCTGATTGTATTTGGGATGGGAGGATGTGGGGAAACTGCAAGCCTTCAGGAAAATCTCTTTGGACACTTTCTGAAACATTTTCTTTTACACCAACAGTGATGGGAAAGTAGGGAAAATCCACATCACCTCTGGTTTTGTTGTCCAGGTCTGAAAAAGATGATGGGGTGGGGAAGAGGAGGTAAGTTCTCTGTCTTGCTGAAAAAGGTAAAATAAATAAATACAATAACAATTGACAGGTTATCCTTCTTCAAGGCTTTGCTTCAAATGCCACCTCCTCCAGGAAGGCCTTCCTGATCACCACCTGCATTAGGCAGTTGGGCGTGATGTCTCCCTCCTCTGAATTTGTGCTCCCCCTTTGATGTGTCTTCTGTGGTGCTTATCACACACTGCCTGGATTGTGCTGGTTGTGTGTGCATGTCTCATGTGTTATATATGTGTCTGGATTCATCAGGATGCTTTTGATTGCAAATGACAGAAACTCAACTCAACTAGCTTAACCCATGAGAAATTTATCAACTCATGTAGCTAGGAAGAAAGAGGTGGTGCTAGCAGCAGAGGAGCTGGATGGATCTGGGGCAACTCTGATGAGAGCCTCTCTCTCTCTCTTTTTCTACCTCTTCTTTTCCCTGTTCCCCATCACTTCACCTCCCAGCTTTTCTCATTGTCTTCCATCCAACGGTTCTCTATGTGGGTAGGGAATATGACCACTGCCCAGCTCCAGGCTTATCACATCATTGGTCACTATCCATGGCAGATGAGCCTGTCTCCCAGTCCTCATGGCAGATCTCATGGAAGTGTCCCAATTGGCCCTGCTTGTTCATATGCCCAGCCCTTTGGCCAATCACTCTGAATGGGAAAGGGGATTGACAAAGCCTTGTTACGTGTCCATCCTCTTAGCCAGGGCACAGACCACTGTGATTGGCAACCTCACTAGAATCATAATTAGAGAGACGGAGGAGTAGTTGCCAAAAGAAAGGAACATGAGAAAGGGGTGCTGGGCAGATAAACATCATAGAAGTTTACTAACTTATAACGGCTTCTTTTTTTAAAGTGTCTACGTGTTAGACTTGTTGTAAGACCTTTTCCATAAGCTATTTCTAATCCCTTTAATTGCCAGTGAAGGTGGGTGTGTTAGGCTGTTCTTGTGTTGCTATAAAGCAAGCTTGTCCAACCCACGGCCCATGGATGGCTTTGAATAGAGCCCAACACAAATTCATAAACTTTCTGGGCAGTTTTATTTTTTATTTTTTTTTAGCTCATCAGCTATTGTTAGTGTTTGTGTGTTTTATGTGTGGCCCAAGACTATTCTTCTTCCACTGTGGCCCCAGGAAGCCAAACGATTAGACACCCCTGTTATAAAGAAATACCAGAGACTGGGTAATTTATAAAGAGAAGAGGGCCAGGCACAGTGGCTCAGGCCTGTAATGCCAGCACTTTGGGAGGCCAAGGCAGGAGGATTGAGTCCAGAGGTTCACCACCAGCCTGGCTAACATGGCAAGACCCCATATCTACAAAAAATACAAAAAGTAGCCAGGCGTGGTGGTGTTCGCCTGTGGTCCCAGCTACTTGGGAGGCTAGGGTGGGAGGATGGCTTGAGCCCAGGAGATCGATCAATTTGCAGTGAGCTATGATTATGCCACTGCACTGCAGCCTGGGTGACAGGGTGAGACCCTATCTCAAATAAATAAATAAATACATACATAAATAAGTGGTTTAATTGGCTCAAGGTTCTGCAGGCTTTACAGGAAGTGTGGAGCCAACATCTGCTCAGCCTGTGGGGAGGCCTCAGGAAGCTTTTACTTATGGTGGGAGGGGAAGTCAGAGCAGGCCCATCATATGGCAGGAGCAAGAGCAAGAGTTGGAGGAGGTGCCACACACACATCCCAGATCCTGAGAACTCAATCGCTATCGTGAGGACAACATGAAAGGGATGGTGTTAAACCATTCATGAGAAATCTACCCCCTATCCAGATACCTCCCACCAGTTCTCACCTCCAACACTGGGGACTGCATCTCAACATGAGATTTCACGGGCACATATATTCAAATTAAATCAGTGGGTAAATTAAGTTCAGAGAGGCTAACTTGCCCAAGCCACACAGCTAGTAAGTGGCTAGTCCAGGATTCAAACATGGGTGTGTTTATCTCCAAAGCCCAAGCTTGGGTGTGTTTATCTCTAAGGCTCAAGCTTGTTCCACCACACTGTCATTCCTGGAGACAGAGATGATCTATTACTAGAAGTAAACAGATGGATAATCTCACATATTCTTACTTGGGAATTGTATCAGTCAGGATAGGCTTGGTTAAGATACAGTAACAAACAGCCCCCAATCTCAGTGGCTTAAAAACCACGGTTTTCTTTCTTACTCAGTCGACATGTCCATGACAGCTCAATAAGAGAGCTGTGTTCATCACAGCAGCTCAGGGATCTGGGCTGCAGGAAGAGCCACGATTTGTAATGTTGCCAATCACCATGCCAGAGGGAAGAGGAGCTCTGGAGGGCCCAGAACCTTCCACTCACGAGTCACTGGACATAAGTAGCCACGCAAACTTGATCCACCACAGGGGCCCCAAAAAGTACAAATCTGCCACGAACCCAGAAAGAGGAAAACCAGAAAGATTTAGAGAACAACCCTAATAAACTTTTAAAAACCATTTTGTATTTTTTGTGGTATGAAATAGAGTGATTTTTAAATGTAATAGTTTCATTTTAGATCAGTATATTATGATCAATTATATTTTAAGGTATATTTTAATCACTCTTTAATTATAACCATAATGTATAGAGACGAATTTGGGCATTTTCATCACTGAGGAGGTGATAAATGCTATTTAATTTAATCATGCAAAAAAGTGATTTGTTGACAAATTTTAATTTGATATATGTTTCATTTGAGGACCAAATGTATTTTAAAATGAATGTTGTAATTATAACTTGCAGCATAACAATGTTTTTTAGGACCTCATATTTGAACTTAATGAAAATTTTGTATTTCAAAAAGCAAGATTTTTTTTTTTTGATGTAAAGGATTTTCTCCCACTGGATATTGAGATTAAGGGTATGAAACCACTATTTTTTTGTTTTGTTTTGTTTTGATTTGAGACAGAGTCTCACTGTGTCCCAGGTTGGAGTGCAGTGGCGTGATCTTGGCTCACTGCAACCTCTGCCTCCTAGGTTCAAGCGATTCTTGTGCCCCAGCTTCCTGAGTAGCCGGGATTACAGGCGCATGCCACCACACCCAACTAATTTTTGTATTTTTAGTAGAGATGGGGTTTCACCATGTTGGCCAGGCTGGTCTCGAACTCCTGACCTCAGGTGATCCACCCACCGTGGCCTCCCAAAGTGTTGGGATTACAGGCGTGAGCCACCTCGCCAGGTCAGAAACTGCTATTTGTTAGCACTTCTCAAAAATACATTACAGGACTGGATCATCTTTATTCTTAATAAATAAAAATGCCAAATTGGCCATAATTGTCAGTGTGTTTTCTCTTTTTAGCATTGGTTTATGGGGTACTAGAAACATTTTTAGAATTATTCTATTTTTTATGTTCCTTATTAACTTGATAGTGTATTTCCTTCTCAGTGTTCCTTATGCTTCTTGTCTTAAACCAATGGTCCATCCATCCTGGGTGTAAATTAAACTGAGTATGACTAAACATAAAAAGAATTTAATGCTGCATGATAGTGAAACCCACCAGGATGGTTAGTGGTGTTCGGCTGAGTGCTGAGCCAACGGCCTGGAGACTGAGTCACAGCCAAATTGATCTCCACTCCCAGGGAAGGTGTGCTCTCCTGGCATGCCTTCAGAGCACTCACGCCCTTCCATTTAGAAAAGTAACTATTTTATTATTGATTTAGAAAATAAATGAAACATACTATCATTGCCTTGAAGCACGCAGATGCTTGCAATATCTTCAGGAGCCCGTGAGGATCACAAATAGCACACTGGGAAATGTTTCACCACGCCAGCTTCCACCGACTGTAGGCGCCTGGGGGTACATCGGAACTCAGCCATCTCTGCAGGTGACAGCCTCGTGGTGCCCAGCCCAGTGGGTTTTGCATAGGCTTAGATGCTTGCTATTTGTAGATTGTTGCTGATATTGCTTGATATTTGGAAGGGCAAAGAAAAAAAGGAGGGAAAGACCGACTACCTCCTCTTGAGTATATTCTGCTTCCCAGTATACAAGGGGGTTGACTGCACTGCCCAGGTCTGGATCATGTCTACACAGCCCGAGGAATGAGAGGTGGTGGTTGGCAAGATGCAGCCAGGGCCGGAAAGAGATGCAGAGATCCCCCAGGAACCAGTGTGTGAACTCTCTGGCCGTGTCCTCCCCCTGCCATGAAGAGCCGAGATAATGAAGATAGAACAAGCTCAGAGCAGGGCAGAGAAGCCATCCAGGAGACATGACTTACGGGAGGAGAGTTTAATTGGTTTAGCCTAAAAAGCCCATTACGCTCTCTGGTGGACACGGTAATGCTATAAATATCCACAAGGTGACAACAAGGGAGAGAGGATGGGTCTGTCTCGCTGATAGACTGTTAAGACCGGCGGCGCAGGGGGAGGCAGGCCCTGCTGGGGGCTTGAGCTCATTTCAGGGGCTTGGAGATGTTTTTACAGTGAGAATCCTTTGTTCAAATGAAAGCATACATGGAACTCTGTAACATGAAACAGATGGATAGCTAAGCTTCTCTAGCAGAAGCAAAGGTCATTCTTTGCCCCAACTCCTGCAGATACCTCACCTCACCCTCCCTGCAGCGCCCCGGCATCTCCTCTAGGCTCAGTTGGAAAACCTGTAGGTGAGCTACTCAGAGGCCCCCAGCTCTGACAGTCCTTGCTGGGGAGTGGCCGTGTCTAAGCAGGAGGTGAGGGTGAGGCACCCGAAAAGACAGTCTGTGGGGATGCAGCTTAAAGCAGGGCCCCTGTGTGGAAAGGGGTTTTTGCTGCCAAGAGATCCTGGGAGTGGTGAGACAGTACCCATCAAGCCTCGGGAAGGACTGAGCTCGTTAAATCACAAGTCGTATCTCACTGGCAGCTGCAGTCTTGGGAGCAGGCATTGGCAATGGATTGTGAGCAAGCGCATGCCTGTGGGGTCTCTCACATGGTCGGGAGGGGAGCTCAGCTTTCAGGGAGCATCTCAGAGTGTGCAGATGGGAGGGTGTTAGGGAAAAGGAGGCAGGGTGATGAGCACGGCGGCAGTCCCGGACCCGGAGTGTGGAGGCTGAGCTCCAATCCCTGCTCTCTGTAAATCTGCCATGTGACCTTGGGTTGTTTGGCTCTCAATTTCCTGATCTGAAACACAAGGTTGGATAAGAAGAGGGAGTGGGATGGAGGCGTAAGCTGCGGCCGCCCGTTCCCAGCCCTCTTCCGCCCTCTTATGGCCACCCCTGAACCAGCCTTTGCTAGGCGGCTTCCCAGGGCCTCCAGGGCCTGCGAGCCCAGTCTGGGAAAACTGGGCTTGGCAATGACCCTGGCAAGGGCATCCCAGGCCGTGGCTCCTGGATGAGAGAGACAGAATCAAATCTGCCCTGGGGGGAGGGGAACTGGGAGAGCTCCTTTGCCAAGGGACCACACTTGGGGGCCACCCTTGAACCTCTTTCTAACAAGGAACAAAGGCAGCTCCACGAGTGACTCCTCTGCTCAGAAACACAGCTCTCTGCTGCCTGGAAATCACAAAAAGACGCTGAGTGATGGGGTGCCCTTCTATGCTCTGGTTCCCTCCCAGTTTCTTTCCTCCCAATTTCCCTCCTCATCTTCTATGCCTCTATTTAGCCCTCAGGACGTGACAGTTCCCAGATCTCTGCTGGATGCCTCCCTTTATCTGAAATGCTGGTTCCAGCCTCCAGCACTCCCCCTAACAGGGAACAGGTACTCACTCCCTCCTCCCTGTGAGACACAATTAACAGTGACATACAATTTTTTAATGTGAAAATCAACCACCAAGCAGGCCAGGCATGGTGGCTCACGCCTGTAATCCCAGTACTTTGGGAGGCTGAGGTGGGAGGATGGCTTGAGCCCAGGAGTTCAAGACCAGCCTGGGCAAAATAGCGAGACCACATCTCAGAAAAAAAAAGAAAACCAGCCACAAAGCCTACTACTCACACCTGTTATTCCTCAGTAGGAGCCATGGTGCACCTGGCCTTTTGTTCTTGGTTTTTCATCACTGTACAATGTTTTTTTCCTGCTGATCCATAATCCTTATGGTAGTAATTTAGCAGCTGCATGATTCATCATTATACAGACTGGTGGCTGTCAGTCTGAGTCTAGGGGCTGTCCAGGTGATGGCATCCAACTTCTCCTTTCACCCCAGGAACTCTGCATTTACCTTTCTCCCAGCTTCATTGTCTTGTTATAACACACTGGGGGTTTCAGGAAAGATTTTATTTGGAAAAAAAATCTGTGGTTTAAGACACTTAAAAATCACGGAGCTAGATTAACAAATATGCACATAACCAAATGCATAACAAATATGCACATAACCAAATGCATCATTTCAAAGAATGGTTTTGCACATGCAGACTTTCCCTCTTTTAAAAGTGTCTCGCTGGCATTTTTTTTTCTCCCCTGCCTGGCGTTGTCCTTCTCTGGAGAATGCGTTTGCCTCGACCCTTCTATTAGAACAGGACTCCTGAGAGTCAGGGGCTGGGTCCTGCTCATTTCAAAGCCTGGCAAGGTGCCCCGCACACCGTGCACGCTCCCTTGTGGAACTGAATATGAAGGTGGCTCCACGGGGGAACTGGGACGTGCCTATGTTGGATGGACAAGACGTTCCAGTTCAGAATTTCTCAGCACACCAGGGAATGGCAGAGGTTCTCCAAGATAATTTTTGTTGTCAGGGTAGGGCCAAGACCACCTCCCTTGCCAGGCTCTGGGGGGACTCAGAGAGTCCTTGCCCTGGGAAGGGTTTTGTCAGGAGCACCAGATGAAACAGACCACGCTGGCCTCCCTCCAGGGTTCAGGACAGGCCTCGGCCTCGGCATTCATTGCTGGAGCCTTTCCCACATCCTCCACTGCACACTCGCTGGTCTGTGCCCATCACTGCACCTGAATGTCCTGCTGGTGAGGCACCTAGCTGAGAGAGATGTGTCCCTGGGCTCTGCTTGGAGGAATAACCCTTGGCCCATCTCCTGTGCTGTGACCCTCCACGCCTGCCCTCAAGTCATGTCCCCAGGAGGAAACTGCCAGCCAGTCCCCAGCAAGGGGGAATAGTGAATCAGAACACAAAGAGGCTTTTGGCTGGGTGCAGTGGCTCATCCCTTCCCAGCCCTTTTGGAGGCTAAGGCAGGTGGATCACTTGAGGTCAGGAGTTCGAGACCAGCATGGCCAGCATGGTGAAACCCTGTCTCTACTAAAAATACAAAAATCAGCCAGACGTGGTGGCAGGCACTTGTAATCCCAGCTACTCGGGAGGCTGAGGCAGGAGAATCGCTTGAACCCAGAAGGCGGAGGTTGCAGTGAGCTGAGATCGTGCTACTGCACTCCAGCCTGACACAAGGAGGCTTTAGCAAGCCAGCCTACACCCTCATTTATTGATAACCTAATAGGGCAACGACTGGCTCAAGGCAGGGTCTAGGGTTCCTGGTGCCTCCATCAGCATCACAGTGTTAGGTGTGGCTCCCGACCCTCTTCCTTGCATCTCTCACTGGACAGGAAACAGGAGAAAAACACCACCGGCCTAGAACTTGGGAGACTTGATTTTTGGAGATCCCCATCAGAGTGAACTCGGGAACAGCACCTGAGCCCTCTTTCTGCCTTAGTTTATTCAACTATAAAGCAAGCAAGTTGACTCTCAGGTCTCCAAGGGGCGCCCAGGTGTGGTGTCTTATCGTTTACACGTGGGGAGTGGGATTGGTAAGGGATTCCATTTCCTTGGTTGTGGCTCCAGGAAAATGTCCTAAATCAGGGAGTACCGTGTGAGTTATCCAACCTGGGACACTTCTGAGAGTAAAAGGGAGTTTTGTTTATAAATACATAGGGACAACACGTGGAAACCAGGTAAACTGGTGCATATGGGTGCCTGGGTGATGGGATGTAGGTTAAGCCACAAGCACCCACACAGCTCACCTCCCAAGAATCCTGTAGGTTGCTTGCTGACAGGAACAGAAGAGCAGCAAGATTAGTAATGCCGAAGACCAGACCTGTTTCTCCCTCTTCCCACTTGTGGCATGGCTGATACTGCAAGCTCCATTCCAGAGAGATGAGCCTCCTCCCACTGGGGAGTCCATGGGGCACATTGGATGCCCTGGGCGCATCACTGGGCTTCTTCCAAGAAAGAGCACTATGACAGCTTCTCTCTGAATGGCAGAACCTCTTGTTGGTTTATAAAGTCCTTTCATTGCACTTGAGCTCACTTCATCTTTATGGCATTCTCAGCGGGAAGGCATCATGATTCCCATTGTACAGGCGGGAAAATTGACGCTCAGAGACATTAGCTTGTCCCAAATCCCATGGCTATAAGTGGCCAAGTTGGGCCCCAGCCCAGGTGTGTGGCCCACTCCTCTGGCCCTCCGCAGTCCACCACACCCTGCTGGCCATGAGCTGTGGCTACACAGCACAGGCGTAAGTGCTTAGAATGGGAAGCAGAGTTTGGCGGTAGGGTCATAAATTATTTGCTAAAACCTCAGGCTAAGTACTAGGCATTCTGTGGTTTTTACTAAGTGCAAATGCCTTCCCTCAAGTAGAGGACCTCTGTAGGCTGGGCTTGCTCAGCCAGGAATTCACCTTGGGATTCTGAAGATATGTATAGCTTCGCTGTTTGTGGATTTCACATTTATGAGCCCTTCCTTGGCACTTGTCATAACTGTCCGTTAAAAGTTTGCATTTTTCCCATCTGCAAGGGCCCCTCTCCAGCCTTTTGGGTTGAACTTGTCTCTACCTTGTTCAGGATTTTGGAACTATAACAAGGGAAGGAATTACTAGTGAGGAAGCACTTACTATTTGCAGGATCCATCACTTCTGTTAGCTAGTTAAATCCTCAGTGTGAGCCTAGGAATTAATCGAACTTATTTTCAGATGTGAAAACGGAGTCTGTGATTTGGCTGAGTCACTCTAGGGAAGGGAGAAGCTGGTTCTTAAACCCCTGTGGAGCGGATTGCTTCTCCCTTCCCTGTAAGGGTGAGGGCCACCAATTCCAGGGAGTAGTTCTCAGAAGCCAGTGACGTCCTAGACAGGACTTTAAGCTACATTTAATTGAGGCCAAGGTGGAAGCTGTTCCAAGAACTCAGGGACACTTGGGAGTGTTAAAATCTGTTTCTAGAATTCCAAGGACAAAGACCTTGGAAAGCTGCTGACAAATGCCCATTAAAGGGCCTGTAGAATTCAATTAAATCCAATGAACATTTATGACTGCCTCCTATAAGCCAGGTGCTGTGCCAGGTGCTTTGGGGAAGCAAAGCTGAATGGGCAGGTCCCTGCAGTTATGGAACTCCCTGGACAGCGACACTGGCATTTCTGGCCTCACCACACAGCAGCCCCATGCCACCGAGATGGAAGAACAAAGAATTCTCTGGCAGGGGCCATCAAACGTGTTTATGAAGCATTGAGTTCTGGAACCTTCTCCTGTAGCCCATCCACATTGGCATTTTCAAAGACTTAAGAAGGAAGGACATTTGTTTATCTTTCTTTAGAGTTTCCCGAACTTATCCAACAGTGGAGCTCCCTCCTCCTATGTCCTCTTGCCCCTGGTGGAGTATTTACTAACATCCTCATAATATTCCATGGAACACATTATGGGATACGGCAGCCTGGGGGCAGCTCCATGGTGGGCCTGGGAGGCTAATGGACATGTTCTCTTCTTTTAGAATAAATCGTTTGGGGATGTCATTACTTCTTGCTCTTTGCTCTCTCGGACAGAAGATGCATCTGCGGATGCTTGGGTTTAGCTTTGGTAGCTTACTTAAAAGGGCGTCTTTCAAAATTGGGGATTACTCAGGGCTTTCAGCCTTTTCGCTAAAGAGATCCCTTGGGTCAGCATACGAGTGTTTGGGGCACACAAACATGGCCACAGCTTTCATAACATATGCAATAGCACAATTTCCAACAGGGGACTGATGCAGCCTAAATTTTAACAGAGAAAACACACTGGAAAACAACACGGGGAGGGGCCATTTGGCCTCTAGCTTGGGGGCTTTGGTCAACAGGGCTCCACTTTCATCTCTACTGAGGTCACCTTGCCCCACTGGCCAGACTCCAGGCACTTATTTGCAGGATGAAAATGGGTGGGCAGCTGTTGACAGTATCACAACATCCAAGCCTTGGCCTCGTGTATCTGTGGCCTCTTCTTGGAGGTGACACATTGATAAAGCTGTTTACCCAGCACAGCCAGTGCAAGGAAGTAACTTAGATCCCCAAGGCTGTGGCAAAATTAAATGCCTTCATGGGTGTGGTGACATTTTTCCTTGGTTGAGAAATAGCCTGGCACCATGACTAGGGCACGTTCTCCAGTGTCACACAGGCTTGGCCCTGCCTTGGGCCTGTTGTGTAATCTTTCTGAGCCTTGGGCTTTTCTGTAAAACAAGGATAATTCCTACCTTCGAATGTCCAGTTCTTGATGAATTTAGAGGCCCCCTGGGGTCTACCTTTAGGATTAGATTGTCAAGTCAATGTGAAAATGCTTTATAAACTGTAAAGCTCTGTACAAATGGAGAAGATTGCAGCTAAACTTTACTGAGTACTCTCTTTTCGCTGGAGTCTGTTCTCAATGAGTTACACGCATTATCTCATGGAAGACTCATAACAACCCTATGAGGTCGGATACTATGATTCTCCCCATCTGACAGACGAGAAAACTGAGCCTCAGAGAGGTCGAGTAACTTGCCTAAGGTTACATGTGATGGAACTGGATTTCCTCCCAGGTCTGTTTCTTTGCAGAGCCCCAGACCTCAGTTCTGTAATCTTTGCTGGAGAAGAAGTATTCTCCTATTGGGGGCTGGCCAGGGGAGAGGGGAGTCTGAACATTCTGAGGGAGGCACAGGATTCTAGAGGCTCCGAGTTCTTTCCTGGAGTCTTTTATGTTAGGTACCCCCAAAGAGAGAAGCAGCCTTCTCACCCTGGCCCCTGCAGATAAGGGTCCTTCCCTTTCTCCTGGTGATGAGGTAGGAGCATGATGAGGGTACTGCTTCTGCTGTTGCTGTGATGTTACTGGTAATATGGACAGTTATGGAACCTTTTATCTTGCTTCATCCTCACAACAACTATGAGGGAGAGAAAGCACAACACCCCACTTCATAGTTGGGGAAACTGAGGCATAGAGAAAACTTGTGCCTGGTAAGCTCCAGAGCTGAGACCCAAACCCCGATGCTGGCTCTCGAGCCTGAACTTCACATCCTCGGAATGTTGGGGTTTCAGACCCTCTGGAAGGCCCCAAGGTGAAGCACCTCCTGTGGTCCAGTTCCCAGGCCAGGTCTGGAGAGAAAGAGGTGGGCTCTCCATATATTTCCATCTTACCAATCTTTACAATTGAGGTACATCCGACTGTGCCGATCTCACAGATGAGCAAAGGCAGGTTTAGAGAGTTTACAGAGATGTGTCCAAGACCACCTAGCTAGGAAGGAGTGCCAGTCTGCTGGGCTCCAAAGCCCACCTTTGTCCCTCTACCTCTCAGTCACCCTTAGGAACCCTTCTGCTCTCTGAAGTTCTCATCCAAGCACACTGTGTGCTTCTCAGTGGGGCACCCATGGGACCAGGACTCTCGGCATATTTACTTTAAGCCTCTTTCTCAGCAGCTCAGACCCAAAGACAGGTGGTAAGAAGAGAGGGGGAAACATGGTAATGAGGGGGACCAAATCACCCATCTTACCCCTGTGATGGCCACACCCATAAGAGTCTCTGCAGATAACTTTGGCCTCTGGATGGACATTTTCCTGTTCAGAAACTATGACCTGCTCTTCTCCTCCCAGAATCTCATGCTCTTCATGCATCGTAGCAGCACAGAAGGCACCAGGACCAGGAACTTACAGGAAAACTCAGGTCACGAGATCTGAGGCATGGTTGCAAGATCCAGGCGCAGAGTCACTGTGCTGGGAAGTGCTAATGGCGGGAGGGGTGTCTGCACAGGCTGAGCTGAGGGAAGCAGGGATAATGCATTCATTTATTTACTTCTTCCTTTCACTATGCTTTATTAAACACCTACTGTGTGCCAGGCACCGTGGTGAGTGCTGGGATTAAGAACAGAGGCTTTGGAGCTCATTGGACTGAATTCAAATTCCAGCTCCATCCCTGAGCAAGTCACTTAACCTTACTGCTCATCAGTATCCTCAGCTCCAAAATGGACACAGTGGCAGCACCCCACTCACTGAGCTGCAGTGAGGATTAGATGAGGTTATGTATATTAAGTACTTACAGCAGTGCATGGCTTATAGTAAGAGCTGAATAAATGGTGGCTATTAGTGCTATTATTATCTCTGTCCTTGGGAGTTCACAGTCTGGTGAGGCACAGGCATTAAAAGAAACAGATAATTTCCTAATGACTTGGGCCAGGAAGTGAGCTACACTGAGTAATGAGTGTCAGAATTTCCTGCCTCCCTGCTCTCTATGAAATGCACTGAGGTCACATTCTGTGCTTTGTTTCAGGATGGAGTCTGACTGGAAGTACTCCCTCTGCCCTGGGTGCTAGGGGGCTGAGGTCCAGAAAAGGGGTCCTTGCCATCTTCCCTTGTTTGGTTTCACCTTCTGAAAGGAGAGAAAAACTGTTGGGATTGGAAGGAGGAACCAAGGCTCCTTACAATTCTGCACTGCAGACAAGAGACAATGAGATGGAAAATCCAAATGGCCAAATGAATATATAAGAGCAGGAAGTTTGACAGTTTTGATGACAAGCAGCACATGAAATGATAATCCCCTGGCAGGTGACAAGCATTTTGGAAGCAACAGAACAGAAAGGGATTAGTGGGGTGAAGTTAGGGACCCTTGCTCCCTGGTCTGGTGGAATGCCTCTGGGGGAAGGGGGACCACGTCCACTTTCTAGACTTTGCAGAGGGCTTCGTCACCTGAAAGGATCACCCAGAGGCCGACTATTCTCAAGCGTCACTGCTTTTGTTATACTCATGATCTTAAGGACAATATTTGCCCAGGGGCAGAGGGAACTAGACTTTCCAGGGGCCCCAGAAAGACTCAGTTTTAATCAAAATGGTGAACACCTTTCTGTCAGATCCTAACTGTAGAACATACACACTTTATTTTGTTCTTTTGTATTGTCAACTTTGTACCCAAAAGATCATCTCTCAAGAGCTATCTTTAAAGAGATTTTTTTTTTTAAATGATGTCTCAATTTAGAGTCAATCATAGTCTGGATGGAAAATTCTCCTTCCAGGAGGTCAGGTGTGCTGATCTTAGGATGAGATAGTACTGAAGCTAAACGTGCCTCTGAGGTTTGCCTGCTGGTGGGGCCAGTCCCCACCAGCCACTGACAGAGTCCAGGCAGGTTCTAGGCCCCACAGTTATATTAAGCCAAGACTCTGGGCAAGAGTCAGACTGAGGAAAAGGGACCCCCAGAGGAGGGATTGACTGGTGAACCAGCATCACCCCAGGTAATGACACTTCCCATTCGGAGTGATCTTTTCTTGGTGGGTATAATAGTGGCCCCCAAAAGATATGTCCATGCCTTAACCCCCTGGAACCTACGAATGTGACCTTATTTGAAAAATGGTTTCTGCAGATGTGATCAAATTAAGGATCTTGAGGTGAGATTATCCTGGATTATCTGGGTGGGCTCTAAATCCTTACAAGAAATAGAAGAGAAGGGGCCATGTGAAGACAGAGGCAGAGCTGGAGGGGGGCAGCCATGAGCCAACGGGTGCTTGGAGCCACGAGGAGCTGGAGGAGGCGAGGAAGGCTTCTGTAGAGCCTTTGGAAGGCGGGCAGCCTTGCTGATGCCTTGATTTGGACCTTGTGTTACTGATTTTGGACTTGTGGCCTCCACAATTGTGATAGAATAAATTCTGCTGTATTCAGACTCCACGCCTGTGGTCATTTGCTATGGCAGCTGTCGGAAATGGATCCAGTGGGGACAGAACTAAGTGATGAAAACATTCATTGAAGAGCTGAGCCCATGAAGACCATGGCTAACAAACAGGCAGGAGGCCCAAGGTGGGTTGTTGAAGACAGAGAGGAAGAGGGGTCCACAGCCTCTCATCCTCATCCTCGGCCAGCATAAGCTCAGGCCAAAGATGAGCTCACCCTGAAGTACCCAGGCGAGCACCATCCCGGGTGACGTGGGCGGTCATGGCGCCTCTCTCTTCGAATCTTGCGCAGATGGCCCTGGTGCCTCTCTCTTTGATTCTTGCTTTTCCATCCTTCCCATTATGCCCACTGGCTTGCCGTGGTTACAAGGAAGAGATCTGCTCAGGTGATTTAAGAAAGCGTGAGCACATGGGGCCCAGACATATCATCTCAGCAGCAGCCCAAGTCACACTGGAATCCGGTACTTCAACCACGTGCTGGTGGCTGCTGGGCTCAGGACAGTGCTGGTGACCCTGGGGGAACTGCCCTCAGTCCTGGGGCACTTCTGACACCAGAGTCCTACATCTGGGGAGCTGGAAGGGGCTTTCTGAACTCTCATGGACTGGATTCCTACACACAACAGCTCAGTCTTCTCACCCCCGATCCTTAATTTTTTACACATACTTCTCCTCCACTGCTGGGCAGACTTAGGAGCCCACAGCATGAATGAACAAGCAGCAAGCAGATGCTAAGAGAAACTTCGCACGCAGCCAGTCTCAGCTTGGCAGCTTATTATTTTTTTTCTAGAACACGTGTGTTTGTGGTTGTGATATTATATTGCACACATTAATATAGTCATATTTTCTGCTCGTAAAATTGTTCCTGGCTCATATAATGGGATTAAATATATCAGTATTTCATGGTGTTCCGCAAAAAGCCCCATAACTTCCAGGTGCTCAGCCACATGGGCAAGTTTGAGAACCACTGATCTATAATAAAGTAAAATCATCGAACACATAAGTAAGCAGGAGGTCTGAAAGGAATCATTTGTCACCAATCCATCAGCATTCTGGGAGGTGGTAATTGTCCATGTGTACAGGCAAACTGATAAATGAAAGTTATTTTAAATTTTCAAAAAGTATTTGATTATACTTTGCATCTAATAGAATTGATATGAAACACTGAAGACCTCTCTTGGCTCTCAGGGCCAAGCCAGAAAATCAGCCTTAGGACTTCATGAAATAAACATAGCCTTGTGACTTCATGGCCACGCTTTGATTTGTCCATCTCATTCTGTCCACGTAAATGGAGGCTGCATGTGTAAACGCCACATCACAGATGCTGGCCCTGGCCCCAGAGTTCATAGGGTCTGCCGCTCCATCAGTTGACTTGGGAAGTGTCCTCAGGAGAAAGGAATATCCTGGCATCTGGGTCATTGTCTCCCTAATCTGAACTGAATCCTACTGAGGTATCAAATTCAACCTGCAAAGGGTCCTCAAGTCCCTGAAAACTATTCTCAGCAGTTATTTGCAGGAAGACATTCTTTAAAGGCCAGGAAGCCTGGATGTTGTCCACCTGCTAGAAGACATTGTTCTGCCTCCTGCGGAACCCAGCAATGGACTGGCTCCAGGTGGAGTGTGGAATGCATGTTAGTCACTGGGCATCCTCGAACTGGAGACGGTTTAGAGAAGTCTGCTGAAGACCAAGGGGGTAATGATTTGTGATAAGAAGACAGAGAAATAACAAAGAATAATCATGCAGTAATAATAAAAATAAAATAAGCCTCTCTTAATTATAATGTAGTAATATCATATGATGAGGATGAGAAAGAAGAAAATGGCTCAGAAAAAGCAAGTTAAGCCAAGAATGAACTTTAGGCCTGGAAAGGGTGACTCCAACTTTGGCAAAAGGAATTGTGCCTTTGTAAGATGGAGTTCATGATGAGAAAGCATAGGCAGAAAACTTAACAAGAGAAAACAAGATGCAGCAAAATCTTCCTTTGATGGATCCACAACTGGCTCTTAAAGAAAATTCTGGGTTCAGAGGCGTGTTGTTTATTCCGTGATCATTTATTCAGACCCTGTCCCTACCGTGTGTTAGACACTGGGCTAGGCCCTGCGGAAACAACTGTTCAGAAGACAGACACTGTCCTGCCCTTTAAGGAATGAACTCTTCGGTGAGGAATCCATTAACACAGGTGGTAATTACAATGTCATGTGATAAGGGTTATCACTAGGAACCCAGGATCCCCCAGTCAAGGGAGCAGGGATAAGGGTGGCCATCCCCGTGTCTCTGCTAGAGAAGGAACCTGGCTTACTGAGCCCTGGGCAGTGTCTCTCACACTAGGACACATCATGGTCCCTGGAGAGCAGCTACCAGGAGCGCAGATCATTTTGAAAGCATTTTAATGACAGGGTCCATTCATAATGCAGCTACTGCAGCCCCAGAAACTCAGACAACGGGCAATACGATGGAGTCTACACTATTATAAATATTTGATCTCCTAAAACAATATTACCGTAAATATTATTCACTGCCCTGGAAAGCTTCAAGCTCATGGTTTAAATTTCCCCCATTAGGAGCCTAATGAAGAGGATTTCAAAGTGCACTATCTGGGGACAGGGCTTCCTGGCAGGCTCCAGGCTAGGCCCTGGGGAGGGAGGGTAAATGCAGGCCAGGTGGTGCTGGCTCTGGGTGAGGAAGACAGGCAGGCCCAGAGGGAGGAGTACCGCAGATGTCAGTGGAGAAGCCTGCACTGGGGCCCCTGGGGATCTGGGGGAACCTAGCAGGGAGGCTGCACTTTATCCAGGGTCCCAGAGAGGAGTATGGGACTGCGGCTGACTCTGCTTCAGATTCACTGGGTGGCCTCAGGCTCAGTACAAAGTCACCTCATCTGCCAAATACAGACAATACCCGGCCCTACCTTCTGTGGTGAACATGCGGGAGAATGTAGGGACCTAGCACAGGGCTCTGCACGTATTAAGTGCCTAGGAAATACCAGCTGTTAGCACTGCAGCGAGCGCGGCTCCTGCATTCTGCTGCTGCTGGTACTGCTGCTAATTGACAGCCCACATCCTTCAGGTTACAACCCATCCCCCTCACCACGGCCCACAAGCCCCTCCTCCATCTTAACCACCTCTCTGCTGAGACAGGCCCCAGGCCCTGGCAGACACTTGGTGTTGCCCCTCATGGCACTCGCCCTCCTTGCGCTTCCCCTGCTGCTTGTTCTCTGTGGCTGGAACGCTCACGTCCCCCTCTGCCTGGCCAGCTCCTTCGGGTCCATGATGCTTTAACTGCCGGTGCCCCGTCCGTGGAGCCTCCCTGACCCTCGGGCACCCGGGAGACCTCTCCTGTGGGCTCCCCGAGGGCCCTGATTCTCTGTAATAGGTGCTTGCTGGCCAATTCCCTCTCCATGCAGCCATGAGCCTCTGGCAAGCAAGGATGGAGCCTCACTCATCTTTCTACCTCGAGGGCCCAGCAGAGTGCTTGGTGCATGGGGCTCAGTAGTTGCTTGTTGAATGAATGAATGTATTACACAGAGATTTACAATCTCCAAAGGATTTTCATACCTGGTGTGCTTTTGCTCTATGGGATGTCCTGGGAGCATTGTGGTGCTTCTCAGAGGCTCAGGGAGGCTAAGCGAATTGTCCAGAGGTACTCAGCAAGTTAGGAGCATGATAGTAACCCAGGTGCATCTATACCCTGAGCCCAAGGGATGCTGAGTGATTACAGGGTATTCTGGGGCCTGGGTTGTGTGAAAGGACTCAGGGCATCTTTTTCTGACTGTGACTGATTTAAGAGGTGGGGACTCTGACAGAACTATTACTCCTGGCTCTCCTGCAGTTCCAGGTTATTGGGGGTGAGGTGGGAGTGGAGGGGTTCTTCCTGGAGCTAGAAACCATCAAATCTCTCAGAGTCATCAGATCCTATGACAGGGCTCTTGGAGGAGGAAACTGAGGCACAGAGAAGTTGGTTCACCTGCTCAAGATCACACAGCTAGTCAGTGGTAGAACTTGGCAAGGAGCTCAGGCTCTTATCCACTGTTCATTTCCATGGGTCTTTGACACAGAGATCACGCCAGGGTCTAAAACAAATCTAGCCCCCAGGATAGCTGGCGCTGATGATTTAAAGGGCCTGGCAGTGCTTAATCTTTCTGCCCAGCTCCCTCATTTTAGAAAATGTTGAGATTTAAGAGCTCATAAAACTGAGCTATAACAGTGCCCTGCCAAGAACTCTGCACAGGGCTTTCTATCCTGGGCCGCCCAGCCCAGTGGTCTCAGTCTTGTCCCCAGTCACCCTGGGAGAGTTCTGCCGTCGATTACAGCTGCTGAGCTCCTTGGGCCCTTAGGAGGCCCTTCAGGTCATCTATGTCCTTGCCAGGGCTAGAATGACGTGCGGCGTGGCAATGTATGCAGTGACTGGCTAAGTTCATAAATTGTTCAGGACTCCGGCAGCAGTGGCGGCAAGACTGGGCATCAGGGTTCTGCCTGTCACCAAAGCAAGTGAGCATTGACAAGCATTTGCACAGGGACCACCTTTCTGTGGCCACAGCAAGGCCGAGGTGACAGATGCCCATGGAGGCAGCTCTGTGGGCACTTGCGGCCCTACTAATCCATTTTGATGGTGGTTTTCTTCTGGTTGAAACTCCCTTCGAAAGTCTAGGGCTCATGTCACCAATATATACATTCTCCAGCCATGCCTCCAGCACCTAGCATGGTCCTGTCCAACAGCAGTATCCAATCAATGTGTACTGGGTGGAAGCATGGATGGATAGAAGGAAGAGAGGGAGAGACAAAGGGAAGGATGGTAAATTCATTATGAAAACAACCCCATTTCTTCATGTCTCTCTGTATCCACACCGCTTGCAATGTGACTTTTCAGCTCCTCACATGAAGAATTGGAGGGCTTTCCCCCCTATCCCTTAAGTCTAAGTTGCATTTGTGACTTGCTGTGGCCAATGGAATGCAGTGGAAGTGACAATGTACCAGCTCCAAGCCAAGGCCTCAGGACCTCTTGCATACTTCTGCTTTTTCTCTTGGACCTGGCCAAGCCACCAAGTGACTAAGCATGAGCTGGCCAAGTGCATGATGACAGACACATGGCCCAGCCACCCCTCCACCCCCGCCTGTGGCCAGCCATCCCCCAGGCACATGTGTGAAGGGCCTCAGGCTGCCCCAGCAGCTGAGCTGCAGATGCAAGAGCCCAGTTGAGGTCAAACAAGCCTGGTTTAGATCTTCCCTGTGGAATGATAGTCTCATGAGTGATAATAAATGCTTGTTGCTTTCAGACTACTGAGCTATGGGGTGGTTAGTTATGTAGTGACAGTTAACTGATTCAGTATAGAAACCTTGGGAAACTATGCTCTCCATGTTCCGCAGAGCCCCAGTGTCTCCTTTTCAGAGGCCTCTTCCTTGTCCCCTCTTATCCTATGCCATTCTCTCCTGCCACTCTAGCCAGAGCCTTCCATTCATGTTTGGACTTTCTTTTTCTAAGTCCATATCTAAGATGTTGTGCAAGCTCTTTCAATTCAATTCAGCCAACATTTATGGAACACCTGCTACACAAAAGACGTCATTCCAGGTGCTATGGAGATGGAGAAAAATAACACATGACTCTTGCTTTCAGTACATTTAATGGCCGTAATAGCAGCAGTATTAAAGATAACTGATATTTGCACAGTACTTGACACTAAAAGCACTTTCACATGTTATCATATATTTGAATTTATGATTTAGGAGTTGACACAGCAGGTCAGAAGCAGATTCAGCTATTACTGAGTATCTACTGTGTATACAGCACCATGACAGATGCTGGTGAAAATAAATGTCACAGGGGCACTGTAAAGATTCGAGCTTCACTCAGTGCTGGAGTGGTTACGTCCACTCCCTTTTAAGCTGTATCCCTCCTTGTAGAGGAAAATTGAGATGCCAAACCAAACACTACAAGGAACACAGGTAAATTTCCACCTTGAGGTTCAGAAATGAATTTTGCAAGTGCAGTTAGGGGGCCCATGGCTTAGCATCCGTCCTTGTGGAAAAGATCCGAGAGAGGTTTTAGTTGTCATAGCAACTGAAAAGCCAATTCTGTTTTAGATTACAGAATGAACATGGTAATCATGTTATAGGACTATGGGAGGGCGCTGGGCTTCTCATGCTACATCCAGGCCCAGCTCTACATTTCCTTTTTTGGAGATGGAGTCTCGCTCTGTCGCCCAGGCTGGAGTGCAGTGGCGCGATCTCAGCTCACTGCAACCTCCACCTCCCGGGTTCAAGCAATTCTCCTGCCTCAGCCTCCCGGGTAGCTGGGACTGCAGGCACATGCCACCACACCCAGCTAATTTTTTGTATTTTAGTAGAGACAGGGTTTCACCGTGTTGCCCAGGCTGGTCTCGAACTGCTGAGCTCAGGCAATCCTCCCACCTTAGCCTCCCAAAGTGCTAGGGTTACAGGTGTGAACCACCACACCTGGCCCAGGCCTATATTCTAAGAAGCCTGTTAATTAACCAGAGCGTGGTCAGAGGGAAGACTGGGATGAAGAAGTGTTAGGAAACTGGGTCTGGACGTTTGAGGGAATTTGGGATATTTAGCCTAGAGAAGAGAGGGCCCAAGAGAGATGGGAGAGCAACTTTAACTGTTTGAAAAGCCTATTGTGTTTAAGAAGGCTAGACCTTCAGATTGCTGCCAGTGGAGAAAAAAAAAAAAAGGCTAGACTTCCCCACTGTTGGCCATGAGAAAAGAATGAACAGGGTGAGAGGTGGAGGAACTATAGAGAAATACATTTCAGTTCAACTTAAGCAATAACTTTCTAATCTCTGGAACCATCCATCAGCGGAACAGGCTCTTCCTCTGTGGAGAAGATCTTCAGTATCCATTGACTAAAGGTTGTTGGGCTTGGTAAGAGTTTGAGTTTGATGACTTCTAAGGTATCTTCCACCTCTGAGTCCCTGTGAAGAGCTCTGCAAAAGTGGCTTCTGAGACCCCAGGGTGCAGCCACATCCTTGTGTAAAGACAGCTAAAAAGAAGGTTAATTAGAAGAACGCTTCCATCAGCACACTAGACTCTGGTGGCTGCTGAGAACATTTGAGAAATTGGTCTATGCCAGGAGAATGTACATTAGCCTTCCTATAGGAACCCATATAAAGATTTTATCTATATCAAAGTTCATATGTATATGTTATGAAAATGTGGCCTATAATTATATAACTACATGGTATCTATATAAATGTGATGTTTAATTCTGCTCTGAAGAGGTGGGAGTGAAAGCCTGGCTGGGCCCCTCTTTTCGTTATGATGAGGGGATCCTCTCTCCCAATTAAAGGGTTCAAGAATATGAAGCCACAGTGTTAAGCAGAGGGAGCAGGAGAGGAAGGCAGACAACAGAGGGAACTGACAAGGAACACCAGGCCAAAGGGGTGGTCAGATGAACAGTGCTGCAGCAGGCAGACACGTCAGCTGGGTGAGGGGTTGAGGTGGGGACTGCGTTCACTCGCTTCTGGCATGCAGCTTTGGGATGTTGCTGTTGTTGTTGTTGTTGTTTGAGACAGAGTCTCACTCTGTTGCCCAGGCTGGAGTGCAGTGGCGTGATCTCAGCTCACTGCAACCTCTGGCTCCCGGGCTCAAGTGATTCTTGTGCTTCAGCTTCCCCAGTAGCTGGATTACAGGCACCTGCCACCATGCCCGGCTAATTTTTGCATTTTTAGTAGAGACAGGGTTTCACTATGTTGGCTAGGCTGATCTCAAACTCCCGACCTCAGACGATCCACCCACCTTGGCCTCCCAAAGTGCTGGGATTACAGGTGTGAGTCCCCCAGCCCGGCAGATGATTTTGTTGATGATAATAGTGCTAATGGTTGATGTTTACCAAGAACTTACTGTATGCCAGGAGCTATGCTTTACATGTCGTCTCATTTAAACCTCACAACAGGCCAGTGCCATAGGTGCTCTTGTTACCTCTATTTTAGAGAAGAGCAATTAAAGCACAGAGAGCTTAAGTAATTTAGCCAAGGTCACACAGCCAGGAAGTGGCAGAGCTTGCATTTGAACCCAGATTGTCTGACTAAAGCTTGCACTTTTAGCCTCTTCCCAGTCACATCTTGTCTGTCTCTGTAGTGCTAGTGGAAGGTTGTCCATCTGTCTTTCAGGCATCTGCAGTCCCTAGGGTGTGATAGGACAGCGTCAAAAAACAGTTCAAGAGTGCCAAGCAATCCCACCACCTCAATATATTGATTTCTCCTCTGGAAAGAGACAGGAGAGAAAGACGAGTTCTGCCTGGTGGCATAAATTAGCTCTGTGCCCTTGGGGCTTTGTCTCACCGTGCTGCTGCCTTGCCATTCAGGTGGCAGGCCTGCCTGCAGCAGAGCTGTTGCTAGAGGGATTCGCGGCCGGCACATAGCAAGTGCCGGGACAGCAGCTTCCACATTGAGCCTGGACAAATGGCAGAACACAGCAGAGGGCAACGCAATTTACAAGGAATCTTAGCAACCAGGCAAGGGGCAATAAACCAGAAAATCGCTGGGGAAACTCAGCGGAGCATGAGCTAAACGAATTGCAGGATTTGTGAACCAATTTACACCCATCAGAGGAGGGGTGAGAGGAGTACCGGGTGGCTCCGAAAGCCGTGGCTGGAGAACTGCCAGGCTGTCACCCGTGTCAGACTTGTTGAAGGGCAGTGAGGACAGAGAGTCCTTGCCGAGGGACCGCTGGACAGTGGTCTCTGGGGACATTATGAGAGGACCTTCAGCTGCCCTCTCTGCAAGGGACCTGGGGTGCCTCATCCCGCTGTGGAGAGATGGATGTCAGGGAAGGGGGGAAGGTATGGATGGAGGGCCTCTCTTCCTTGCTTCCAGGGAACTGGTAAAAGACAGATGAAATGTTCTTGACCAGAAATGAAGCCCACCTTTGGTTTCCATTCCAAGGAGTAAATCTCCCGGGAAGTGAACACCGTTTCTCACATGAGGCACCCCGATGGGAGGTGGGAAGAGTCTGGTGAGGATGTGGAAAACAAGCAAAGGAGTGAGCAGCACCTTCTCCTCCGGGTGACAGTGGCACATGTCTGTGCAGAAGCACACTCCCATCCTGGGAGAGCTTTGGGAGGGACAGATTCAGCTGTCCGTGGACCTGTGCAGTGGGGAGGGCACAGAAGGGGCCAGGTTTTCCTATATAAACATCCACACCTAGTTAAACCAGAGCTCCATGACAGCATGTGAGGCAGACGTGTCCCTTTCAACCACACAGGATCTAGGACAGTGTCTGGCCCCATGGTGGCCTGGCATGTTACAGGCTCAGGCGAATGATCAAGCACTCTAATAGTAATAAATGTGCAAGGTCCAGAATTGGTATTAAGGGCTAGAATCTCAGGTTAAATTAAAGACAACAGTGTATAGGTATTTTAATAAGGAGACTAATGCATTGCCCTGACAGCATGACTCTTGCTGATACTCCTGGGAATGGGAGTGAGACACTGCATTGCAAAGAAGTGGGCCTCAGTCTCCCCATCTGTAAAGCAAGGTGGGAGGTTGAAACCAAAGTTCTCTAGGGCCATCTCCAGCTCTGTCTTGCTGTGGTTTTGCAATTCTCAGCAGCACCAGGGGTCTTGGACTTTTCCCTGGAGGATCAGTATGATCCAGTCTTCCCACAAGCCGCATGGTGCTCCCCCCAAAAGCTTCTGGAAAGCTTCTCTGCTCACCCCACTGCTCCCTTTCCTCTGAGTTCTAAGTTCTACTGGCCACAGAATGGCTCCCCAAGGCTTTGCTGCTGCTCAGCAGGACGCAGCACAGGGGATCTGTCCTTTTCAGGTTCCTGCCACAGTTCCTGTCTAGGAATCCACCTGCAGTGCAGGGTCTGGACTGGGAGGAGGGAGCAATGGCAAAAATGGCAGCCACCACCGACCCAGGGCCTAGCTTTCTGGCCCTGAGCACAGATTGGGAGAGAGCTCAGCTGTGATTGAAATGGCTTTGTCTGCCAACCTAGTGTACAGGGCACAGAGTGAGTCACACAGTTTAGGTCAACACAGGGCAGTGGCATGGTGTGGGCTCTGGAGCTGGACACAGGTGGGTTTGAGCTCTCTCTCCACATGGCTGTGAGGCTCAGGAAAGTCCTCTGAGTGCATCAGTCTTTTTGTGTGTACTAGAAGGCTGAGGAGTACCCGAAATAACACATGTGGCTCCTGAGTGTGGGGCCTGGCACATTGTTAGTGTATGCTCGGTAAGTGTTAGATATTTTTAGTGCCCATAACCCAAATCCCAGTGACTAAGATGCACATGTTCTTTCCTACTTGTCGTTAGGACATCCTAGAGATTCTAATCCTATGGGACAAGCTGGAGGCCCAGGACTCTCACCTGAGCTGAGGTCCTTGGCACAGGCTGGGACTGCACATAGGAGTGGAGTCTAATTTCCAGATGACTTAGGAGCTAGCTGAATGGTCCAAAGAATCAAGGCCAAATGGATAAGAACAAGAAAAAGAATCAGATCTTCCAGGAAGGATCTGTTACAGAGTGTATCAGTCAGCTTTTGCTGCATAACAAATAGCTGCAATATCTCAGTAGCACACTACACCAAGCATGTATTTTACTCATGAATCTGTGAGTTGTCTGGGGTAGCTCTGCTTCATATGGTCCCCAGGCTGAAGGAGCAGCAGCTACCCAGGAAAAGCTGTGCTCACGGCTGTGGCAGAAGCATGAAGGAGCAGGCAGAAGCTTTCCAGGCCACTTAAGGTTTAGGCTTGGAGCTGGCACACTCATTTCTGTTTCATTCTATTAACCAAAGCAAGTTACTGAGCCAAGCTAAAAATCAAAGAGCAGGAAAGTGGCTGGGCGTGGTGGTTCGTGCCTGTAATCCCAACATTTTGGGAGGCCAAGGCGAGTGGATCACTTGAGGTCAGGAGTTCGAGACCAGGCTGGCCAACATGGCAAAACCCCATCTCTACTAAAAATACAAAAAATTAGCCAGGCGTGGTGGTGCACGCCTGTAGTCCCAGCTGCTTGGCAGGCCGAGGCACAAGAATCACTTGAACCCCAGGAGGTGGAGGTTGCAGTGAGCCGAGATTGTGCCATTGCACTCCAGCCTGGGCAACAGAGCGGGATTCCGTGCCCCCTGCCCCGCAAATAAAAGGAAAGTATACTCTGCCCATGTGGAGGCTACAGCAAGGATGTTGTTACAGGGAGGGGTGAAGAATTGCAGTCTCCAATTTGACCTTTCACTTAAAGAGTGAACCCTAGTGGATAGGAGTAGATGTAGGAGGCAGAGAGATCCCCGAAGAAACAGAGACCAAAGAAGGTCTGCAGTGGGGCTTAAGGAAATGTTAAGTGAGCAGAACTGCTTCAGGTAGAAACAACAGTGTCCACTTCCATGGGTCCCAGGGCACTACCACGAAGCCCCACTGGCCAGGACCTCTCCATTTCACTTTATCAGTTGCCAAGTGGGCTGGCATAAAAGTGGAATGGCTCGCATCCTTGTAGGGAAATCGCCCAGCATTATATCAGAAAGAGGCTGTATTTGATCAGAGACTTACCAGGACTTCAGGTATACCGGAAAATGACTAAGTGATATCACTGTGTAACAATTCATTCCTTAAAATTTCCATGCCTCTCAGGCAGGCCAAATGTACCCAAATGCATCTTAAAATGGCTCTTAAAGTGCACTTGCCTGAAAATGCCAGGAGGGAACCTGGTATTGGTGAAGGGGATTATTAATTACTAAGGTAGGCATGGCTTTAAAGAGATGGCCTAGGGGTCATGATCATTGTTTTTTTATTTGTGATTTGTATTCCTCTTAACTTCCAAACAAATTTGAGATGACTGACAATTAAAAATATGGGCCCCAGGACAGCAAGATTAAAGATAAAATATCGAAAGTCATAGGGATGAAGGGAAGAAATGATTAAACCAGAAACCTTGCAGAAGATAGTTACTGCAATTGCACATTAAATTGAGCTAAAGCGAAAGGGAAAATATGATGAGTTATTGGATAAAGGGAAGTATAGCTATTTGTCAGGAGAGCCAAACTTTTCCCTGACACTCAATGTGAGCACAAATTTATCATGAGAAACTCAATAGAGGGGGACAGTGAGGCCCGTAACAGACGTTCTCCTCCAAGACTCCTGCAGAAGATGCAGAAGCATTCTTCAGACGGTCATTTATTGTATCGACCCTGGATAAAAGCTGAGGTCTTCGGGATGAACCCTTCTAGATTTAATATAGCCCCAGCTAATGGCTTATAGATTGTTGAAGAGACAGGCCCAGTTAGAGCGTTAGAAGGTCAGCCCTGGAGCAAAGGGCAAACACTGGGAGTGACGTGTGGCTTTCCTCCTGGAGCCAGGCTGAGAAAGGACTCCCGGATGGGCACCGTATGGCCCACATCCTCCTGGAAGCAGGATCGCTAAGCAAGGCAGAGTCCTGAGTGGGTGAAGGGCAAGAAAGCCCTTAGTATAGGAAGAAACGTGAACAATCAGGCCACAAAATGGACTACAACCATCACATTTCATTTATGTGAACAAAACATATATGCAAAGAGAAAACACTAAAAGGAAAATCACCAGCATGTTAATAGTGGTAAACTCTGGGTTGTGGGAACTTGGAGGATTGTTTCTCCTTATAATTTTCTTTACTTTTTAATCTTCTAAGATTGATTGAGCTGGTATAATTTTATAAACAGAAAAAAAAGAGAAAGAAAATTTCTTTCCTAAATCCTGTTTCTGAGGTCTTTAAATTGTGGAGAGGAATCACTAGCAATGGTCCGTGTCTTCCTGAACAGACATCCTTCCAAGCAGGTGGGAATAAGACGTTCAGAGCCATGGAAATCTTCATTCCTGTTTCTGCTTCTCTGACAAGCTACTAAACCTAACCCTTCCCTTCTGCATCGTGTGGTTTCACAGACGGTAAAGAAGACGTGGAGGAGCTTGGCAGCTGTGACCCCTGATCATAAGAACATTTTGCTTTATTGGCACAGCTTCTCTGGCAGGAAAACTGGCAATATGTGGCAAAACCTTAAAAACGTGCCTGCCCTCACTACGTTGATTTTACATATGGAAACTTATTCTAAGGAAATAATCATGGCCACATGGGAAGATTGAGCTGTAAAGATATTCTTTACTGCATTATCTGTACAGCAAAATGTGGGGAAACTCACTCCCCATTTAGCAAACCTAAATCTTCACCATTAGGGATGTAGTTAAATAAATGGTGGTCCTAAGGAACACAGTACAACCTTCACAGAGGACGGTTTGGCAGGATGCCTAGTGGCAAGGGGCTGTTTTATGGGCCTCTGTTAAATAAAAAGTGCAGGTTTCAAAAGCTCATGTGCAGGACCTTTCTATTCTTGGAAAAAGGAAAAATGTATATATCAGTAGGATTATAGATGATTTTCATTTCTCCTCCCTATTCCTATTTCTGGTTTACCTGCATTTGCTAAATTTTCTATTATGACTTTTTTTTGGTAATTAACAAAATGAAAGAAAATGCATTTTTTTTCAAAGTAGTACTATTTCATAGTTCTGTTTTCTGGAGGAAGATTAAAGGAACACTCGTAATGTTGGGATGATCTTTAAGGACCCCATTGGGAAGAGGCTTGCCCTGTTTCAGGATAGGAAGTTGGAGCTGAACAGGATGAGGCATCTCTGGGCCATTTGTCTCTTCTGTCCTTTAATTTGTGTCCCTCCCTGGGTTTGAAGCAATTTGCATGAGAGCGCAGCACGTCCGCCCTTCCCTCCTCTCTCTCCTGCTCCTCGGGTAGGAGATGATTATGGGGCTTGCTCTGAGACAGTGGCATGTGGGTGATGCCCCCTACTGGAGGTGGAGAATGCCAGGAAGCAAGAACAAGAACAACAATCGCCAACCCTGATGTCAGGCTAGCTTTTGAAAGATGACATGTTCTTCTCAGGGAAGACCCGCTTTAAGAGACAGGGACCCAAAGCAGTGCCCCTGCATCTTGTGTGTACCCTCCAGGAGATTTGTTTGGCTTTTTGCTATTAAGTTCAGCCCTTTGAAAATTCATCCCGGTTCAATTTCTTCCCATGTTGCTCCTCTTTGTAGACAGGCTAAGACAGACGAACATTTTTCTTCTTGGTCTCCCTAGGTTATAAGCCACAAAAGTGAAAGGATGTGTCTTCAAGAGAAAAGAATACATTGGGCATGTCACAAATATTACCAGGCCTTTGTGCCATGAGATTAAGGGATGTCTGGTTGAAATAAAGACAGGCAGGAAAAAATGTCATAAGAGTGAAAGAAAGAAATCACAGGCGACAGGAGTCCTGGATTTGAAGAGACCCAAATGAAGCTGGTGACATGTCTCCTTGTTAGAATGGTTCTTACAGTGTGGCCTGGGGATGTGGATGGGACACATGGGTTCTCCATGTGTTTTACAGAAAGGAAGGGAACAGGTCTATATGGAGGTCTTCTGAATGCGGGCCGCTTTGCACGTGCCATCTCACCAGGCTTCCTACAGCCATGGGAAATAGCTGCTGTCCTCCACACCCCATAGGAGAAGAGACCAAGGTTTAGAAAGGCTGAGTAACTTGCCTGTAGCCATGCAGCTAGAAAGTGGAGGGATCTGAATGTGAACCCATCACTGTCTGACTCCGGAGACTGAACTCTTTCTGCAGTACTAGGTCCATCTCCCTTGGTGTCAATATTGATAACATGACTAAAGCAGAGGAAAATGCTTAGCCCGATACTTTTGGCCTTGGCATGAGACAAACAGCTCCAACTGTTTGCCAGAGGCACTTAATTCTAAAGTTTTAAATGCTTTCTGTTTCCGGCATGAATCAGTTGTTTGCTTTTAACATTGTAAACAAAGGGTTACTTTATAGTCTCTTACCAAAGCAGTATCGGGTGCTCATTTATTCTCGTGAGAGATTTTAAAATTTGTTTTATTTGGTTTGGTGTTTTGCAGCAGTCAGCAGAAGAGGGGGATGTGCTTGGTTCACTGAAGTGGATAATGGCTAGAACTTTTTAGGAGGCTCTGCTCAAACAGGGGAGAAGAGCTCCCTGCTCTTTATCAAGAGTCTGGTGGGCATGGATAGCAATTCCAGCACTTTGTGGTTTTATAAACACATTTTAAATATTTATATTGAAGCACTTTCAAACTTACAGAAACATTGCAAGAAAAGTATAAAAAACTCCCATATCCATGTATTCAGATTCCTCAGTTGTTAACATTTTACCCCAATTGTTCCATTGTCTTCCCTCTCTCTATATACATCAACCCATTAGCATTAGTCTCTTTCAGAACTTTCGAGAATAAGTTGTGGACCTGATACCCCATACCTTTAAATACTTCACCACATCAAGGACATTCTCCTACATAACAATCACAAACCTTCCAAATCCAGAAAAGATGCTGATACAACATGACCATCCAATTCACAGACCTCATTCAGAATTTGCCAACATTTCCCATCAATGAATTTCCGATCAGTGTTTCTTTTTTTCCTTCTTTCCTTCCTTCTTTCCTTCCTTCCTTCCTTGTTTCCTTCCTTCCTTCCTCCCTCCCTCCCTCCCTTCCTTTCTTCCTTCCCTCTCTCTTTCTCTTTTTCTTTCTTTTCACATGGTTCCAATCCAGGATCATATGCTACTTTGATTGTCATGTTTATTTCCTTTCAATATGGAACAGTTTCTCAATCTTTCCTTATCTTTCTTGACCTTGACATTTTATGAAGAGTACAGATTTCTCGTTGTTTTTTTCCAGTGCTTCCAGTGCCTCGTGCTCAGGCTGTGCATTTTGATGGAACATCACAGAAATTAGGGCTCTTCTCAGTGCATCTCATCAGGACACGTGATACTGACCCTTCACACCACTGGGATGTGATCCTTGAATGTCTGCTGGTCACGGTGTCTGCCAGACTTCTCTACCATAAACTCACCATTTCCCTCTTTGTGATTGACAAGTATTTGGTGGAGAGATATTCCAAGGCTACACCAATATCAGGGGCTGGGTAGAGGATCAATGAACATGATATTGGCAGAGCCTCTGAGTATCTCCCCACCAATTACTATGCCTGTTAATGCCTTTATTTACAACCTCAGTGATTGTTGCCAAATGGTGATAATTGATTTCCACCATTCCGTCTGCATTTATTTGTTGATATTTCATGGCAAAGAAGAGCCATCTCTTCTGATTTACTTATCTACCTATCTACTTACCTATCTACCTATGCATGTCAGTATAGACCAAGCTTGTCCAACCCACAGCTCACTAGCTGCATGCGGCCCAGGATGGCTTTGGATGCGGCCCAGCACAAATTTGTAAACTTTCTTAAAACATTATGAGATTTTTTTTTTTGCAATATATATTTTTTAGCTCATCAGCTATCATTAGTGTTAGTGTATTTTATGTGTGACCCAAGACAATTCTTCTTCCAATGTGGCCCAGAGAACCCAAAAGATTGGGCACCCCTGGTATAGAAAATGAATTGTAACCCATGAATACCATTATTTATTTCGGTGCTCAGTTGTCACAGATTTGACTAATGAGCCCATTCAAGCTGCCTCCTGTGTCCTTTTGACAGGTCTACATCGTTCTTTGACATAAAGAATATCAAAGAACTTTCTGGAACAAGATGCTCCACCCTTGTCTTGTACTTTTCTTGCCTCAGCCCTGGAATCAGTCATTTCTCCAAGAAGCTCTGGTTCCTTTTAGTGGAGGGTGGTGTTTAGAAACCAAACACTGGATGCTCCCTCCTCCTGGAGTGCTATTGTTTTCTAGGCCCTCTTGGCAGGCAGAGCTAGGAATTATATGTGTGTATATATGTGCACACACTCACTGTGTAGTATATATTTATATGTATGAATACACATAAACACATCTATCTATCTATCATCTATCATCTATCTATCTGATCACAAGGTTACATTGACACTTTTAATTACAATCTTATCACCTCAGGATTCTTTCTATTTTCCCCCTTTCCATATATGTCAATCCCTTCTCCAATGGTGAAAAACCTAGCTCCAATTAACCTCAATTTATTTATTCCTTCAGTCAGTCCCCCTAATGTAACCCAGGTCTTGACGATGCCAACTGGCTCTGAGTCCCTGGCCCTGCCACTGCCATCCAGCTCACAGCCACTTCCAGGGCCCTGGCCCTGCACCACCTCTAAGGAAAAAAAAGAGAAAGGAAGAGGGAGAGGAGGAGGAAGAGCAGCTTGAAGCCTTGATCATTTTCTTTGGGGTCTTTCTGTCTTGTTTTCTTGTGTAGTTAACACAATCTGGAGCCACCATTGTTTGGGACCACACTTACTCCCAGGCTATGCAGAGAGGACATACTTTTTTTTTTTTTTTTTCTGTAAACAGAGTCTTGCTCTGTTGCCCAGGATGGAGTACAGTGGTAGGATCATGGCTCACTGCAGCCTTGACTTCCCAGGGTCAAGTGATCTTCCCACCTCAGCCTCTTAGGTAGCTGGGACTACAGGCACACGCCATGCCAGCTAATTAAAATTTTTATTTTTAATGTTTTTATTTTTTTTAGAGACTGGGTGTCTATATATTGTCCAGGCTGGTATTGAACTCCTGGGCTCAAGCAATTCTGCCTTGGCCTCCCAGAGTGCTGGGATTACAGGTGTGAGCCACCATGCCTTGCCTGGATCTATTTTTATACCAAAAGATTCCTGTCCCCTCCACTCTTCCAGGTCATTGGATGTGTGGGGGGGAGGGGCAGTCAAGGTATTGGTAGGTCAGCAATTGGCTTGATCCTTTCCATCAAGGATTGGAGCTGAGGGTGGTAGAGACTCTGGGCCACGAAGTCGGGCTTGAGTGAATGGCACATAGTCTGGCCCGAGGCAGCCACTTCCGCCACGGCACACGGGAGGAGGGACCCCTTGCAGAGAGCACAGAGGCATGGCACACAGAATGCCGCCAGCTTTTGTGGGCCCTGAAGCTTGTACAACTTGTGGATCCTCTTTAAGAAAAACAATGTGAACATGAGTTACATGAGTCTGTGGCATGGCCTTTAGATGCCTCTTGCTCTTTCCATAACTGTTTTATGGAAATCCGTCCAAGTGGATTTCTACTACTTGACCAAGAAGCTAAGGCACCAACAACAAAGCAAAAGCCAGCTATTTTTTTCCTCTCTCAATTTTGAAGGCAAAGTCAGTTCAACATTTTTGTCCCTGAAAAATGTTCCCCTTAACTGGACCACTGAATTGCCAGATAAGATTTGGGATTTTGCAGCAGTAAATAAAGAAAAATCAGAAGTTATAGTTTTGGCATTGCCATCCCAGGGTTTTAGCCTGATTCACAAAGATGCCTTCTAAATCAAATGTCTGGGTATCCTTCAGGATTGCTGTTGATTCAACATTCCTGGGCATGCTTTACATCCAGTGCCAAAGAACTTCAGAGTTCATATCAGAAAAAGTTTGCAAATTCACTAGCTGCAACTTTTGGAAGTGAAAGTTAACCCCTTTTCTAGGAAGTAGTGGATGGCAGATGAGCAGAAGACTGCTAACTAGAGGGGCTGCTCAGGGTTAGGGGTCTTGCTAATAAGGGGCACTGTGCCCCTGGGAGTGCCACCTGCTCACCCCTCCCCACATCCTTGCCAACAGGACAGTGTAGCACAAAGGGTCCCTCCTGCCCACTCCCCTCTCATCCCTCCCTGTAAATCCAAGAGTCGAAAGGGATTTGGAGGACCTTTTATGAAGGAGATTACAAAGTTATCATCACTGATGTCAGGAAGAAGAAAGACTACAGAGTACTGGATCAAGAGGACACTTTTTCATTATCTAGTCAATTCCTGGCTCAAGTTCTAGCTCTGTACTCCTTAAGCAAGTTACTTACACTTTCCCAAACATTAGGTCCCTATTCTGTAAAATGGAGGTAAAACTAACACCTAAAATCCTTGTGAATGGCAAAGTACAACAACAACTCCCCCACAGCCAACAGATCTGTCTGATGCACCAGGCTCTGTTCTGAGCACTTCGCTTACATTTTTTCATGTAGTTCTTACTACAGCCTTATGAGTTAGTTGCTATTTGTATCCCATTTTACAGATGAGGAAAATTAGGCACAGGGAAGTTAGGTGATTTGCCCAATGTCATTTAACTAATTAATTGTTATTTTTATTAGATCTGAAGAAACTGGACGACTGAAGCTCAAGTTCATGCCCTTCGTCTGATTAGAGGATCCTTTGCTCATTTCAGAGGGGAATTCGCAGCAGGTCCTTTTGCCACTACATGGGGAAAGCAGAGGGTGGGAGAATAGTTGGAGACTTACCGGGTGTGAGCCAAACTAGCCTGTGGTCCAGTAAGAGAGAAAGAAAACCTACTCCTCCTCCACGTCGGGTGAGAGCACCTGGCTGTGGAGAAGGCGTGAAGGGTTCTAAGATCCTGAAACTTTCTCCCCTGGTGGGAAGGGAGCAGCCCTTGTGTCTGTGGGCCCTGAGGGCCAGCATCAGTGGCACCGACCTCGTACTGTAGTCATTACCTTGGCTGCCCCAGGTAGGGGGCCGTCAGGGACTCTTGCTGAGAGGGGCCAGGCACTGAGGGGCTGGCTGCCCAGACACAAGCAACCCACCCATCCCTTAAAAGTATACAGCTGAGGCCAGATGCAGTGGCTCACGCCTGTAATCCTAGCACTTTGGGAGCCTGAGGTGTGTGGATCATGGGGTCAGGAGTTCGAGACCAACCTGGGCCAACATGATGAAACCCCGTCTCTACTAAAAATACAAAAATTAGCTGGGCATGGTGGCGGGTGCCTGTAATCCCAGCTACTCCGGAGGCTGAGGCAAGAGAATTGCTTAAACCCGGGAGGCAGAGGTTGCAGTGAGCTGAGATCACACCACTGCACTCCAGCCAGGATGACAGAGCAAGACTCTGTCTCAGGGTGAAAAAACAAGTATACAGCTGAAAGCCCAACGCACCTTTCAAACCTCCAGTGACTCCTAAGTTCAAAACGATACACTGTACTTATGAGATATTAGCTGGCTTTCTATTTAAGACCTACAAGCTTTGACTAATTTGGGGTTGGTGACTTTTCCCCCAAAGAAATTCTTATAAAGAGATATTGCTTGGGGATTATGTAGGTTCCCAAAAGGATATTTGCCTAAGGACCCTCCCAACTCAGTCATACGGCCATTTAGTGGTGCAGCCAGAACAAAATGCTTCCTTGGATTTCAGAGCTTGGGCTGTGGCGTCATTTTGACATGGATCCAACCCCAGCTCCACTGACCCACTGAGGGAATCTGAGCAGACTACTCATCATCTCTACGCCTCCCTTTCCTCCTAGGGTTGTTTCAGGATTAAATGATATAATGCTTGTAAAGGCATAGCACGGGCCTGGCATAGTGCTGAAGGTGAACTATTCTTACAGTCTAGTGACCTTCCTGTGACTCAGGAATAGCACCGCCTAGCGAACTCACTTTTGGAGTAGCCTTTCTTTTTTCCAGCTTTGTTGTGATATAACAGACATACAATAAACTACACACATTTAAGTGTACAATTTGATGAGTTTTGACATAGGTACACACCTGTGAAAATCATCACTATCAGAATAATGAACAGATCCATCACCCCAAAAAGTTTCCTTTGCCCTTTTGCAATCCATCCCTCCCTTCTCCTTGTCCCCCAGCAAACACGGATCTGCTCTCTGTCACTATCGATTAGCTTGCATTTTCTAAACTTTTTATAAATGGAAGCATACCATATGATTCATTTTTTGTCGGGCTTCTTTTACTCAGCATGATTATTTTGAAATCCATCCATCTTTGGATGAATCTCAACTTGGTTTCTGTTTTTTTTTTTTCTTTCTGCGCATGGTGGATAAAGTATTTCCAAATGAGAGATGCAGGCCAGTGGGGTGCTTCTCCAAAGTCCCGGCTGGGGTTTCTAGTGTATTATTGCAGCTGCCTGGGGGTTCTAACACTTGTCTTTTGAGCACTCTGATGCTCCCTGTGTCCCAGTATGTGCAAGTGTAGCTGGTTCAAAAGCCACAGGACTTACCAGGGTGCACACCAGACTCTTGGACGCAACTTTTTCACATTGCGTGTGCCTAGACTTCATCCCCAGGGCTTCAAAGGTCTGAAGTGTGGCCTGGTTGTGAAACTCTGTTTTGAAGTAATGCCACTAATTTCCAAAACTCACCTGGGCAGTGAACACATAAGCAAAAGGAAGGGAGTTCAGGCTGGGCGTGGTGGCTCATGCCTATAATCCCAGCACTTTGGGAGGCCAAAGTGGGCAGATCACTTGAGGTCAGGAGTCCAAGACCAGCCTGGCCAACACAGAGAAACCCCGTCTCTACTAAAAATACAAAAATTAGCCAGGCGTGGTGGTGGGTGCCTGTAATCCCTGCTACTTGGGAGGCTGAGGCAGGAGAACTGCTTGAACCAGGGAGGCAGAGGTTGCAGTAAGCTGAGATTGTGCCACTGCACTCCAGCCTGGGTAACAGAGTGAGACCCTCTCTCAAAAAAAAAAAAAAAAAAAAGGGAGTTGAGGTAGCACCTGATGGTAGGAATCACATTCCATAGAAGATCTGCTATGGGCTGCTCTGTGCACCTGAAAGACCTTGTAAGACATCTGTGGGCCAAGGTGAGTGTGGTACCCACAGTTTTAACAACCACATGTGAAAATAAGTCTGCTCCCTGGGTTTATTTCAGTATTTAAGCACACGTGACCAGAGGGCCACTGCGTGTTGTGTGCATCCGGAAATAAACAGGGTGGTACCATCACCTGCCTGCCCATGCAGTTCCAGAAAACCACACTCAAGAGGACACGGAAATCAATATTGAAAATGAGACACTCAAGTTACCACAAAGAGCTATTTTTGCTTATTCCAAATTGCTCTGTTTCTTTAAGCAGCTATTTGCAGTCAGCCTCTTCTCTGGCTATGTATAGGAATGGCTCAGGCAATCTAAAAAAGAAAGAGGAAAAAGAAAAGAAATCCGCAAATAGGTTCACACCCCAGGGATAAATCTGGGGCATTTGCAAACGTGGTACAAGTCAGTTATTTTCCCAAATACCCAGCCTCTCCAAATTCTACCCACGGGTTGGGAACCATCAAGAAATAAATACCCAGGTACATTAGCGGGTCACTTTCTAGTAAGTGCTCAGAATTTAAAAATAGAGATTTGAAAGGAAATGTCTCCTTTGCCTCTAGTAGGGGGCAGCTCTCTGCTCTGTCTTTTGCTCTGCTATTCTGAGACCACGTTCTGGTGGCAGGTGAGGGGAAGCTCAGGTCTATTTTTAAAACCTTCTGCTTCTCTGACTGTTGCCAGGGAGAACTTGGACAAAAGAGCAGTGCAGAGAAGGGAGGGAAGATCACCGTGAACACTGGTCCAGTGAGTCACTCAGCAATTGTGTGCTGGTTCTACCACCCCCAAAGACATCGGATCTCCCCCCTCAGCTCTATCTCCTTTGCTGCCACCTTGTCTGGGTCACTGTTATTTTTCACCTTGGCCAAGTGGACTTCCTGTTCTTACCCCTGGCTCTTCCAGTCTGTCCTCCACCCTGGAACCAGAGAGAGCTTTTTAAAAGTGCAAATTGGACTGAATCACAGCTCGCATTAATATAAATGCATAATAAAAAGTCTGGAAGCTGTTAATAGTGAGTGTCTCTGGGGCAGGGGCGAAGGGAGACTAGAATGTTTTTACTATGCCTGCTTCTGTGCGGTTTGAATTTTATACCAGCAGCTTGTATTTCTTTCATAATTTTAAAAGAATCTCAAACGTTTAATTTGGTCCCTGCACTCTAGGAGTTCTTAATCTTGCATTTGAGTCCCCAACACTAAAAAGTCTATGAATTATGCTTGTTCATTATGGCCTTAAGGAGCAGAAGCTGCCATCACCGAGTGGAAGTGATGAAAGTGAGTATTAAGAAAGAGTGTGCTGATAAGCAGAGCTGCCTGAAGGTGGGCTGGTGAGCCAGCACAGGCAGTGTGCCAGGGCCAGGGCAGATGTCCCAGCTGAGGCTGGTGCCCTTTGCTGCAAAGTGGTCACTTGCCCTTGGGGTCCCTGCAGTTCTGTGACTCCATGGGATGCCCTGGCAGATACTTTTTTTAGCCTGACAGCTTTCTTTCATTTCTACCTCTAGTTTCTTTTTTTTTTAATTGTTATTTTTATAGATTCGGGGACTACAAGTGTAGTTTCGTGATGTTGATATATTGAGTGGTGGTGGAGTCTGGGCTTGTAGTGTAACCATTACCTGAATAGTGTACACTGTACCTATTAGGTAATTTCTCATCCTTCATTCCCCTCCCACCATCCCACCCTTCTGAGTCCCCAGTGTCTTTCTACTAGGTCCATGTGTACACATTCCTTAGCCCACTTATAAGTGAGAACATGCAGCCATCTGCAATTTCTTTTTTTTAAGTGAGAACATGTAGCCACCTGCAATTTCTTTTCTTTTTTTTCTTTTTTTTTTTTTTGAGACAGAGTCTCACTCTGTCACCAGGCTGGAATGCAGTGGCATAATCTTGGCTCACTGTAACCTCTGCCTCCCAAGTTCAAGGGATTCTCTCGCCTCAGCCTCCTGAATAAGCTGGGATTACAGGTGCCCGCCACCACGCCCGACTAATTTTTGTATTTTTTAGTAGAGACGAGGTTTCACCATGTTGGCCAAGATGGTCTCCATCTCTTGACCTCGTGATATGCCCGCCTTGGCCTCCCAAGATACTGGGATTACAGGCGTGAGCCACCGCGCCTGGCCAGCCACCTGCAATTTCCATCAGACAAATACAGTCCTGCAAGTCATAACTTAATCTTGTAGTTTCCTGTGCCCTGAAGGTATGCACAGCAGTTCTTCTACAAGAAAAAAGAACACACAAGATCTATATGGAGTCAAATTGGATACTAGAGTTGGAAGGAGGAGACTCCAGGAACCTCCTTCCTGCCAGGGAGGAACCATCAGCACAAGCATTCCCAGCTAACCTTCCCCCTGCAGCTTCAACTATGGAAGCCACTTCACTTGTAAGTCAAGTCCCATGGGTGCCTGCCCGTGCCTGCCTCCCCCGCCTGCATTCTGGTCCCTCCACTCACTCCCTCGGGCGCAGTGACGCCTCTGGATGCAGCTCATTGTTTGGCTTCTGGAAGAGAAGTCATACACCTGTCCAAAGGGATGACATATCTTTCCAGCTGTCATTATTCTTATTGTGGAATAAATAGAGATATTAGTTTGATTGGACAAGCACTTTATGGAGTCTACCTTGTTCCCTGTAGTCTCTCAGACATTTACAAATCGGTTGAACCATGTTTTTATTTTCTCCACCACCTCAAGGCCATACCATTTCTCTTTTTAATATACAGACTATGCCTTGCACAGAGTAAGTGCCAATAAATATTTGTTGAATTGATTTTCCTGTTCAGAGATGTGGCAGAAAGACCCTCTTGTTTTGTGTGCATAATTCTTCTGTGTGGCGATTGTTGAAATCCTTTCTTATGGATACTGGTCATATCGGCCAGCACCAGGCCAAGTCTCAGGGTCTGAGCTGAATATTACCTGGGTCAACAACCAAAGGCGACCTAAAGCTGAGCACAGATTGTGGTGGGAGAAGGGAGACCATAGAGGGTAAAAGGAGAACAATTCCAGTCCCTCACAGACAGGGATGAATATATGCTGCAGGCAGGAGTCAAGGTAAGAGGCTGAGAGCCCATGAGATGAGGAGCGGGTGACGGAGTAGAGAGAAAAGAGGGATGATATGATGGGTTCAAGGTCAAGGTGGTGGCCAAGGGCGGCCAAGCCAGTCATCCTGGGTTTGCATCCTCGTTCATGCTAGATGCCACTTTGGACAACTCTCTTAACTCCATAGAACCACATCAGCTCCATCTCTATAAGACCAGGGGGCTCATAGTCACTGTGGGGATTTAACAAGGGAACTAGTATTTGTGAAAACACTGTAAACTGGGAAATGTAAATGCAAATAGAAGGCAAATTTGCAACATTTGGAAACATCTCCTATCCTTAAATAATTTTTTGTAAGTCTTCCTCTGCTTTCTCATTCCTCTTGAAGGTTTATTCCCAGGAACCTGGGGTCTTCAAGCTTGATGGGACCTTGGGGTTCACTTGGTTCATCCCTGTCATGTCACAGACAAGGAAATAGGCTCAGAGGGCTAATGAAAGTCATCCAGGGCTAATTAAAGAGCACATCAGGCTGGGCGTGGTGGCTCACACCTATAATCCCAGCACTTTGGGAGGCTGAGGTGGGAGGATCACCCAAAGTCAGGAGTTCGAGACCAGCCTGGCCAACATGGTGAAACCCTGTCTCTACTTAAAATATAAAAAGTAGCCAGGCATGGTGGTGCATGCCTGTAATCCCAGCTACTTGGGAGGCTGAGGTAGGAGAATTGTTTGAACATGGGGAGGCAGAGGATACAGTAAGCTGAGATCATACCACTGTACTCCAGCCTGGGTGACAGAGCAAGACTCCATCTCAAAAAAAAAAAAAAAAAAAAAGAAAAGGAAAGAAAAGAACACATCAAAGGCCATCCCCACCAATCACAGCTTCGCTGGCTTGGATCCCTAGTTTACATTTTTACTTTGCTTTTGACTCCCTGGTTTTCATTTTACTTCCACCCCACATGTCATTTTAAGGACAACTCATGCTGCTCACTATAGACCAATATGGTCTAACTATTGAGTGCATGGTGGGAATGCTCATTCAGTTGGCCCCAGGCCCTAATAATAATAATAATTACCACAGCTCAGAGCCTTGAATCTGCTACTGGGACCAGGCTACTTGGAAAAGATGACCTTCTGCAGGGTCCAGATCCAGCTGGTGAAGGTGGGAGGGAAGAAGATGAAAAGCCTCTGCTCCCCTCTGTCATGCCGCTTCATCTTACCTTCCCTTGCAAAGTTAAAGTCTGCTTCGAGTCTATTTGGTTCCTTGTAGAGAGCCTGCTTCCCACTATGCCTCTGTCTTACCTGGTGTCTTTGGCAGAGCCCCGAACCATCTCAGTGTCAAATCCCGGGGCTCCCCTATTTGGCCCTGGTCTAGGTAACTGAACAGTCCCTGCAAACACGAGGGATTGATGTATGTCCAATGCAGGTATGTCATGAAAAGGTTCCACAGCAGAGTGACTAAGGAACCAATTAGGAGATGAATAAAACATGTCCTATGTAGGTTATTCAAGAAAAGACTAATAATGAGAAATCCGAAGAAAGACGGGTGCATTCATTTTGGGATCGTCCCTTCTTGAGCAAGTAGAAGGAAGGCCTGAGAGTCAGTCCTTCAAGGGCACAGCAGCCAGGGGAGGTGCTGAGTGATGGAGGCAGAAACATTTTTTGCCCCTCATTTAGCTGACTTCCAAACACTGCCTCCTCCTCCTCCTCTGTGGTTGGGAGATTTCACATTTTGCTTGTCCCAAAGCCCCAGGACCCGCTGACCCAGCATGGTTGTTTCCTTCAGCTGTTGCTATGACCTGACCCCAAATCCTGGCTATTGACTGAGTGGCCACTTGACTTCGCCAGATGTCTCACTCTGCACTTCCTGATGTGGAAATCTACCCCCTATCCAGAGTAGGGCCTCTGGATGCTGGCCAGCCTCTTCCTGGCTCCCTGCATCAACGTCCTCCCTACAAAGGCTGAGATGCAAGATCTGTTTTCCAAACCACCAAAGTCATCACATAAATGTGTGAATGCATACATTTGCCAAAAAACCGGCAGATAATACTACTAATGACTAAACCAGAGCTGGCTTGGGAAATGAGGGTAAGTCATCAGCAAACTCGTCAATGAGTGGCAGTGAGGCGCTGTAGAGAGCAGCTGGTGTCAGAGGCTATGAGTTCCTGCACCCTCACTGGCTGCATTGCTACTAAAATAAGTCTCAGTTTCCTCATTTGCAAAGTGGGCTTAATAATCAGAATAATGCTTATCCTGTTTACTTTACAAGGTTCTTGCTAGGATCAGAGCCCTATGAACTTTTTTTTTTTAGAAAGCTATACTTGCATACAAGACTATTCGTTTCATAATTAGCAAAGTGCCTTGCTGAAAATAAGTGCTCACTAGGCATTAGAACTGTAGTCTGATTGTGAAAGAAAACATTATTATTTCATGGCATTTCCTACCTGACTTTCTTCTTTGTTTGCCCGTCTTCCCTGCCTCCCCCATTAGACTGTAAACCCTCTGAAATCAGGAACTCTGTCCATCTTGCTCAGAGCTATGTTCCTTGTGCCTTGAGGGGTACTGGAACAAAGAAAATGTCATTAAGTGGTTTTTGAGGGGATGAATGGTGGCCTTATGGCTCAGAAGGAAGCAATGTAGGGAACAGTTAAAATGAGCTTAATTCTGGGGAATGCAAGCTTTTTCTTTTTCTTTTCTTTCTTTCTTCTTTCTTTAAGACAGAGTTTCACTCTTGTCACCCAGGCTGGAGTGCAGTGGTGCAATCTTGGCTCACTGCAATCTCTGCCTCCCGGATTCAAGTGATTCTCCTACCTCAGCCTCCATGCCCAGCTAATTTTTGTATTTTTAGTAGAGATGGGGTTTCACCTTGTTGGCCAGGATGGTCTCAATCTCTTGACCTCGTGATCCACCTGCCTCGGCCTCCCAAAGTGCTGGGATTACAGGCGTGAGCCACTGCGCCCAGCCTGCAAGCTTTTTTAATGAGAATTTGCTGCTGGTGTAAAATGAAATATATCTTAGAAAGTAACCAGGTCCTCTTGGAGATCAAAATATGGAAGGAAACACCAAGTGTGAAGATCAGATAAGAGATCTGTGGATATTGCCAGGTGCAGTGGCTCACACCTGTAATCCCAACACTTTGGGAGGCTGAGGCGGGTGGATCACGAGGTCAGGAGTTTGAGATCAGCCTGATCAACATGGTGAAACCCCATCTCTACTAAAAATACAAAAATTAGCTGTGCACCTGTAACCCAGCCACTCAGGAGGCTGAGGCAGGAAAACTGCTTGAACCCAGGAGGCAGAGGTTGTAGTGAGCCAAGATTGCACTAGTGCATTCCAGCCTGGGTGACAGAGTGAGACTCCACCTCAAAACAAACAAACAAAAAGAGATCTGTGAATATTGAGTAGGACAAGATTTGTTCTGTCTTCTAAAAAGCTGACTCCATTTTTATTGCCCCAGAAAGTAGAACCAGGACCTACAGAGAGATGGCGTTTGTTTTGGTTAAAGACACTTGAGAATAGAATGGGCTGGCTCAGGAGGTGGTGAGTTTCTAGACAGAGGAGAAATTCAAGAAGAGGCTGGATGAATTTGTGGCACTAATGTTGTAGGTAAACTGAGGAACTATGTTATTAAATGAGATATAATAGGGCCTCCATGGCCACAATTTATTCTAATCTGCAGGGTTCCAGAGGCAAAGTCCAAAATAAGTTAATGAATTAACTAATTAATTAATTAAAGGGAAAGGGGGAGGAAAGGGAAGAGGGAAGGGAAAAGAGGAATGATCTGGGATCTCTGCCATTTCCCTTCCTTGAGAATTCTTTTCATCCTCAACTCACACCCCTTGATAAGGAACATCAGACACCACCCTCACCCATCTCAGAACAACTCATGACTTGCATCCTCCTTCTCCAGCCAGACTATACCTCTCACTGGTACACATGGCCTCGGCTCCCATCGCCCCGTCTTCAGCCAGGCATTCTCTCTTGGTGTAAGGAAGACCACTGTTTACTCCATGCTGAACTGACCCTGGAGGTTCTTTGTTCAGGACCTCCACATACCATGTGGAACAGGAACTGGCAGCCCCCTTTTACAGGCCGAATGTTTGTGTCCCTCAACACCCCCAAATTCACATTGTTGGAAATAAGAGCTCAGAGTTGCAAAGAAAATGAGCACTCAAATAAAGGATATCTCAGCAAGGCAAACTTACTTCTGCAGAAGGGTGCTGCTCGTTCTTCTGGTCACTGCAAGAGCACACCGAACAAAGGAGGGAAGGGGTTTTTATCCCTAATGCAGTCAGTCCCTACTACTGTGTCCGGTCTCCATTGGCTGGGGTCGCACCATACCATCTAAGCTGATCCCGACTGGCTACTTCAAAATTGAGCAGGGGTGGGGGCTACAGTGGAGGGAAGAGCAGTTTCTGAACTAAGGGTGCCAAATAAGGAACAGATGTGGGTTGTTACAGATTGGGAACAGATGTGGGTTACAGACTGGGAACGGATATGGGTTACAGATTGGGAATGGGTGTGGGTTACAGATTGGGAATGGGTGTGGGTTACAGATTGGGAATGGACGTGGGTTACAGATTGGGAATGGCTGGAAGGTTGTTTACCATAACTGGGGGCAAGGAGGCAAGGAAGTTAGGCTTTGAAAATAGAGGACAAGCTGAACCTTTGAAGAGGAACTCACTGTTTCCAACAATATGTTGAAGCCCTAAACTCAGTGTGGCTGTACTTTGAGATAGGGCCCTTAAGGAAGTAATTAAGGTTAAAAAAGGTCACAAGGGTGCAGGCCTGACTTGATAGGATTAGTGTCCTTACAAGAAGAGACACCAGGATGCGCTTCTGTTGTCTCTCTCCTCTCTCTGCCACAGAGAAAAGGCCATGTGAGGGCATGGCAAGAATGCGGCTGTCCACAAGACAGGGAGAGAGCCCTCCCTAGAAACCAAATGGACCGACACCTAAATCTTGGACTTCAAGCTCCCAGAACTGTGAGAAAATTAATTTCTGCCATTTAAGCTGCTTGGTCTGTGGTATTTTGTTATAACAGCCTGAGCTGACTAAGACACTCCCTTGGTAAAAAAAATTTCAAGGAGGAAGCATGATTTGGATGCTCATTCTGCCACTTACAAGCTGAGGGGCCTTGGGCAAGTTATTTTTCTCTCTGAGCCTCATTGTGGTCATTGGTAAAATGTGGATCATAACACCTATTGCAAAAGGCTATTATGAGGATCAAGTGAAAAATCTGCATGTGGGTATCTGGGGCACAGTAAAACACTTAGAAAAAGTTAGATTTAAAGGAAGATACCTGCATCTTGAAACTAGAACATTTTGAGAGACAGGACTAGCTGGATTTCCTAGGCCGACTAAGAATCCCTAAGCCTAGCTGGGAAGGTGACCACTTCCACCTTTAAACATGGGGCTTGCAACTTAGCTCACACCTGACCAATCAGATAGTAAGGGGAGCTCACTAAAATGCTAATTAGGCAAAAACAGGAGGTAAAGAAATAGCCAATCATCTGTTGCCTGGGAGCACAGCAGGAGGGACAATGATCAGGATATAAACCCAGGTATTCGAGCCAGCAATGGCAACCCCCTTTGGGTCCCCTCCCTTTGTATGGGAGCTCTGTTTTCACTCTATTTCACTCTATTAAATCTTGCAACTGCACTCTTCTGTGTTTGTTATGGCTTGAGCTGAGCTTTCGCTCACAGTCCACCACTGCTGTTTGCCACAGTCACAGACCCGCTGCTCACTTCAATCCCTCCAGATCCCGCAGGGTGTCCGCTGTGCTCCTGATCCAGCGAGGCACCCATTGCCACTCCCGATCGTGCTAAAGGCTTGCCATTTTTCCTGCATGGCTAAGGGCCTGGGTTCATCCTAATCGAGCTGAACACTAGTCACTGGGTTCTACAGTTCTCTTCCATGACCCACAGCTTCCAATAGAGCTATAACACTCACCGCATGGCCCAAGATTCCATTCCTTGGAATCCGTGAGGCCAAGACCCCCAGGTCAGAGAACACGAGGCTTGCCACCATCTTGGAAGCGGCTCACCACCATCTTGGGAGCTCTGTGAGCAAGGAACCCCAGTAACAATTTCTCGGTGTGATCACCTGATAAAACAACAGCAGCCTGCCCCCTTCGAGGCTGCCTCCTCTGGACAGTGGCCTTGAAGTCCCCATTTGCTTATCAGTTACCTTTTGGGTTGGCATAAGAGTGTTCGTCTCTCAGCAATACCAGCCTCTCCCGTGTCTCCAGGATTCACATCCCAGAGCTTCTTGTGCTTTTCTCCACGGAATTTTGGGATCACAGCTAAAAGAATCAACCAGTCTGTTGGAACATTTAAGTTTTCCTGCCCTCCTGGTATCTGCAGACGTAGGTAACAATTCCATGTGCAAAACTTTCAAGTAATGATGAATCCGCTGGGGCCATAACTCACACCCTGAGGCCACCCCGGAAGGATGGCTGGAGGTACCCCACTGAGGAGTCATCCCGCCCACTAGTACCACGAGTCACGCCCTCTCATTAGATCAAATCAGAGGCAGGGAGAGATTTACAGCTTATCTCAAAACATCTGGACCGGCAATGTCGATTCCAGACCAACAGCAGGAGAGGGTACTTGGGGACCACATTACAAGCCTTGCTTCTGAAGAGCAGCTGCCCTGAATGTTCACCTCGAACACTTCTCAGCACGCTGCCTCCTCAGAGTGTGCACATCTGGATTTGAAACTAAAAGCAAGAACTATGCATTTTTCTTGCTGTTGAAATATGGCTCCCTGGGGACCCAGCAGGTCGGGCCAACACAGACACTTCCTGCATCCTGACCTCAGACAAGCCCACATTCTCTAGGATAACTGAAGGGAACGCTTCCAAGTCTGCAAGCTGCCGTCAACTAAGATCTCAGGCATCCTCACTTCGTGCCGAGAGGAGGCTCTTAAACATCACTGCCTGGGCTGAGCTTAGGGGAGGAGGAAGTAGAAAATGTGATTAACATGTAACCATAAAATGTTGCAGCCATAAAAAAAGAGAGAAGTTATGCGTAAGTTATGGCTGCGTGAATGGCCACATCAAGCCATTTCCAAAAGCCCATCTCACTAAACAGCAGTTATCTTGCTCCTCAAGTGGAAACCGCTTTGAGACATTTCAAAATTAGTGATTTTCTGCCAGCAGCTACACTGACTGCACCAGAGATCCTGACCACAGTCCTTGCTAGAGTCTCAAACAGACTTGCATTTGACTTTTTCTATTTTTTATTTTTTTTGAGACAGAGTCTCACTCTGTCACCCAGGCTGGAGTGCAGTGGTGTGATCTCAGTTCACTGAATCCTCTGTCTCCTGGGTTCAAGCGATTCTCCTGCCTCAGCCTCCTGAGTAGCTGGGACTACAGGCACCTGTCACCATGCCCAGGTAATTTTTGTATTTTTAGTAGAGGCCGGGTTTCACCATGTTGGCCAGGCTGGTCTCAAACTTCTGACCTCAAATGACCCACCCACCTCGCCCTCCCAAAGTGCTGGGATTACAAGTGTGAGCCACTGCACCAGGCCAAACAGACTTGCATTTGACTTTCAAAAAATATGTTGCAGCTGGGCACGGTGGCTCACGCCTGTAATCCTAGCACTTTGGGAGGCCGAGGTGGGAGGATCACAAGGTAAAGAGACTGAGACCATCCTGGTCAACATGGTGAAACCCCGTCTCTACTAAAAATACAAAAATTAGCCAGGTGTGGCAGGCGTCTGTAATCCCAGCTTATTTGGGAGGCTGAGGCAGGAGAATCGCTTGAACCTGGGAGGCGGGAAGGGAGCCCCTTCCAGAGCACACCTGCTGAGTGCTTTGGTTCCCTTCCAACTCTCATGCTATATGGCTCTTACGCTCACCCATCTGCTGTTTCAGCCCCTGACTCACAACTCTGATTAATCCTGCCCTTTTTTGCTATCCTGGAGAAAACGTGCTTCTTGCTTGATCTTGTTCCTTACAAATTCATTCTCTTGTTTAGGGTCGATGCTCCTTAATGATGCTGTTGTTCCATTGTCTGCCACAAACCACTTTCCACTCTAAAGGTTTGTCAACATGAACCCGTTTGTTGATGAAATCAGACAAGACAGATGTGAGGATGATATTCTTCTCAAGGTGTCCAGTCCAGCTTGATACCCGACAGATCTAGACTAAAAGCATCCTCCTGACCCACGTGCAGAGACAGTACATGATGCTTGGCTGTGTAATGGAGACACCAAGACACCAGCTTGAGTCCTCTGCTCTTATTACCCATGAGAATGTGGGTGAGAAACATGACCACCTTGAGCCTCAGTCTTCTGATGTGTGAAATGAAGATAATTGGAGACCCTATTTTCTAGGGTGTTTTAGGAAGAAACAAAATCATGCTTAGCATGGTAGCTGGAATACCTTTAGGGTCCAATAAAAGGAATAGCTATACTCCTGGTAGTGATGAGATAGTTCTGTATCTTGAGTGCAGTGATGATTACACAAATGTACACATGTGAGGAAATGGCATAGAGCTACACACACACTGACCTGGTGTCAAATTCCTGGTTCAGATTTTGTGTGATAGTTATTCCCGTAACCACTGGGCAACTTCCTATCATTATTTCAAGATTAAAAAGAAAAGAAAAGAAAAAAAAAAAGACCAGGAAGGTAAAAAAGGAGATGGGGTGGGAATAGCTGTGGTGGGATTAGTACTGTTTGGAGACTTCATTTCCTTCCCTGCTCTGCTGTGTGACTGCCGAGCGCTGGCTGCAGACCCTGCTGCACTTTCACGGCTGCCCTGGTCTCCAGGTTCATTACTATCTCTCAGACTCACAGCATCAGCCTTCACCCTGGCTCTGCTGGAGACTGCCTCAGAGCTACAGTCCCCTGGTAACTCACTGGTGTATCACTGCCCCAGGCAGCTCCACCACCCCTGCCCCACCCCAGCAAGACCCCAGGCAGCTCCACCACCCCTGCCCCACCCCAGCAAGACCCCAGGCAGCTCCACCACCCCTGCCCCACCCCAGCAAGACCCCAGGCAGCTCCACCACCCCTGCCCCACCCCCAGTAAGACACATGCAGGCTATGCAGGGGGAATCTCGTGCTGAAGGGCGACCTCGCTACGTGAGCAGGGCTCTCCACAGTCCCACATGCCTGGCCCTGGAGGGAAGCCGAGGATAATGGGTTTTGCTGGTGGCCATAGGGTGTGGACTGTGGGGATGTGCCAAGCTTGTGAGCATGAGCTCAGGCGAAAGTCCTGTCTTGAAAGATGTGATGGCTCGAGCTACGGAATTCTGTTCCAGCAAGGATGAGAAAACATTCTGTGTCTGTCCAAACCAAGAAGGAAAGCAACAAGTATGGAGGGTTTTAAACTTTGACAAGTTCCAGAGGCTCAGTGATAAGAACCAGGGAGAGATTCCAGGGGGTAGAGGCAATCAAGGGAAATGTCTGAGCCCAGGAAGAAGAGGGGAGGTGAATGGCAGGACCCGGTTACCAAGGATGTTCGTGTCTGAGTTAGACCATGGAAGAGACCTCCGTGTGAACCTGATAGGTAGTATTTTAAAATGTTCATAAAGGAAAAGTAGATCCTATCTGTGGCAGATTGTAAAATGCAGGTGCTGTTGCAGTCTGCGGAGAAGACGCCTCAGGATTTTGATCAGGTTGGAGTATTGGGGGAGCGTCACTTACACCAGCTGCCAGAGGACCTCTGATCCGAGATGGGAACTTTGGTTGCAGATGAGCATATGGAGAGGCTCTAACTCCTTTCTTTCCTCGTTTGTCTTCCATAAAGAAGAGAAGACCTGAAGCCCAGGATCCTAGGAATAAGAAGAGCAGATACCATCTTTCCTTCGCAGGAATAACAAACAGGCAGCCCAAATCCTACCCTTCCAATTTTGGTGAGCATGTGGAGAAACAGACACACTTCCAGACATGATGGTGGGGGTGTGCATGGACAATGCTTTTGGGGAATTCAGTTTGGAAGATCCACACATGTCTACAACTGGGTCTTTGTGGAAGAGTGTGTCTTGCATATCTCAGGCTTTTGCTGGTAAAGATCAATGAAATGAAAGGAGTGGGCGCTTCTGAACTGCAGGCACCTGCTGCATGCTCCTTCCAATGCCTCTCACCAGTGGGAAACCTCAGGAGTCTGTCTCTGAATTTGTTTCCCTTGCTGTGAAATAGGGATGGCAAGAATAAAATCTCTTTCTGGGGTGGCTGGGAGGTTCACTTGGAACAGTGAACAGGCCTTGAACATTGAACCACACCTCTGGAATGCTACTGAATGTTGCTGTTGTGATATGTGAAGAGGCAGAAGTTTTGGTGTCTGGGAGCATTTTCCTGGGAGAGGGAAGGGGTAAGGAGGCGAGGGAGGTGGGTCATCTACAATCATCCCTTTACCCAGCTGGCTGGAATTGCTGTATAGGAATTAAAATCAACAAAGGAAGTCATTGTGAAAATACGCATAGACGTGAGCTCTGGACAGAACAGGTTCAGGAAACGGAGGAGATCCCCAGGAAGTCTTCCAAGCACAAAGAGGAGGAAATGGAAAGTATGAAAGTACGGATGCAGGAACCTGTGATTAAAGCAGAAATGAAAGAATGAATAAGGGAACTATAGTTCTGCAAACAAGAAAGGGAGGAGGAGGGAATAAGACCAGCTCTCTTTGCAAGTCCTTCCTTCATCAAGCCATAGGAAGGAGGGAGCGGATGGCACAGGAGCTCTGAAGAACAAAACACGGCAAGTCACAACCAAATCACTATTGAGATAATGAGGGTTAATAAGAGCAATTTCCAGATCTGTCAGCAAACGTGGGTGTGACTAAGACTGGTACACAATTTGGGGGTCCCTGTAAGATGCTACTGCTGGAAGGGGAAATGGGGATTTTAAAGCAGAAACATTGCCCAGGGACACAGAAGCCCTGGAAGGGGACTACTGCTTCCAGAATGGTTAAGTTCATTGAAGAATTTTCCACTAGCAATTGACTCATCATTCATAGAGGGAGAGACCTGGAGACAGAGCAAAGGCTGGCCACGCTGGCAGTGGTAGGTATGACCCTACACTCACCTGCTGGGGTCAGCTTCCCTGTCTGCATCCCTTACAGCTGGGAAATCCAGTTCCCCTGTCCATACCATCTTATATCTGCAAGGACTTTAATTGGACACCAGGGCTGGTGTTTGAACGGCATTACTGTTAGTGGAGGGAGCTGACGGAATGACTCAAGGCACAAGTATATCATCTGAAGAAGACTAGAGCCTCATTGCCTTAAAAGAATCAGCAACAAGTGAAAAGTGACAGTGGCTGACCACGTGTCCTTGGACAAGGTACTTATCTGCTCTGAGTGTACTTGCTGAGTCTGTTTCAACTATACAATGGAAATGACACGACCTCCTGCAGAGGATGATAAAGACCACCTTAGAGAGCAGGTGAAGTGGCCAGAGTTACACCCTAGTACTGCCCTCAAGAAACATTTTCCTTTCCCTTGCAGTGAGGGAAGCCAAGGTGCCTGGATGAGCAGATAGAATCTTTGTTTGCGGTTGTCCAGGCTGTCCCTACCATCATCATTTAGATGTCGATGCAAGCTCAAAGAAAGCATGTCTGAGCTTTATCCCTTTATTCCTCTCTCATCTTGTCAAGCCCAAGGATGCCTTTTAAAAAATAGGAAAGGCCACACCATTTAAAAGAAAGGCCAAGTGCCAGGCAAGAGCCCTGGTGAGTGCTGGGGTGCAGGGAGAGCTTTGCAGACCCTGGGACTCACCTTCAGGCCTTGCACCGACTCTGTCTGTTCCTGACAAGCCCTATGCACTCTCCTCTGGCTCCTGGTGGCTTCTTTCCTGGTTCCAGCCACTCCATTTGTCCTGGACTTCACCTTGGCCCATCTGTTCTGGTTGGGCTTCCCTTTCTGAATTCTTTTCCCTGTTTTTGCAGCCCAGAAGCCTGAGCTGCCTCCTGGATGTCCAAAGTCTTTCATCTTGCCTCGGGCTAGCAGACCGCACTAATTGACACTGAGGGGTGAATGAGACTTAATTAGGGAATGTTTCCAGCCCAGAAGTACAGAAGGGGTGAGGAAAGGAGAGGTCATGGGTGGAGTGCGGTGAGGGGATATGGGCAGCACCTGTCTTCAGTGTGATTTGCCCAAGAGCATCGCCTAACCCCACCCCAAACATTCTCCAGTGCTGTCAAGAGAGAGAATAAAAAACACCAAATGCAGGAGTCAAATGTCCCCCCACCTTTGGCAGCTTCTGCCTTTTAGGTGAGGTCAAGGATAGAGTCCCCACATGTGAGGCTGTGTCAGTCACCAACCAGAGATTCCACTTCCACCTCCACAACTTCCAGGGCACAGACTCCTCATCTGACAAATATGACCAAAGACCTAGCTATGGTGAGCTCAGCATTTTGTTCTCCTGCTCTGACATATCAGTAATATTGGTATTTGAGCTGTGAGATCCCATTAGCTCTCCTCAGACCCTGAGGCTTTAAATTTCCCATTGAATTCATTTTAACCCACATTAATTGGGTGTGTACAAAGCTCTGGGCTCAGCACAGTAAAGAAAATGGTGAATTGGCCCCACAGGGAGATCATGATGTAACAGAAGCAAACTGCGATCTCTGGCTTTCACTATAGGGTGGGATACATGGGGGCTAGAGGGCAAGAGGGCTGGAAGAATTTATTCCTGGGTTGGGGTCAGGGCAGTGGGTGTGTGGCTGGCTGGAAGGAAAGTGAGATTTGGCATGGGCCTTAGGAAAGCATCTTCAGACCGAGGGAACCTCATGAGTAGAGGCATGGAGGAGCAGGTGTGACAGAGCCTATGATAGGGAGTTGGGGAGAGCCTGGATAGGTCAGCCCAGGCCACAGAGGGAATTGGTTAACACATGAACCTAAAGGCCAGAAGTCTAAGAGACATCAGGGTCTGTAACTGCTCAAATTATATGCAATTATCTGAGTGCAAATGTATTTTTTAAGAGGAGAGTCTACATACTCCTTCAGGGTCACAATGAGATCCAGAGCCATCAATGCTGATATAGGCCATGGGGGACCTATTGGAATATTGTTTTTCATTTAAAAAGTTATTTATTATAAAGATTTTCAAACATACCAAAAGTAGAGGTAATAATATAATGAACTCAATGTCCCACCTTCAACAATGATCAATTTGTGGCTGGTCTTGTTTCACTTGCACCTTCACCTCTTCCCACAACCTCAGGCTTGATTTGATGCTAATCTTAAAGAAAATATTCAATATGTTTCTGGATTAAAATATAAGGATTTTTTTTAAAAAACACACAACCACAATACCATTAAGTCATCTAAAATGTTTAACAATATTTCCTTAATATCATCAAATATTCAGTCAGGTGTTCACATCTCCCTAAATGTCTATTGACTTTTTTTTTAAACAGTTTGTTAATTTGATTTAGGGTCCATATAGAGTTCATACCTTGCTTTCTTTAAGTCTCCTTCAACCCGTAGAGTCCCTTTCCATCTATTTTTTCTGTCATTTGTCCTGTAGAGTTTCCTGCAGTCTGGATTTTGTGAGCTGCATCTCATGATGTCATTTAACATGTGCTTCTATCTGTGTGCTTCCTATAAACTGGAAGTTTGAGCTACAGATGTCATTATATTCAGGTTTGATTTTTTTTTCAATACAACTTCAAGAGGTTCATAATGCCTGGTTGTCCCTCTTGTTTCCATCACAGTGACTTTTTTTTTTTTTTTTTTTGAAATGGAGTCTCACTCTGTCACCCAGGCTGGAGTGCAGTGGCGCGATCTCGGCTCACTGCAACCTCAGCCTCCTGGGTTCAAGTGATTCTCCTGCCTTAGCCTCCCGAGTAGCTGGGACTACAAGCACCTGCCACCACGCCCAGCTAATTTTTTGTATTTTTAGTACAGATGGGGTTTCACCATTTTAGCCAGGATGGTCTCAATCTCCTGACATTGTGATCTGCCCACTTTGGCCTCCCAAAATGCTGGGATTACAGGTGTGAGCCACCACAGTGATTTTAAGCTTGGGAGATGTATTAGTCCATTCTTACGCAGCTATGAAGAAGTACCCAAGACTGGGTAATTTATAAAGAAAAGAGGTTTAATTGACTCACAGTTCCACATGGCTGGGGAGGCCTCAGGCAACTTACAATCATGGGGGAAAGCACCTCTTCACTGGGCAGCAGGAGAGAGATAGGTGCAAGCAGGGAAAATGCCAGATGCTTATAAAACCATCAGATCTTGTGAGGCTCACTTACTATAATGAGAACAGCATGGGGGAAACCGCCCCCATGATTCAATTATCTCCCCTGGTCCTGCCCTTGACATGTGAGGATTATTACAATTCAAGGTGAGATTTGGGTGGGGACACAGAGCCAAATCATATCAGGAGAGAAGTGTAGGCATTTCAGAAAGGTCAGTCAATGGTGTGGGGGTCTGAGCAGAGGCAGGGACCAGAGGCAGGAAGACCAGCTGGGAAGCTGCTGCAGTGGTCTAAGCGAGCTGCCACCTTCCAGCCGCACGAATGAGCCTGTATAAATGAGGGGTGCCTGTGTGCTTGCATGTGTAGAAGGCCCCCTGGAGCTGCAGGCAGCACTCTGGCACTAGATGCTTGTTTCTGTGACCTGGGGAACTTGACAGCCACATGAGGACCATCAAGTGGCTAAATACAGCAAAATAAATGAGGCACTTTTACTAATGTATTTGCTTTTTCTCTATCTGCCTGAAGCTTTGCTAGGTGAATTAGGTTTCCAATGTGTTGCCCCTCCCTAGAACCATGAAATCCCCAGGGGATGGGAAGTGAATGGAAATGACTGGAGCACAAGGCGAACCCCTGGCCTGTGTGGTTTCTTCTGCATGTTGTAAAGGAGAAAAACGGCAGCTGTATTTTAATGGGAAATGCTTAAACAGTGAAAAAGCCCCAGATTGCAAAACCTTACCCTCCCCAAGAGGTACAAGAAATTTAATGTTTGAAAATGGTTTTACATTTCTTTGAGGACCAAAACTATTCCTCTTGTTTCTAATGCCCATGAGCTAGTCTCTGACTCTCCTTGAAATTTCAGAGGGGTGGGCAGTGCGGAGAAAGAGAGAGATGTATTATATTTCCTTTTGAAATGGGTACACATAAAAGTGTCCAGTAATGTAATTTTTGAATGTGTAACTAGGCTTATTTTCTGATAGTCTTGAGTCATAAAATTATACCTTAATTTTAGAAAGCATTCTGATTCTGAGATGTAATAAAATCATATTTAATGCTGTGAAACATTTTAAAGTGTGTTTTTAAAGGAAAATACTATTTTGGATAACCATTAAGTAGCTCAGCTATTCAAAATAAACTATAAAATGCAAATAAAAATGTGCTTGGGTTATATTTTGAAGTTTGGTACAATACCTTAGAAATCTGTTGAAGCTACAAGAATGGTAACTGAATCAAACAGATCCCACTGGACCTATCTGCCGTCACGGCATCACTGCCCAAATCCTGCAGCTTGATCTAGTGAATCTCATAGCTTGATGGCTCCGTGGTCTATATTTCTGAGTGTTTTGAGGAAGCTGCTTTTAAGAACAGCCAGCTTTGTGTGGCATGGAGAGGACGGAGAATCAGGCAAGGCTCAGCCCCAACCTACACATTTGGGAGACTGTTGGGCAGCAGTCGATGAGGGAAAGGTAGATTCTAAAGTCTGATGAACCAACTTAAGGTTTTATAACGTGACTACCACTTCCTGGCTGAGTGACGTTGGATATGTCATTTAACCTCTTCTGTGGTTTCTTTATCAATAAATGGAAGATTAAAAACTCCTTGTTTTAGGCCAGGCGCAGTGGCTCACGCCTGTAATCCCAGCACTTTGGGAGGCCGAGGCTGGTGGATTACAAGGTCAGGAGATCGAGACCATCCTGGCTAACATGGTGAAACCCCATCTCTACTAAAAATACAAAAAATAGCCGGGTGTGGTGGCGGGAGCCTGTAGTCCCAGCTACTCGGGAGGCTGAGGCAGGAGAATGGCGTGAACCCAGGAGGCAGAGCTTGCAGGAAACCAAGATAGTGCCACTGCACTCCAGTCTGGGAGACAGAGTGGGACTCCGTCTCAAAAAAAAAAAAAAAAAAAAAAAAAAAAAAAAAAAACCCTCCTTGTTTTAATATCCAATAAGTGGGGCGTAAAAAGAACATATAGAAAAATTGGCTGTGTGTTAGGAACTAAGCTGTTGCTCAAGAAATGATAGATCTTGTTATTATCAGGACACATAAGAAAGTAAATCAATAATAGAGGAATAAATTAGCTAGCCTTTAAAACTGAGGGAATATTTTAATCTCATTTTGTTATTCAGTAAAGCTAATATCATCAATTTTCCCTGATTAATGAATACTGAAAATCTGTGGTATGGTAACCAGCTTCAAAGATGGTGCCCAATTATCCTCTTGGTCTTCATGACTAGAAAGAGACATGTGGTTCTCATCCTTCTTGTAACAGACTTGGCCTATGTGGCCAATGGAATATGGCAGAAATAATGATAAATGTCTTCTGAGATTAGGTTATAAAATACATTGTGTTCCCATGGAAAAGAATAAAGTTGGATCCTTATCTCCACCATATACAAGAATTAACTCAAAGTGTATCAAAGACCCATTTTAAGAGCTAAAACTGTAAACTCTTAGAAGACAACAGAGAAAATCTTCATGATTCTGGATTAGTCAATAGTTTCTTAGATATGACACCAAGAGTACAGAGAACAAAAGAAAAGCAAACTATACATCACCAAAATTAACTTTTGTGCTTCAAGGCAAAAGTCTTGGTCAAGAAAGTGAAAAGAAAACCTAAATAATGGGAGAAAAATTTAGCAAATCATATCTAATAAGGATCTCATATCTAGAGTATATAAAGATCTCTAACAGCTCAATAATAAAAAGCCAATAACTAAAAAACAAGCAGAGGATCTGAATAGACAATATACACATGGCCAACACACAAAAAGTTGTTTAACATTATTGACCATCAGTGAAATGCAAATCAAAACCTGGCAGACACCACTTCATACCCATGCAGATGGCTATAATAGAAAAGGTAGATAATAACAAGTGTTGACAAGCATGTAGAAAAACTGGCACCCTTATACATTGCTGATGGGACTGTGAAATGGTGCAGCCACTTTGAGAAATAGCCTGGCAGTTCCTGAAAATGTTAAACATAGAGTTATCATATGACTGTGCAATTCCACTCCTAGGCAAATACCCAAAGAAATAAAAACACATGTTCACACAAAAAGTTGTATATAAATGTTCATAGCAGCATTATTTGTAGTAGCCAAAAAGAGGAAATAACCCAAATGTCTATCAATTGATGAATCGATAAATAAATTGTGGTATATCGATACAATGGAATATTATTCAGCAATAAGAAGGAATGAAGTACTGATACATACTATAAGGATGACCTTTGAAAACATTATGCTAAATGAAAGAATTATAAAATGCCACATATTTTGTATGATTCTATTTATATTAAATGTACAGAATAGGCAAATCCATGTGGACAGAAAATAGCTTACTGGTTAGCGAGGGCTGGGAGGCTTAGGGAGAAATGAGGAGTGATTGCTAATGGTTACGGGGTTTCTTTTTGGGGTGATGAAAATGTTCTAAAATTAATCACAGTGATGATGCACAACTCGGTGAATATACTAAAAACTGAATTGTATACTTTAAATGGGTGAATTGTACGGTACACAAATGACATATCAATTAAGCTGTTATTTTTATTTTTATTTTTATTTTTATTTATTTATTTATTTTGGATACAGGGACTCTCTCTGTTGTCCAGGCTGGAGTGCAGTGGAGTGATCTTGGCTTACTGCAACATCCACCTCCCAGGTTCAAGCGATTCTCATGCCTCAGCCTCCTGAGTAGCTGGGACTACAGGCATTTGCCACCACGCCTGGCTAATTTTTTGCATTTTTAGTAGAGACAGTTTCACCATGTTGGCCAGGCTGGTCTCGAACTCCTGAGCTCAGGCAATCCACCCACCTCAGCCTCCCAAAGTGCTAGGATTATAGGTGGGAGCCATCATGCCCGGCCTGAAGCTGTTATTTTTTAAAAATCACATTGCAAAATATTTTTTTAAATATTAAAAATTATAAATAAATAAATTAACAAAAATCACATTGCAAAGTATAGCAGATCTCTATGATCTGGTCTGAACTCTAATGTCAAACATTAAAATCGAGTTTGTCAGTATTACTATGTATGGTTTCTGAAAATACCAAATAAAAGATAATGAGGAATCTGAAAATATTTAAAAAGACACCATGGCTTTGGCGTTGCTTGCTCTCTCAGATCACTCCCTCTGGGAAGCAAGCTGCCATGTCATAGAGGGACGCCCACATGGTGAGGAGCTGAGGCCTCCAGCCAATAGCCGGCAAGGAACAAGAGCCTTCTGTTGCCAGCCCTGGGAGTGAGCTTGCAGACAGATCCTTCAGCCTCAGGAAAGCTTCTTGATGACGCGGTCCTGGCTGACAACCGGACTGCAACCTCATGAGATACCCTGAGCCAGAACCACCAGCTAAGCCACTTCTCAAGTCCTGACTCACAGTGCTGCAAGATAATAAACGTTTTGGAGTCATTCGTAACACAGCAAGTGATAATGAAGATACGTGGGTTGAGTGGGGCTTTGCCTAATATGCCCTAGTGCCTCCTGAAAGTGAATGAGGCCAGCTGGGATGACTAGGCACTGCTCAGAGAGCTGGGGTAAGGCCACCGTGTGGTTTCCTAAAAGGAGTGAAAGTAGAGAGAGCCTGAGATGAGCATCTTCCGGAGGGAGGGACTATGTCGCCTGGGAGAGAGTCACACACACCTGGTTTCTGGGGCTCTGGGCCCCAGAGGCAGGTGTCGTCTAGGGATAAAGAACGAGAGGTAATGTCCAGAGGAGGAGGTCCCTTCTCTGACAGCCTGGGGTCGGAGGAGGCAAAGCTTTTGTTAAGAGGCAGTTCCCTGGCTTGATCAGAAGAGGAATGTCAGCCAGCTTCTGAGGACTGCAATACCAGAGCTTCTGAGGCAAACTGGGACATAGAAGATTGAAGAAGGCGCCAGAGGCACAGAGACACATTACTGGAGCCTTGGAGATGGTGGTCATGGAAGCCATTAATAAAACATGGAACTTTCTGGAACATTGGTATTCATCATCATCATCTCTCACCCTCATGTCAACACTATTTATTTATATATTTATTTATTTATTTATGACAGGGTCTCACTCAATTGCTAAGGCTGGACTGCAGTGGCACAATCACAGCTCACTGCAGCCTTGACCTCCCGGGCTCAGGTGATTCTGCCACCTCAGCCTCCACAGTAGCTGGGGCCACAGGCATGCGCCACCGTGCCCAGCTAATTGTTGTATTTTCTATAGAGATGGGGTTTCACCATGTTTCCCAGGCTGGTCCCAAACTCCTAGGCTCAAGTGTTCTGTCTGCCTCGGCCCCCCAAAGTGCTGAGATTACAATCGTGAGCCACGGCACCCAGCCATGTCAACACTTTAATGCAGGCAGTTGCTATCCCCATTTTACTGAGGAGAATCTAATATTGTAGCAGGCCAAGTTTCACACAGGCCTCCATAACAACCGCTTCAGTACTGACTGAGTGGTTAAGTTAAATATTAAAAGCCAGTGCCTTTATACAAAGGCTAGGATGTAACAAAAGCCCACCAAGAGTTTTGTCTAGGCCTTTCCTGGGCCTTAAAGCATGACAGAATAATGAAGGAATTCTTAACAGGACCCATTTAGGATTAAACAAGTTTATTGGGGGTCTGGAGGAACTCCTAAAACCTGTGATTCAGCAGGAGAGAAGATAAGGGTAATCACTCCAGCAACTGGACCCATTAAGAGTAAGTAAGCTGGCCGGGCGTGGTGGCTCATGCCTGTAATCCCAGCACTTTGGGAGGTGGAGACGGGAGGATCACGAGGTCAGGAGATCGAGACCATCCTGGCTAACACGGCAAAAGCCCATCTCTACTAAAAAAAAAAAAAAAAAAAAAAAAAATTAGCCAGCTGTGGTGGCGGGCGCCTGTAGTCCCAGCTACTTGGGAGGCTGAGGCAGGACAATGGCGTGAACCTGGGAGGCAGAGCTTTCAGTGAGCCGAGATCGCACCACTGCACTCCAGCCTGGGCGACAGATCGAGACTGTGTCTCAAAAAAAAAAAAAGCAAGAGTAAGTAAGCTTACTGAGGCTCCAGAGGAAGGTCTTCAAGACTCAGACCTTAGTTATAGATGAAAAGAAGTTAATCACTTATGTCTTTAGATGAATGCACACCTCCATGTAGACATGTAGCTTAGAAGGTATAGAAGCTCTGGAAAACTTTGTAATTTTGAGTTGGTCTGGTGATAATTTCCAGGCCTTCTCCCTGGTTGCAGAAATAAAAATTTCTGTAACAGGTTGCAGAAATAAAAATTATCTTCCTCCCTAGTTCATCTGCATCTCGTTATTGGGCCATGAGAAATAGCAGCCTGACCCTCAGTTTGGTCCGGGAACAATAATGTCAACAATAGTAAAATGTGGATAGCTAATAAGTGGCAGAACAGGTCTTCCAACTCCAAGTCCTGGGTCGCTACTGCCACACAGCACTGGAAGTCATGAACGGGTCCTTCAACTAGGAACCAGACAGGAGGTGGCCCTGGAGGAAAACGCCCAGCTGAGACAAGGCTGATGTCAGACATTGTGCCCAGTCTGTTATTTCTCTTACTTGATCTAATCATGTGACTGTGCATTTATATGTATATGCAAAATATATTTTTAAAAGTGCATATGAAATCCATACAAATCGTAACAAATATCCAAGCACTTACCAGAAAGCTTAAAAGACAGAATTATCACCAGTAACCGATACTCTTGTAAGCCCTCCCTAGTAGAATTCTCCTTCCTCTTCCCAAAAGTAAGTCTGAATTTTATGTTAATTTTGTTATTTCCATCTATTATTCTCTAGGGTTTCTGGCTGTTCCTTTGTTTGCCCGTGGTGGCCAGCATGTTTGCAGTTGGGAGGATTCTTCACCAGTCTAACACATGCCTCAGTTTTCTAGGTGAGAAACCCAGACAAGGTAAGTATAATACCTGCCTCTCCCCACCCTTGATCACTCCAGGTCACATGGACTGTGGGTGCCATGGCCGTATCTAAAAACCAAGTGTCATTAGTCAGGGACTGTTAAGATCAAAGGGACTTTGTCACCCAGGTCAGAGAGGGCACACAGAGGGCCTGCTGCTGTCATCCATGTGTGCAGACGCTGTCCATCCTGGATGGCCCCCTTTTGCGCCGACCTGTCTTGATCCTAGGCCAAAAGCTTTTTTCTGTTATTAAATTCTAATCACTTCTCCTGGTCTGATTCTAGGCTTTCTCCTCCAGACACGTGTACTGAACTATTCGGCTCCTACTTCTTTCTCCATGTATTGCCCTGAACTTACGTTTCTGGATCTGGTTGGCATGGTTTCCAGGAGGTAGAGTGTAAGCCACTTAAGGCAGGGGTCTCAGCCTGCTCTTTAACCTCTAGCCCAGCCTTGGGCAGAGTGCCCAGTTGGGCACTCCCCATTGGTTGACTAATCTGCTGAGATCATGGTCAGCCAGGCCTGGAGGGGTCTCTAGTGATTGGAAAGCCAAGGATCCATTGCCCCAGGACCAAGCAGTGGTGCCACATAGAGAGAAGCCTCTGATACACTCCCAAAAGCTACAGCTCTTATCCTAAAATAATTTACTGTGCTCCGCTGGGCTCTCCACTTCTCACGTGTTCCTGATTTTCCCTTTCACTACTGTCCCACTGGCCAAAGCATCAGTGTGGGAGGCCAAGCCCACAGTCAGTGTGGGAGGCCCCACCAAAGGGTGTGGGGGCAGGGAGCAAACTGTGGCCTTTACTATCATCAGTCAACCATGGAAAGGGAACTGATATTTATTAAACACCTGCTATGTGCCAAATGCTTTACTTTTCATCTTATTTAAGCTTCACAACAATTCTCTGAAGTGCTGGCATCCCTGTCCCTTGATGAAGAAGCATCACTCAGAGACGTGGGTCACTAGCCCATGTGGTTAGCAGGTGCTGGAGTGGGGATTCGTACCTGCTGAGTTGGGGAGCGGGGCGGAGCCTGCCCCTCTGAGAGTGACTCTGAGTATGACATAAGTGAGTCACAGTGAGAATTACAGGAGATCAAACAGAAGCCTGTGAATGAAGCTACGAAGTGGATCCTGCTCCTTACTTAAGGGGGCATGGTCTCTCTCCAGGCCAACATGTATCACCAGCGATGATATCCTCTGGTACGCCAGTTCTATATTCCTCACCACTGGGGATGAAGAGAAAAAGGAGGGAGAAGGGGAAGCGATGTGATGCATGGGACCAGAGTCCCAGATGCTGATGGCCTCAGCGGTGGGGGCGTGTGAAAAAAACCTTTTCCTTTTTCCGTTTCCAATGTCAGGCTTTGCCCTCTGAGGGCTCACAGGCCACCCAAACCCTTTCCATGCTTTCACACACAGTTGAGGTTTTGTTTGTTTGTTTGTTTTGTTTCTTTTTTTGTTTTTTAACAATTTTGAAAGTGCTTACGTAGAGACACAGCTTTAGATGGGCCACATGAAAGGCCCCGTTCAGACAGCTCTCATCTGATACAAAGCCTCAGAATGCCCACTGACGTGGCCCAAACGGTGGTGCTCACTTGGGCAGGTGCATCTGAATTTCACAAGGTCCCCTGATGGAGGCGTCATCTGAGCTGAATTCTGGCTCAGAACAAAGGAAGTGCAAGTCAGGCCCCCCGTCAGAACTTCCGTCCGTCTTTCTGCATAGAAGGATCCTGCCTCCTGGGTTGTTGGTGGCTGTGTGGAGCCAAGTCAATTGCTAACTGTCACTGAAGACCAAAAAAAAATTGCAGTTTTCAAGTTCAGTGGACAGGGACTCAGAGGAAAGCAGGTGGGAGAGAAGAGCAGGAGCTGCTCACAGCAGCCAAAACAGCAGGATGGGATCTGCGCAGCCCAGGCCTCCAGTGCCAGACAGCCCTGGTGTCTCAGTGGCCGGCTGACCTCCTGAGGCCTGGCCACAGCCAGGAGCCCACATACCCCGCTGGGTAAGGCGCAGAGGCCTGCACACAGCCTCGGTGACCCCTCATCTTACACACACCCTGAAATAGAAGCACAGCAGGAAAGACCTGCTCAGCCGCACACCGCCTGACCCGGAGCCAGCCTGACGAAGCCGGAACTTCCCACTTCACCTGAACCCACCCGCCACCCGCCTGGCCACAGACTCACTGCCCTCTTTATCCCCAAATGAAAAGGGGTAGTTGTCTCGCTTGGTGCCCAGGGTGCCAGCTTTTTTACCCTTCTTCATAGGGCATATTTCTGGGCCTATCCTCTTTTTCTCCCAAAGTACCTAAGACAATGCTCCCTTTATAGGTCAGGGAAGGAGTATAGATCCTGCTTTCATTCTGTCTTCTTCCCCCAGGGCAAACAGCTTCACCCTCAGCTTTATGAATTCCTTCCTATTCTTACTTTTCTCCGAAGCTGTTTCTCATTGACCTGACGTCTCCTGACCTGTTGACCAAAGCACCATTCCACGTGTCCTGTGTGTGTGTAGCTCACTGTGAACTTGCTGTTAAGCTGAGGCCTGGCCCCGAATGTCATCAGCTTGCTGGTTACTTGCTGAGACAGGAGATGGAGGTGCTACAAGAGAGGGAGATGAAAGAGGAAAGGAGAGAGAGGTGGAGAGATGGAAATGACCAGGACGGGGAGGGCGGGGAGCAGAGCTGAAAAGTAGGAAGGAAGGAAGGTGCGAATATGTGCTGGGTGCTACCCTGGGGCCTGTATATATTACCTCACGTAGCCCTCACAACACACAGGTGACGTTCGCATCAGCACTCACATGTTTCGTGAGTTTTCAGAAAGGTTAGTTTGTCTGAGATCACTCAGCTGTGAGGTGGCAGGGACTAGATTCAAATTCAGATTTTTGGCTTCGATTTCAGGACTTTTTCCTTTCTAATCTTCTGCTCCCCCTGAGAGGGGACTAGAGGAGAGAGAAAATGAAGGGAAATAGAAGGGAAGTGGAGACCACCAATTGTTCTCTGGTTGCAAGCAACAGAAACTGATTCTAGCTATCTTAGATGGGAAAAGGTTTGATTGGAGGGGCGCCAGGTGGCTTTCAGAATCCAGTAGACTGTAGGAGAGCAGGGTCAAGAACCACAGTGTTCTGGGGTCTGGGCAGGAGAAATTAATTGACAGCTTACTTGAGATTCTGCCCCTGAAATAAATATGCTCCAAACATTTCCCCCACTCTCTGTGCAGGAGAGAATCCCAGGAAACAGTCTGATTTGTTGTATTGGGGTCACTTGCCTACCCTTAAGTCAAGGGAGCTAAGAACACCAACATGTCACATGACGGAGGAGAGAGCTCCAACTCCCAATGCTGTTATCAAACAAAGGGGACACGGACACAGAGCACCCAAACCACAGATGACAACCACGCAGGAACTTTTTAGGTGCTGCCTGCAGGTATCAGGGGCTGATTCTATCTGCCCCAAACTGCATTAGGGCTGAGCCCCGCAGGTTGAGTCTTTCTCATGACATTGAAATGGCCACCATTGTCACCACCAGTTCCATCTGACAGAGACGGGCTGGGCCCCCACCTCTTCCAAACCTGGCTTCTGGGAGGAAGCATTTCTCCTCTCAGGAATTAGTCCTCATTCAAAAACTCCGTGCAGTAAGTTTGCAGAACAATGAGCAGCTTACAATCAACACTCTGGACACACTGTTTTATAAAGACTCCTCCTAGGGCAGTGGTCTTTAGAGTGAAACTTCTTGAGTTGGAATTCTAACACCATTACCAGCTGTAAGAGAGAAAATGCCCACCTCCTCTCTGAGCCTCAGTCTGTTCTGCTGCACAGTAGGGGGATAACGCGTACTCTGCCTCCATCTGTATGTTGTTCCATCAAATGAAATAAAAATTGTCATCAGCTTGTAAACGGTGAGAGCCATACAAGATACAGAGAGGCATTGTGGTCCTTTTCACTATTACCAAGCGAGGCCAGGCTGCTCTGGGAGTGTGGCAGGAGGCCGAAGGCGGCTGCACGCTGCCGTAACAAGAGCGGGGGTTGGAGGAGTTGAGGGTGAAAGTCCGGGCAATGGGGTCCTCTGTGCTTCCAGCTTGCTCTCTACTTCAAGCACTGTGAATAGATGAAACTCCACCACATCCTTTCACCCATTCCAAGGCCAAATGGCCCAAGGGCAGAGTTATACATTCAACCGGTAATTTGAAAAGCCCTGATTAGCCTCATCTAAGCTCTGTCTTCTTTACTGAGAACCCAACTGCTAAGCCTTTCCTGGCAATGAGGCTTCTTGAGGCTGAGCCTTCACAAAGCTGGGTTGTCTCCAAGTTTCCCTTTTTTTCCTTCCACAGGCTGGCACTGCACAGAGATGGAACCTGATGAAACGGCCCCATTTGAGCGCCTGCTGTATCGCGTTGGCTCTGCTTCCTGCAGCTGTGCTCCAAGATGAGCCTTTCAGACATCGCTCCCTAATAGCTCCATCTCCCCCAGTCCAGGAGGATGCGCATTCCTCTCCTCATTCACATGCACCACTTCAAGCCATCTGCACGCTCTACAGGGGACTTGCCGCCTAACATCCTAATGTGCAACCCCATCCAAATCCTCTGCTGGAATCTCACTATTTGCACCACTTACGCTCCTGGAGCGTGAAACAGAAGGGCCAGTCCTCTTGTCTCTTTATTCTAAGTGTTTAATACAGATTCCATGGACTTGGTCCATAACAATATGAGTGTGGTCTTACATCAGTCCTTTTACTAATTTCTCATCATCTCCCTCATCCTTGTCCTTTAGTGATTGTTCCAGACCTTCTCTTCTTATCCTCATACTCTCCTCTTTGGTATAGTAGTGAGTAAAAGAAAGAAAGAAAAAAAAGGTCCTAGTGTGACTCATATCTTCATGGTTTATTTACTACCTGGAGGATTTTTGAGGCTATGAACATTGTTTTATTTTTTGCTGTATCCCCAGCACCTAGCACAGATATGTGTGTGTATCAGGGCCTGTATGTATAAGCTCTCCGATGCTGCTATAACATGTAGTTCCCCAGTCAAAACTAAGTATTATTAAAGCAGCATTTTGGACAGGGTTTAAATTACCTGGCCCTTGACTTTGGGAATTGGAATTTTGTCTACTGCAGTCGCTTGGGGGACCTTCCAGTAGAGATTTATAATTAAAATGATATCATCCAGTAAGGCTTTTACCACAGGGCTTCTAAAAACAATAAAAGGATTGTCTGAGGCAGAATCTGCACTGTGGAATGAGAATTATATATGGTTTACTATAAAGTAAACTTAGGCATAATTATATGTTGTGAACTACAAACGCACAGTGGGATTCTGAGATTAATTTCCAATCACTCCTCACCACGGATTGGTGAAAATCCCAGCCAAGTGTGGTGAAGGAAGTGTCTCTGTTTCTGCCCGGTTTGGAGGTATTGTCTGTGCATTCGTTGCTGGTCTCATATCCCAACTTCCAGCTGCTGCTGCTCCACATCAGTCACTGCAGAGATGTTCAGTTTTTCATGCCAGGATTGCTCTGTCAGGATTTGTGTTAGTAATTGCAGAGACTTCGTAGGTTCTGTTTGCAATCATACGTAACTCAGATTTTAAATTAAAAAGGTAAAAATGGAATAATTTGGAAAAACATTCACAGAATATCAGAGTTAAAAGAAGATATTTAACACCATCAAGACCAGGAACAGCAAATAGTTTTCTGTCCTAGCTGCCAGCCCTATCAACACCGTGTCTAGGCCTTGCCCGTGAGAATGCAGTGATCATCTGGTGACGCTGGCCACAAGCAAGGGAGGAGGGGCAGCGTGGCCTGAACCGCATACTTGCCCTCCTTGCAGAAAGGCAGGGATGTCCCATGGATGAAGGGAGGGCAGCAATCATGTTGAAAGTTTTTTAGGAAAATGGAAACTTAGTGGCAGAAATAGTGTTTCTTTTACTATCAATTGACATTCAAAATCACTTTCAAACCAACAAGGCTAGTAGCAAATTGAAAAATAGGAGTGAGAATGCCTGCCCCAGACATGGATGGTGTGGGGCAAAACAGGGGTAGATCCAAATGAAACAATCAACTGCGACTCAAGCTGATTTCCAGCCGGCGAGTGTCAGCAGGCACAACGGTAGGGGGTTGGGGAGAAACCATCCGTCCACCTCCTGCCTTGGACCAGGTGCAGCGAACTTTATGTACCAGATATGTTACAAGAATCTGGCTCTAAACAAATTTCTGCAAGCCCTCTCTCAACCTCAGCAGGAGGGAAGTTGCCACTCCCTGACAGCAAATCAAACTGGATCTTGGAACACAAAATGTTGGAGACGTTTAAAAAATTGTAATTGAAAAAATTGAAATTTAGGCCAGGCGCAGTGGCTCAGGCCTATAATCCTAGCACTTTGGGAGGCCAAGGGCTGATCACTTGAGGTCAGGAGTTTGAGGCCAGCCTAGCCAACATGGTGAAACCCTGTCTTTACTAAAAATACAAAATTTAGCCAGGCATGGTGGCACACGCCTGTAGTCCCAGCTACTTGGGAACCTGAGGCAGGAGAATCGCTTGAACCTGGGAGTCGGAGATTGTAGTGAGCCGCGATTGCACCACTGCACTCCAGCCTGCGCGACAGAGAGAGACTCCATCTCAAAAAATAAAATAAAATAAAAAATTAAAAAATTGAAATTTAAAGAAAAGGAGAGAACACTGTTTAACCATAAATAAATACATATGTGACCACAAAGAGTTACATTGTAAATTATTGTGTGTATCAATCAAAATAAACCAGTGGGGTAAAAAAAGATAATGCAACTTGTAAATTGCCTGGCTAAGTTTTGCTGCTAGAAGTAAAATGTAACATTCCTAATTTAAAAATTCCAAGCTTAAAACTAAAATGTTCAATTATAAGGACTTTAAGTAAGTAACATATAATAATGATGAATGGAAAGGTTTAGAACACCATGGGGAAATGCTTGATAGCATGTTAAGTGAAATCACAGTATTGTAAACACAGGATCATCAGACTAGAGGAAAAAAGTGTTTCACTGGAAAAAGCATCTTTATCCTTTCTGGAGTAAGAAAGGGTTAATATTGTGTATTATGTGTAGCTATATCATTATGTCTCTCTCTTTTGGTGTTTTTGTTTATCTATCAGGCACTCAGAAATATGAACAAAATTTGCACTCAGAAGCCGTAACCATGGATAATTTTTGTCTTTTGGCCGTTTTTATTACATCATTCCTTCCTGTTTATAGCAGCAATATTAGAAAAGAGATAAACAGAAGTAAAATAACATTTATAATTCTCCCCTGGATAGATAACATTTGGCGCTTTCTTTCCAGACAATTCAATATGCAGATAGACACATAAGTGCATTTATTTTATAAAACTGGGATCATACTCTGCATCTGGTGAGTATTTATAAAGATCGACCTTGCCCTGGCTGGTGCCATCCCAGTCCCTGGGGGCTTGTGCTCGCCTCTGGGTGGAAGTTCACAGGCAGGCAAATCACAGAGCTGCAGCTCAACCAAGTCTTTATGTTGCCTCTATAAGATGTTAAAGGTAAAACAAGGGAAGGTATACCGTGCTCAGTTTCTGCAGAAGCAGGCCCCTTCCCCTGTAATCTGATGAGCTCTTTGCTTTTATCCTAGAAAAATACAGCAAAGGTCAGGATGGCCCATCGGAGCTCTCGTCCTTGCCAAATGGTGTGTGGACAGGAAAATGTCAAGTGTCTCTGCTGGAAGCACTTGACCGGGAAGAGGCATTCATCCTCCCAGCACCCTCAGGGACAAGGGGTGCCAGCCGGGCTCCCCTGCCCTCCTGTTGCATGACACGGTCTCTGATACTGGGCCACCCGCTCCATGCCCGAGTTGCGTCCCCTCCCAGGGGCACACTCTCTGATGCTACTAAGGCAGGCATGGAGGAGACATGGCAAAGAGAAACCAGAGGATCTGTACTTTTCCCTGAGGCTTTTGCTCCCAACCAGCTGCAGAGAGAGTGTGAGAAGGAGAGTACCCAGGCCAGGCACGGGGAGCAACTGCGAGTCTCTGTATTTGTCTTCTGGGCTATTATGACAAAGAACCACAAATTGGGTGGTTTAAATTTATTATCCCACAGTTCTGGAGGCCAGAGGACCACACTCGAGGTGTTAGGAGAGCCACACTTCCTCTGAAACCTCCTGGGGGGTGGCGGGGGGATCTTTTCTTGCCTCTTCCATGGTCACCCCAGACACCCTTGGCTTGTGGCAGCATCCCGCCCATCTCCACCTCCACTTCACACAGCCGTCTTCTCCCTGTGTCTGTGTCTTCATAAGGCACTGTGTGTGTGTGTGTGTGTGTGTGTGTGTGTGTGTGTGTCCCAACTTCCCTCATTTTATAAGGACATGATCATATAGGATTAGGGCTCATCCTTAGGACTTCATCTTGACTCCATGTGCAAAGACCCTGTTTCCCAACAAGGTCACGTTGATTGGTACTGAGGGTCAAAACTTCAACATGTCTTTTTGGGGGACACAATTAGACCCTAACAAGCCCTATGAGGGTTCAAGAGGACCAGTGCTCTTTCACTATGTCAGATGTATGTGGAGGGAGTGACTAAGACAGACAAACTATTTTAAAATCCTACCTCTGCCCCCTAACACACCTCTCCAGCCCTCAGAGAACCTTCCTTGGAGGACCCATGGCACCTGTAGCTTTGGAAAAGTCACTTGACTTCTCGGGGCCTCTGTTTTCTCATTTATTAATTGAGCTAATGCAGTGACTCTCAAAGTGGGACCTGAGTATCATTCTGATGACTATGAAGTGACCCAAGCACGCAAATCTTTCCTGTGGTTCCTCCAGGTGGGTCACAGAGGTGGCCCCCAGACTTTACTTCTTATGTACAAGTAAAGCTTTTAACCCACAAAAATTTGGTATTCATAAACTAAAATTAGTGTTCCTGGGATTTACTGAGGACTCCAATTTGTTATTCTACACTATACTTTACATAGTTGGAATTTCCCCAAGATTTGGAAAAACGCTGTTTCGTTAGCTCTTCAGCAGTTATTTTGAGTTATCATGGTTTTCAACCGCTTTTATTCATACTTTATATTTATAAGTTACTATTGGTTTTGTGCCCTCATTATCCATTGAGTCTGGCGAGAGTTTGGGGTTGTCCTAGAATGGGTAGTAATAAGTATTTACTTTGATAATTTTTGGCTTTTATTATAAAATTGTGCAATTTCTAGACATTATATGTAAATGAATTGCAGTTGAATAATTCATCACTCATGTACCCCTACTGCTAAGGGAGGTGTATACATGATCCCTTTATATTTTGCTTGTATGGTGGTTTGCCCAGGACTGAGAGGTTTGCCGGAATGTAGAATTTTCAATGCTAAAGCTGGGAGAATCCTGAGCAAACTCCCACGGTCGGTCACCCTATTATAGAAGGACACTTCATTGGTGGCTTCCTTGCCGGTGAATTTGTGCTATTTTTTTTTCATCACTTTCGTCTTGCAATCAAGGTTAGCATAATAAAATTAGTAGGGTTATTTTGAGATCATGGGGCGTTCATTTATAATATAAAATCAAGTGTACAATGGCAGATTTTTCTTTAACATAAATAGGAAGTGAACCGTGTATACTGCCTGCTCAGCAGGTTTAGTGCAATATGTCTGTTTGGTTCCTCTGCGATCCTCTTCTCCTTCCCATAAGCCCCACACCTATAATTACCAAACTCAGGAGAGAGGGGGAACTGGTGAGACGTTGTGTCCTTTGGCCCCACTCAAGTGGATATAGTCAAAGAAGTTTAGGAACCCCTGAGTTAAGGACTCCTAGACTGCCCTACCTCTTACAGCTTGAGGCTGCAGATCCACCCTGACCGTGCTCAAAATCCTAAGCCAATGCAGAGTCAGAAGCAGCTCAGAAGCTTCCCCGGAGGTCCTTGCTGAGAATTCCCTAACCGGCAGGCAGTTCCTCCCGCCCTAGGAAGATTTTGTGTATAGCCTCCTTTGCATAGTGTCCGCTATGAATTCTCTTCTCTGGCTCCATTGCATGACAGGAAGGCAGGAGAGGAGGACAGAAAGCTGCTGCTTATTTTCAAGCTTATCTCCAGCTGTCAGAACTCTCATTAGGGGCTTTTTGCTTTGGACTTAATTTACCTTAGTCCTCACAGCAATGCTGTGATGTATGACTGACTCTACTTTGTAGATCTGGAACCCGGCTGCCCTGACCTGGCTCACCTCGAGCCCTGGTCTCCCCTCCATGCTCCCTCAGCCCCTGAAGTCCCAAGGAACCCAGGACTCCACTCACCTGAACAAAGGTCACTTGAAAACTGGGAAAGGGACAGAAGCTTTAAAAAGCCCAAACGAACAAACAAGAGGTTGACAATTTAAAAATAAAGCCAACACAAACTCAGCCTGGAATGGAAGCTCCTGATGGAGTCATCCTTAGAATTCACCACCCGCAATTTACCCCAAATCCTGGGTGACCCCTCCTCCACTGCTCAGACTGTTCTTAGGTACAGCTGCTTCACACTGCATCGTGGCCCTGTCATAGATGACTAAGCCATCAGTGGGAGGCATCTTTCCCTACATACCATCTCTTTTTCCCGGCTCAGAGTGTCTTTTCTAAACCATGTCCTTGCTTTACATTTCCAGGGGGTCGTCCTTAACAGTGGGTAGGTAACCCTGTGGTGACCTGATTCCTGCTCAGCTGTGAGCTTTTTCTGTCCTCTGGTGGGGGACAGACACTCAGCATTCCAGACAGGGTTAGTGGTGGGACTTCTATTTATTTAACTACTAATCCTACTTATGTGAAATTAATTTGCTCTCCTATTATAACTCACCTTGCTTCCTGCCCTGACCGTCTCCTGTAATTGACACCTGGCTGCTCCATTGTGCTCCTGCTTCCTGGGCTAAGGGGCAGCGGTTGGAAGCCAAGTCTTGGAGTGACTCACATTAGGAGGCTGCTCTATACAGAAGAGAGGTTTGCTCATTATAGACTGAGGAGGGTTACTGTAAAAACAGCGGTGGTTTTTTTTTTCTCCTAATAACCAGTTCCCCTTTAGGCTAGCCCTTTCCAAGGAAGTTTGTGTACTATTATTAAACTTCTTCCTAACTCCAAATATGGGCTGCTCCAGTTTCTGCAGCGTGCAGATGAGTCTCTGGCTTCTGTAGTAGAAATCCAGGCCCAGGTCCCCATCTGCCTCGGTCCTTGATGAGATGCAGGTCATCCACAGTCTCAAAGCAGGTAGAGGGGTCCATGCTGCCCCAGGGGACAATACCTACAAGGTGTTACAAACACCTCCAGCCAAAAACAGGTGCTGCCACTAAAGCTTCCCAGATCCAGGTTCCACAGCCAGGATCCGTCTTCTGTCTGTGGCAGAGGTGAATGAGGAGCTGTTTGCATTGAGGCTGCAGAGAACATGGCTGTATTATGGAGATGAGAAGGAGCCACGCTGGCCTCTGTTCATGGCCCTCCACTGAGCACCTGGGCTTGGCAGACAGAGGGGTGTAGTAGTCTGAAGATCTGGCTCTAGCCTCCAAGTGAGAAGCTCCCACTCCCAACTCATGTCCATATCTCAACTGCTCATTTGAGTCCTTGGGAGAGGGCGAGGGGAGGTGGGGAGGAGGAAGCCCAAGAGTTTGTCCCCTGGCCTCTGCCAACACTGCAAATGTGGCCACTTTAACAGGCTAACAGACTGGACGTCCTCCCATGTGTGTAAAATCCCCATACCTCCTCCAGCAAACTCCATGTTGGCTGTAGAATGAAGGCCACCTTCTGCCCGGCATGGCATCTGCAGCTTGACCCTCTTATCCGGCCTTATTCTCGCCTTTGCTCTTCACAATCCTCATCCCGTCCGACTGTGGCTCTGAACTCTCTGCCCATCCCTCCATCCCACCGTTGTCACATGGTGCCCAGAAGACCCTGAATGCCCACCTTATTCTTTTCACTCATCATGTCTAGTGCATCCTTGACCCCACTCTAGCTCAGTCCCCTCTGCTGTGAGAAATACTTCCTGACCCTACCAATTAACAGGCAGCTTGTCTCTCCAAATTCCACTAGTGTGCTCACACAGATTCATGCAGCTAGAGTTGTTAATAATTCTTATATGAGTGTTCTTTGTCGTCCTCCACTAGACTGTAAATGCTTTGCAACAAGGAACCATTCCTTAACATTCATGTATAGCCCTACACAGGTGGCCAACAATTGATGGAACTTGATGACCCTACAACCAGTTGTCCACTAGGTGTGTCCAGAGTGTTGTTTCTTGCTTAGAGCATGATTTTTGCTGTCAGAAGGACCTCAGTTCAAATCTTGACTGTGTCAACTACCAGCTCTGTGACCTCAGGAAACTATTTAACCTAACTGTGTTTGTTTCCTCTTCTGTAAAAGCAGAGATGTACAGTAATCGGCCCCCAGGTTTATTGTAGATTTAAAGCATGGGAAATTCTTGCTTGGTGCAGTACCTGGCATGAAATCAAGGCTCACTAAATAGCAGCCATTATTATTATCGGGTTAGTTTGGGGCTGGTGCCTCTGCTACAGTGAGTCTTAACAAGCATCAAATTAATGGAGATAGATCCTGGTTTTAGGGGAGGCATCCTGGAGAGAATGTTGAAGTGAGTTTTGGAAATCCGACAAGGAGAGAAATCAGAAGTTAACCCAATTGCATTTCTCCCAACTTTTCAACAGCCTTCAGGCATACTCATTTTTAGCTGATTCTCCAGATATTGCTAGAACTTTTCCCAGAGGCAGATGCAGAGTGACTGTGCAGACTCTGAAAAACAGTGCTTGTCACCTGACCTTAAATGTAACAAACAACCCCTGAGGAAGGTAGCTCCAATTACAGTCATGAAGTTGGAGGAGCCCTTTCAAGGCAGATTGATTTACTGGACCAGAAATACAGCTCAACATCCCACACACAGATTTCTGCCTTTGGCAAACTGCCCTGCCTGCTTCCTTCTCTCTTGCCCTGGCGTATTGATCTGCATGTGTGAGTTGGTGTAGTTTATTGTATAGGGTTGTGTGTGTGTGTTTGTGTGTGCTGTGGTCCCAGGATGGAAGCTCCTAGATTGGGAGCCCTCTAATTGAGTGATGTCCAAAGCCTTAATCGAGGGAAATCTTGCTCCATTTCTTTTTGTGGTGGCTTTAATTTCATCCCTCTGCTTCAGGTTGGCATAGAATGTTCCAGAAGGCCTCTCACTCTGTCTGATTCCTGTGCTTCTGAGTATATGTAGTAACATGTTGTTGTATAAGGAAGGAAAAAAACTAGTTTTTGTTGTGTGCCTTGTGCCAGACAAAAAAAAATTACCATCTCCATGAGTCACATAAGAAATTGAGACTTGGAAGCATTAGGAACATGCCTAAAATCCAATGCTGGTAGAGCCAGGATCCAAACACAGGTGTGTCTGACTTGATGCCCTCTGTCATAGTGACTCCAGGCTTGGCCCTGCTGGGAGATGGACGCCCAGCCACTATGGGAGTGAAGTCCAACTCATAGGGTCATTTTGAATGGGAAAACTTTGAAATCTAGGGGCATAATTTCAATTCATATCATCGTATTTTGCACCCATCATGTGCATGGCTATGTGGCCTTCTCCCTTGTATTAGTTATTGATTGCTGTGTGAAAAATTAGTACAAACTTGGTGGCTTTGAACAACACACATTTATTATCTCACAGTTTCCACTGTTCAGGAATCTAGGCACAGCTGGACTCCCTGTTCAGGGTGTCACAAGGCTATACTCACAGTGCCGGCCAGGCTGTGTTCTCATCTGGAAGCTCAACTGGGGAAGCATCCATTTCCTTGCTCACATGTGTTGGCAGCATCCATTCTCTGAGGTAGTAGGTCTGAGAGCTTCAGTCAGCTGGAGGCTACTGCAGTTACTTGCCACATGGGGTTTTCAACAGGGCTACCTGCCTCCTCACGGCCAGCCAGGAACTGAAATTCCTGCACGATTATGCTGTGTGTGATATAATCACATACCTCCTTTCACCTTTGTCATATTCTGTTGGTTAGAAGCAATTCATAGACCTCACCCACCCTTGAGGGGAGGGGAGCACACAAGGCCATGGGCACCAGTAAGCAGGGGTCCTGGGTAGGGGGCACCCTACAGGTCTGTCCACCACATCCCTCTTTCCCTTTCTCCTCTTCTCCTTCCTTACCCTCTTTCTTCATTTCCCCTTTCAAGTCTAGCCTCAGACATAGGGCTTTGCCAATAAATATTAGCTTTAGAGTAATGATGTTAATAAGTGACATCACTATATTCCAGGCACTAGTTTTTTTAACTTTCTATTGAAGTATAATATACATACAGAAAACTGCAACACCCTAAGTATAGAAACCAATGAATTCTTCAGAAACTGAACATGCCTATGTAACCATCACATAGATCAAACAGGAAGATACACTGCTAGCACCCTGAAGCCCTTCTCAGGCTTCCTTCTAGGCCTTAACACCCTCAATGGTGAACTTTTTTTTTCAATACAGCGTCTCATTCTGTTGCCCAGGCTGGAATGCAGTGGTATGAGCATAGCTCACTGTAGCCTCCAACCCCTGGGCTCAAGTGATCCTCCCTCCTCAGCCTCCCAAGTAGCTAGGACTACATGCATGCACTACCATGCCTGGCTATTTTTTTTTTTTAGAAATGAGGTCTTGCTACATTGCCCAAGCTGGTCTTGAACTCCTTGCCTTAAGCAATCCTCCCACCTCAGCCTCCCAAAGTGCTGGGATTACAAGTGTGAGCCACTGTGCCCAACCAAAGGTGAACTTTTAACAGTATAGGAACTATTAATTTAGACTGTTTCTGTATAAATTATAAGCAGAATCCTACAACATGTATTATTTCATTTCTGGTTTCTTTGACTCAAAATAGTTTTGTTGCATGTGGTTCTAGATTGTTCATTCTCATTGCTGAATAGTAGCCCATCATGCGAAGGTGCCGCAATTTACTTATCCGTTCTACTTTCAATGGGCATTGGGGTAGCTTTCTGGTTGGAGGTATTACAAGTAGTGCTGCTAGGAGCAGCCTAGTATGTATCTTTTGGTGAACACCAGTAAGCATTTCTGCTGGGTATATCTGGGAGTGGGTGTGCTGAGTCACACAGTGTGCATATTTTTTGAGCTGTGTTTATGTATATACAATCCTCACATCCCTCTATGGGAGGCAACATCATCCTCTTTATACACAACAGCCTTCTGGGTCAGACCTACACTTTCTCCATGGGTCCTGAAAGATCAGACAGGAAGGAAGGCCGACAGGTGCAGTGCAGAAAGTGTAGGTTTCACCTATCTTTTCACTATTGACAACCTTCTTTTTTTTTTTTCTTAAGAGACACATTGTTTTGAAGACTTCTGCATACCAATCAAATGTCCTTTGGTTAGTCTCATTTAATTCCTCTAGTGATTCTCTTATTACTCAAAGACACATATAGCCAGCTGCAGAGCTGCTGGTCTGACAACCTACATAACAGCATTGCCTAGTTTCAGATAAAACCAGACAAAATCCAGGTTCAGGTCCACCTTGGTCACCTCCTTACAAGAACACAGGATTTCTGTTGGGCTGTGTAAACACTAGAAGATGCCGCCCTTTCCCTTTGTGATGCTGCAGGGACCTTAGATGACCAAAGACGCCACGTCTCCACTGAGGATCTCTTAGACCGAGACCAGGTCTGAAGCGCTCTGACTTATGCCAATCGATATATATCAATGCATAAGCCATTCACACACCATTTTGACCAGGCACAAGCCATCATTTTTAAACAAAAATTCAAAGTCCCATCCATTTACTTTGGGCTGGTTCTTATGCTATGATAGGTTCCATGAAGGTAGTGAGGAACATTTTCCAAGCTGCTGCCAAGTGGTCAGAAAGACTTCAGGCTACTGCTAGCAGACTGTACTTTGGGGTATACTTTGTTCTTTCCCATTTGTCTCTCTGTTTCTATCTCTCCATCTCTGTCTTTCTCTCTGTCTCTGTCTTTCTCTGTGTGGGTAAGTATGTTTTTTATAGTTAGTATATGTAATGTATATTTACATATATATGAGAGATCTGTCTACCCATCTATCAACTATCAACAAAATTCAGGTCCCATTATATCTTACTTTTTATTAGCATATTTTTTCCATGTGATAAAAGAAAAGTACATTCAAAAATGTAACTTTTAAAGTTATTGTTTGATATTCTATCACGTGCCGTTACCATGATTAATTTAACTAATTCTCTATTTTGGGACATTTAGGCTGTTTCCAGTATTTTGCCATTGCAAATAATACTGCATGAATATCCTTCTACCTAAATCCTCAGGGACATTTCTGATATTTTCCTTAGGCTAAGTGATAAGATGCAGAATAACCCACAAAGCACACGGATGTTGGCTTTTGAGTCTCATGATCAAATACAAATTTATGCCGCTGTCAACAGCATAGAAGAGTGTCTTTTTTGCCCACACCAGTAATTTTCTATACAAATATTTTTTCTCAATTTTATAGGTAAAGCATGATTGTTTGGTTTTCATTGCATTTAACGGATTCCTTGTGAGTTTAAATATTTTTTTCAGGTTTGCTGTCCATTTGCGTTTCTCCTTGCTTTGCATTTTGCATTCCTTTTTCTCATTTCATGTGTCTCCACTCGCTCACAGAATGACATCCTGTGCTCAGCAGGTCTCTTTTCCCCTCATTCCAGACATCAGGGCAGGAGTATTACGAAGGTCCCACAGAATAACTTGGTAATTGTCACCTGCCTTGCAAATTGAACATATGTTAGAAAGATGCACGCTCACAAGCCCACAGCCGGCTTGGTCAGCCACATCTGTCATTCCTCCCACCAGGAAGGCCAAATTCCTCCCAGAGCTGTAAACCTCACATCTCACTGAGTCTCTGGACACCATCACCCAGGGGCTGTGAGATCAGGAGGGCCTGCTGGTAACTACTTAAGCAGCTGAGGTTCCAGTGCACTTCAGGGTTTTACAGGACTATGCCTCGAAGGAAGTGTTCCCTGCTGCTCTGGGGAAACAGGCAATTGTAAATCAGGTAACAATGAGGCCCTGACTTATTTATCCTTCTAAAAGTTTTACATATTAGGGCCAGCAAGGGACACATTTGTCCAGTTCATGGCTGATTTGCAGAGTCAGCACTTTGGTAAGACCAGCCCGCCTTGCTCAGCAGGGTCGGCATGTGCTGGGGGCTTGGAGGAACCAAGGCACCCTGTAGTGCTGAGGCCTTATCTTGTCTCTCGGTCTGGACTAAATGTTATCTTTCAGAGACATGAGACACAGGATGGGAAGTCACCAAACAGTGGGAAATTCTTCCTCTTGGTGCTAAAGGTGCTTTTTCCCCTCTCTCCCTGGCCTCCTCCAAGTTCCTCCTCCTTTACAGGGAACATTTGCCTGGAGAACAGCTGCACCCTTGTGATCCCAGAAATGACAGGGAACCATTAAAACAGGAACAGCAGTGATAAAAGAAGTTTTCGGGCCTTTGGCTTATACTAATTAGCAATCAAGGCCAAAGCTGAACCCAATGTCCCATAATAAATTATGACACATCCTTACAAGAGAATATTAGGCAGCTATTAAAAATAATGTTTTCAAAGAATTTTTATGGCACTGAAAACTGCTTATGACATGAAGTGAAATGAAGGAAAGATGTAAAGCCCACATACAGAACACGGAATACCAATGACCTGAAAGACTACCTGGAAATATTGTAAAATGGGAACTGCAATTATCTCTGCAGGAAAAATTATGTGTGCATTTTATGTTTCTCTCTTATTATATTTTTAAAATTTCCTACATTAGGCATTTGTAACCTTTGTTTACCAAAATAAATAAATAAAGTTTTTTTGTTTGTTTTTTATTTTTTGTTTTTTTGAGACAGAGTCTCTTTTTGTTGCCCAGGCTGGAGTGCAGTGGCGCGATCTCAGCTTACTGCAACCTCCACCTCCCGGGTTCAAGCAATTCTCCTGCCTCAGCCTCCAGAGCAGCTGAGATTACAGGCGTGTGCCACCATACCCGGCTAATTTTTTTTTTTTTTGTATTTTTAGTAGAGACAGGGTTTCACCGTGTGAGCCAGGATGGTCTTGATCCCCTGACCTCATAATCCGCCCACCCCAGCCTCCCAAAGTGCTGGGATTACTGACGTGAGCCACTGCGCCCGGCTAAAAATCGTTATTATTTTTAAAGACCAAGTCTGATGTGAGCTGCCCCAGGCCTTTGAAGATTTTCTATGTTCATTTCTCCCTCCCTCCCTCCCTCCCTTCCTTTCTCCTTCCTTCCCTCACTTTCTTTGTTCCTTCTTCTCTTTTTCCTCTTTCTTCCTCCCTCCCTCCCTTTTTTTCTCTCATTCTTCCTCCCTCTCTCCCTGTCTTCCTTCTTTCCTTCCAGAAAACCAGCAATATTGACCAAAAACAAATTTTCAACAAGATCAAGAAGTTGATGGTCCTGATGCTGAATGAGGGAGGGGGCTTGGCTACTTTCGAAAAAGCTTGGGGATCCAAACATTGTTCTGCACTGTCCTGGTCACAATGCTTCTAGGGGGCTAGTTTCAATTCTGGGTGCCAGGTTAAAAAGTATATAGAAAAGATCACCTTCTGCAGAATACAAAAATGACAAAAACGACAAAAACGATTTCATCAATAAAAGCCACAGCAGCAGCTCCACCATGTACTGAATGCTTATCATGTGCTAGATACTGGATGGAAACATGATCTATTGTTTGATGTGAGCTTTAAAACAACTCTTTTACAGCTGAGAAATCTGAGTTTACCAACATTAAGTAATGAGGTGGATCTATTTGATCCTGTATAAATTTGCCCAGGAAATGGAGGAAGGGAAGCTTTCCCAGGGAAGATCCTGCCTTATCTGCAGATGGGACGGCTTGGACTGTGGCCTTGGCTGCTGGAACTGGAGAAGCTGGCTGGGAGGGCTGCATTACCACGGGAACTCTGGATGGATTTTCCTGGACAAGGGTGACAATTCAACTCTCTTTAGAATTCTAGAGGTTTATATTGAAAGGTGTTGGTGATGCAACAGACTTAGCTCATGGGAGGCAGAAGCCTGAATGCTCTGGAATCAGGAAGACCGGGCTCCCAGACGGCCTCAGTGGAATCCACTTTGCAGTCACCCTTGGCTGCTTTTTGCCTGACTGGAGGATTCTGTGGCTTGAGATGCCCAGCATTGTTCAGGACCGTGGCCTTTGAGGGTGACTCTGTGGATCATGGGGAAATTGGGTCCATTCTTATAGCTTGCCAGGAATGTGACAGCGGTTGACTGGGCCCCACCTGGGCAGTCCTCCAATTGTTGGTAGTGGGGGTCCCAGGCAAGGACAGGGGATGCTTGGATCAGACTCTTCCACTGGTTAGATGGACTGTTTTTTGTTTTGTTTTGTTTTGAGATGGAGTCTCTGTCGCCCAGGCTGGAGTGCAGTGGCACAATCTCGGCTCACTGCAACCTCTACCTCCTGGGTTCAAGTGATTCTCTTGCCTCAGCCTCCCAAGCAGCTGGGATTACAGGCGCCCGCCACCATGCCTGTCTAATTTTTGTACTTTTAGTAGAGATGAGGTTTCACCATGTTGGCCAGGCTGGTCTTGAATTCCTGACCTCAAAGTGATTTGCCTGCCTGAACTTCCCGAAGTCCTGGGATTACAGGCATGAGTCACCATGCCTGGCCTTTAAATGGACTGCTTCTTAGCTGATGTAAGAATTATGAGTACCCCAGAGAAGTCTATCCCACCAACTAACACAGAGAAAAAATACAAGCAAAATAATCTGTATGAAATATTAGTTTTAATAAAACAGAACCAGTCCATGTATGGAGGCATGGGCATAAGGTCAACTTGCACTAAATGTAACTCGTACGTTTTTTCTAAAATAATTTCTTGAGCATTGTGGTGGCCTTATGTACTAACCCGAAGCTGAACTTCCTGGGAAGCTGATCCAATGGAGCACTTGGAATTCAGGGGTGGAGTCTTCTTCCTGGGTCAGAGCTGGTTCAGGGTCACATGCTCTTGAGGTCCCTAAAGGCCACATGTGCTGCATTTCGCCCAGCAGCTCCCATCACACCTCCTCCTGGAAGGGAATCTCCTATGAACCAAAGCTCCGCTCAAAAACCTGCCAGGGTGGGGGTGGGGACAGGGCTTACAGAGATCCAGCAACAAAGCAGAGTGGGGCTGGTTAGAGGGGTCCGGGGGCATGGGCACTGGAATCACCTAAGACAGCCGCTCAATAGATTCTGGCTCCCTCCAGGCTTCCTGCACCAAAGGTCTGGGGAGGGGCCAGGTCCACAGCCCACAGTCTCAACGGCTGAGGGTGGACGTGCTGGATGGGCACACGCTTAGTAAGTGAAGTTAAAATTTCAGAATAAGGGGCTGGGGGGAGGGGGAAGATGTGTAAGCCCAGACTCTTTCCAGGGTACCAAGTCTACACAGCTGAGAGAAAGTGTGCATAGCAAATAGCCTCAGCCAGCTCCGTTAGGCTTGGAATGCGCACAAGAAAGAATTGTAAAGTTGAAGAAGTTAACTTTATCCATCCTTCCTGGTCTAAAATATGGATGGAGGCCTCTAATCCCAGCACTTTGGGAAGCTGAGTGGAGAGGATCACTTCAGCGCGGGAGTTCGAGACCAGCCCGGGCAACCTAACAAAACCCATCTCCACAAAAGAATAAAAAATTAGCCAGGCATGGTGGCACACACCTGTAGTCCCACCTACTCCAGAGGCCGAGGCAGGAGGATCACTTGAGCCCAGGAGGTTGAGGCTGCAGTGAGCTGTGATCATACCACTGCACCTCCAGCCTAGGCGATAGCGTGAAGCCCTGTCTAAATATATATACGGATGGGGAATTTAGGGACATGGGTCTCTCACAACCCCACATTGGAATGTGGTGAGATGCCTCCACCAGGATGCATCCCCAGGCCTCCTGAAGGGGAGGTGTGAGCTCAACTGTGGGCTGTGGTCAGCCTGGTGGAGGCAGCGGCTGTGTGCTCACCTGTGCATGGATAATTCTGAACACAGGGCAGCTTATGTTGGGAGTTCCCTGCTCCCCTCCCTCTCTGCCACCTTCATTGCTTAACTTCCTCCTTCTCCAAGTCTCTGGCCTCCAGTGAGCCCTCCCAGTCCCCACAGGGTAGTGGGACTCCAGGTCACTCACCAGGATGAGCCCCACTTCCACAGAGATACAGGCCCTGGAGAGGGCAGCGGTAGCCAGAATGCAGGGGCACGGGGCGGGCGAAGTAGAGCTGGTCCAGGGACATGGCGCAGTGGAATATGTTCTGCAGAGGCAGGGCCACAGTCATCAGCACAGGAGAGTTACAGCCTTTCCTGCTCTGGCTGGGTTTCTTCCCCTCCCCTGTTCTTCAGCAAATGTTCTTCTCCTTCCAGGATATTTTCTTGGGTTTTAAAATGCAGAAAGGGAAGGAGATGAGACGGAATGGGCACATGCCCTGGGGCTGGGAGTGAAGTTTTCCAGAGGCTTTTTGAGGAAGAAAGCAGGGTGGGGAACACGAACTGAACGGGAAGGAAAAGAGGGTTTTGCTCTCTACTCTGCATCCCTCTCCCTCTGTTGGAAAAACAGAATTGTCTGACTTATTGTGGCTGTTGGCATGCGTCTCTGCGAGAACTCCCTTCTCTGGCCAAGGCATCCACCTGAGCCCGGACCCCGGTGTCCAAGCTCCAGCAGGATCACTGTGAATGGCAGACAAGGGGCAACGGAGCCCGAGCACGGTTCTGCCCCCCTGGCTTGGGTGAGACCAGCCCCAGGCTGAGAAGGGAGGCAGCATGGGACAAGCGAAGGTCAGACTCAGGGGGCAGGTCTGGACAAGAAGCCTGACGTCTGTTGGGCATCCTCACAGGAGTGCTCCCCCACTGCCCTCTTCACCTTTCCCCAAACTGAGGCCATCCTCTTCCCTCGAGTCTGCTCCTCCCCATCCTCCTGCATAAGTGAATGACACCACCTTCCTCCCCCTGGCCTCTGTGCCTACCCTTCACATCACCTCCACCCTGACTCCTATGTGCACACTGTCACCAAGGCTTCTCAAGTCTGCCCGCCCCATGCCTGCTGTACCCAGCCATTCCCTTCCTTCCCGCTGCCTGGCCTTCTTTCCTCTATACCTGGACCAGTGCTGTTCAGTGAACATGTAATGGGAGCTACATATGTAGTTTTTGATTTATTAGTAGCTACATTTAAAAAGTAAAAGCAGAGCCGGTTGTGGTGGCCCATGCCTGCAATCCCAGCACTTTGGGAGGCCAAGGTGGGAGGATCACTTGAGCCCCAGAGTTTGAGACCAGCCTAGACAACACAGGGAGACTCATCTCTACAAAAAAAAAAAAAAATTAGCCAGGTGTGGTGGTGCATGCCTGTAGGCCCAGCTACTCAGGAGGCTGAGGTGGGAGGATGGATGGCTTCAGCCCCAGAGGTCGAGGCTGCAGTGAGCCGTGATTGCACTACTGCACTCCAGCCTGGGTGATAGAACAGGACCTATCTCTAGAAGGAAGAGAGGGAGGGAGGGAGGGAGGAAACAAGGAAGGGAGGGAGGAAGGAAGGAAGGAAGGAAGGAAGGAAGGAAGGAAGGGCAAGCTGATGAAACTAATGTCAATAATATATTTTATTTAGCCCAATATATCCAAAATATTATAATTTCAACATGTAATCAATATATAACTTATTGATGAGATATTTTACATTTTTTTCTATACTGTGTGCATTCTACACTTGCAGCACATCTCACTTTGGCCTCAGATCTTTCTTTTGCTTTTTTTTTAAATTTTCTTTCTAGAGATAGGGTCTCATTCTGTTGCCCAGGCTGAAGTGTAATGACGCATCACAGCTCACTGCAGTCTCAAACTCCTGGGCTCAAGCGATCATCCTGTTTCAGCTTCCTGGGTAGCTGGAACCACAGGTACGCACCACCACACCTGGCGGGGTTTTTGTTTTTGTAGAGATGGGGTCTCACTACGTTGCCTAGGGTGGTCTCTGATCTTTCAAGTGCTCAGTAGCTGCAATGAGGCGATTGAACCTGGCCTCCTATCTGGTCTCCCTGTCTCCAATCTCTAGTTTTTGATAAATTGACAAGTCTGAGGATGTGCTGCTGCCTTGAGAAGGGGGTGCTCTCTCTCAAGAAAGTCAGATGGCAGAGCCAGCATAGTTGTCAAGGCAGAGGGCCACAATCCTGGTGACCTTCTCAGTGGGGGCTGTCCTGCCTGTGTTTCTGAGCCCCCACTAGGGATCCCCCATTCCCTCGGTTTGACCGCTTCTCTGCCCTCTCTCAGCCGGGGTCCCTGCCACTGTCCTCCCTTCCTGATGAAAGCTGAGTATGGAGGGACAAGATAAAGCAGAGAGGTCATAGCCAGGAAGTGAGGGTGCAGAGGGAAGGCTATGGTGAGAGACCCCCTAGGCTTATACATACCCCTCCAGGAAGCCCGAAGATTCTCTCCAAATCTGGTGGTGTGAGGATGTCTCTGCCAACCACAGAGTCCTTGAAGCCAGGGGCATAGACCTCGATGCAATCAAACACTGGGGTGCCAAAAACAGAGAAATGAGATGGTGTTAGGAAGAAGAGGAGGCACTATGGGTGTACAACTTGGCAAATTTACTAACAGTCATTAAATTACACACAGAAATGGGCTTATTTTATCATATGCAAATTATACCTCAATAGGTGAAAAACAAAAATCAGTCCACAAGCAAATGATTAATTCATCCCAAAGATGCATGGGTAGGCCAGTCCAGTCCCCAGTTTTCCCCACTTCCCTACCCCAACCTTAAACACGAAGCTGCTGATCTCCTTTTGCATATGCAGCTTTTTTCACCTCTTCACTTTTCTCAAGCTGTTTTTTTTTTTTTTTTTTTTTTTTTTGAGACGGAGTCTCACTCTGTCACCCAGGCTGGAGTGCAGTGGCGCAATCTCAGCTCACTGCAACCTCCGCCTCTGGGTTCAAACGATTCTCCTGCCTCAGCCTCCTGAGCAGCTAAGATTACAGGCATGTGCCACCACACCCTGCTAATTTTTTTATGTTTTTAGTAGCTACGGGGTTTCACCATGTTGGTCAGGCTGGTCTTGAACTCCTGACCTCGGGTGATCCGCCTGCCTCGGCCTCCCGAAGTGCTGGAATTACAGGCATGAGCCCCCACGCCTGGCCTGATCAAGCTGTTTCTCTTGCTTGGAATGCCCTTTGCTGCCTGGCCAGCTCCTAGTCATCCTTGGAAACCCAGCTTGACCATCCCTTCCTTTGAAAGCCTTCCTTGTCTCTCTGGCTCATGCGTCTCCTTTGGTTCGTGCAGTCAGCTGTGCTGTAATAAAAGGTTTCTTAATTAGTCTCCTCCATCCCTTGCTAGACTGTGAGCAACTGGAGGGCAGGAACTGTGTCTTCTTGACTTTCTTAGCCCAGTTCCTGACCCCTGCAGTCAACTATGTTGACTTGAGGTTCCCTTGACTATTTCCTCCCTTTGGAATGGCACCTGCAGTTGTCAATCCTGAATGGGGCAGTGAGGAGGAGCAGGCCCAGTTGGGTCGCATGCCCGGCTGTGGCTCTGGAGGCAGAACGTGCAGCTGTCTTTACCTCTGTCTGCATAAGCGTCTCTCTCCTGCTCGTCCCAGGCCTTGCCTCCAGCCAGCGTATAGGGCATGTACTGAGTGAAGAGGGAGACTACATGGCAGCCAGGGGGAGCCAGGGTGGGGTCCAGCGAGGAAGGGATGCAGAGCTCAATCACAGGCCTGTGCGGGCAGGGAGGAGACGGCAGGTCTAAAGAGCAGCAGTGCGGAGGGTAGGGCATCCGAGATGACTTGGGACACAGTGGAGGCCCTGAGATGACACCAATTCTGGGCGATTGTCGCTCTACAGCCACAGTGGTTGTCCACCTGCACGGGCTTAGCGGCTGCTAGCGTGGTCCAGAGCACCTGTGAGGAGCTCGCCTGACCCCAGACCCCCGAATGCATGGCCTGTCCTTGCCTGCCTTCATCACACGCTGTGCTCTAACCACAGCTCCCAAACGCAAATGTCTCGAAGGTCCACACAGACAGTGGGAGTGTGGAAAGGGGCCAGGCCTAAGACAGCAGGCGCCCAAGCAGCCAGATTTCAGCCAGGCTTTAGTGGCCTGACTGTCTTTTCCAGAGCAGACCAATGGAAGACAGAGCTGCTAGGGCTGCCCCGAGCCCCAGCAGAGCTGTGACCTGCTTCCCACCCCACCACCTTTGCCTGCCACACCTTTTCTACCTGGAGCATGTTCTCCCTCTGATCTCCAAATATGAGTCTCCTTCAAGGCCACGGGAAATGCCCCTTCTCCCTGCGTCCCTCAGCTGCAATGTTCTCGCTGAACTCGGATGTCCACCAGGGATCTCAAACATCCCCTGTTCAAACCCCAATGCCTGATTAGCCTCTAAAATCTGCTCCACCCCCACCGCCTCTTCCTCTTTTCAGTAAATGGAGGCATCATTTCACAGTCGCTCCTTTTTTTGACCCACATCCCACTCCCTATCCAACAGAAAGTCCTGTTGGCTTCACCTTCAAAACATACCCAGTCTTCCAACACTTCTCATCACTTCCCCTGCCCCCACCCTTGTCCAAGCCACTGTCCTCTCTCCCTTGGATTCTGCAACAGTAACCCATTGCAACAGATGCCTTAACTTTTTCTGCATACAGTGTCCAGGTTGGTCTTTTTAAAGCATAAGGCAGGCTCTGCACAAACTTTCCTGGAGTAAGAGCCAGGGCACTTGACAAGACCCAGCACCATCCGAGACCCTTCATTCCCAGGTGCTCTCTCTCCAGCCACTCTGGCCTCGTCCCTGTGCCTCCTATACAGCAGCACACTCCTGCCCCAGGGCCTTTGCACCTGACCTTCCCTCTGTCTGGACGTTTTTTCCCCAGATACCCATAAGATCTGTATTCTCACTTCCTTCCGGTCTCCGCTCAAGTGCCACGTTATTAGAGAAGCCTTTCCTCCCCTTCCCTGCCTATTTTTCTCCACAGTGCTCATCATCAGTGCTTACTTGTTGATTGTCTTCCTCTCATGGATAGAGAGTCAACGACCTGAGACTTTCTTGGCTTTGCTTGCTGATCTGTGCCCACTCACTGAACCAAGCCTGGCACAGAATAGAGACCCCAGAATATTTATAAATGGATGAATGAACTTTGCCCTATACCCTTCTTTCCAGGCGCACATCTTCTTTACCACATGCTATAAATATTTGTGTACCTGTCCTATCATAAGCTTTGTGTCAGTTTCATGCCCCTGCCCCGCTAATTCTCCCAGCCCATACCCAGTACAGAGTCCAGCACTGAGTAGGTTTTCAACAGTGTGTGCTGGACAGCGGACAGGATGGAAAGGCACTTGCTCCTATAGCGCCCCTGCCTGTTCCAGAAGAATGGAAATACAGCTGCAGTGGGAGGTGGGAAATGCTTTTAGAAGTTTTGCAAGAAGGCAGATTATCAGAAAAAGAAAGGCTACGGAGCAGGGGACTCGGTGAGTGCGTGCTCTCTGACGGGCTCTGAATGAGAGAACTTCCTTTGCTCTCCCAGAACACATTTTCTCCTCTTCTTCCCCAGCCCCAGCACTTTCCTGGGCAGTGCTCTGCCCCTCTGCCCCTTCTGCTAACCTGAGCCGCTCTTCACCCCTTACCTGCCCTCATCCTCAGATTTTTCACCTGGGATGCACTTCCTGTCCTTAGGAGTATGGATTTTGGCAGATCCTAAGTCACTGTGAAGGTTGAACACCAGGCCTGATCCCTGCTGTGGGTGGCATGGACAGCCCCGCCTCCCAGGCCCATGTGGAAGAACATCAGGGAACATAAAGTCCAGGGCCCCTACCTGTGGGAAGGCAGGCCATCCATGGCATCTTCAAAGGCCTGATGAAGGAGGAGGGTGTCTTCACAGTTCAGGTGGATGGAGCATTGGTGATGGGGCAGCGGCTGGCCCCTGGGAGCATTGGGGGCCGCCAGGAAGCTGGGCAGCCTGTCTACGGCCACTGAGGGACCAAAGAGGAGGGTCAGGTCTTAGCCCCACAAGGTCCTCCCTCTACAGCCAGCACCCTGCTACCCTCAGTGGCGGACGGGAGTAGGAAAGTATGAGCAAGTGTTTCACCTTCTGACCAGGCTGCAGGGGGACACAGGCTGGAGGTCCGGGAATGGAGATGATGACTGAGTTCAGCTGCCCCCAGCCTGGAGGTTTCTCACTCAGATGGGTCAAAGGAGACAGTGCTGCAATGTGGTGTGCCTCTTACCATTGATCTTGGTGACAGGCGACCGGGTGTCCAGCTGAGAGATTCTCTCCAGGAACTCCTCAGGAAGCCACTCCTGGAAGGAGAAGGCTCCATGAAAGGCCTCAGATGTCCAAGGCCCCAAGGAAGCTGCCTTCTTTCTTTGCTCAGGAAGATCCCTCAGTCGCTCCCTCCGGAAATCCTCTTCATCCTTCAAAGCTCAGCCAAAACCACCTCCCCTGTGAAGCCTTCCTAGATCCCCTCCCACTCAGCTCTAACCACTTCCTCCTCCGCGCTTGGCCAGCAGTTCTGACTGTGAAATAGTCCGCACCTCTCCCTGCTTGCAAAGGGGTCAGTGGTTTGCAGGCCTCTTTTCACTACTGGTCTGTAAGCTCTTGGAAGCCTCGACGATCTCAGAATTGCCTTAACAAGTTTCTTTTTACTGATGTTTGTTGAATTTTAGTAATGGAATCACTCAGAAAAAGTAGTGCTTTGCCCCTAAGAATTGCCCCCAAGAATGGCTAGGAGCTTCATGTGCGTATACATGTTATCATATCTTTTGAGCACAGGGTAAGTCAATTGCAAAAACTGCCCCCAAAGCTCACCCCTCCCTGTTTGCACACCCACTTCCGTGTAACCTTGCAGTGCTCTCACACTCTGACTCTAGGCTTGGCCATGAGACTTGGTCTGGCCAATGCTAGCAAACAGGATGCAAAGAGATCAAACCATGTGATGCTTGCATGCATGCTTGAGCTTGCCTGCTTTTGCCCTTTGCCAGACCTTGAGAACATGCCTGGACTACCGTGCTGGAGGAGGACAGACACATGGAGCATAGCCGAGTCCCCCACCCGGTCATCCCAGCAGAAACGGTCCTGGACCAGCCACCACCAGCCAGCTCCCAGGCACATGAAGGAGTCCCGCCAAGATCAGCAGCCGGCAAGCTGACCCACAGCCAACTGCAGACGCATGAGCAAGCCTTAAGCAGCTGAAATCCACCAAGATCAACTGAAGTCTCCAGTTCTGGGTGCCAGTATTTCTTGTTGTATGCCCAGAAGTATTGTGGCTCTTTGTTAATTGATTAATTAATAATCATGGATAATATAACAGATCATTGACAAAGACAATGGAATTAGAGCGGTGAGAGGGGAGAAATCAGGAAAGTAGGAAAGTTGTGGAAATAACTCTAGATTGAAAGTCAGACCTGGGTTCTAGCTCTGGCTCTGCCAATGGCCGGAATCTTGGTCACTTCACCTCTCTGGCCCCTTCTCCCCACCTGTGAGGCTTCTTCCCCGTTTGCTACCTGCCCTTACCCCCCTGTTTCCCAAATGCAGAGACTTGGCTTTTGCATCTCACACCCTGATGCAATCCTGGCTCCCTCAATCCCCACGATTTCTAACCCCTGTTTTGGCAGACATCTAAGCTCCACCCTCCTGCCCACAGCCTCACCTGTGGCGTCAGCTTCAGGAAGGTGATCTGCGGTGATGTGTTGGACAGCACCATTTTGCTTCTCACCTCTGTGCCATCTTCCAGCACAACTCCTTGAACACAGCCTTCACTGTTCACCTGCACCTTCGCCACTGTCTAGAGCCCACCAGAACAAGGCCCCAGAAACCGCAGGAAGGGAAATCCATGTTAGATCTTCCGGGATTTCCATGGTCTGTGCTGCTCCTAGGCATTCACAACTTCTTCATCCCAAACCCATCCCACCAAGTTCTGCAGCTTCTCCATGAAGCCTCAGCTTCTCCATGAAACACTCAGTCTCAGTTCAGTGACCAGGGAATTCCAAGGGGGTGGTTAGCCACTAACAGACTGCATGACCTTAATCTCTTGATTCTGCAACCCATCCCCTCATGGCCCCTCTGTTCATTGGTAAAACAAGGGACCTTCCAAATCTGAGACTTTGTTCTGTCCTGGGATCCTTACTAATAATTGGGGTGGGGTAGAGGGGCCGTTCACCTTTTCAGTGAAGATGCTTGCTCCATGTGTGGTGGCTGAGCTTGCGATCGCATCAGAGAGGGCACCCATGCCCCCCTGGACGTAGCCCCAGGCCCCCTGCATTCCCTCCAGGCCCCCCATCACATGGTGCAGCAGCACATACCTGTGGACAGACCATCCGACTCAGATCCTGGAGGTGGGATCTCATCTCCCCAGAGTTCCAGGTGCAACTATTCCTTTCCATCTTGATCTTCAGCCCTTCCCTGCCACCATCCAGCCCTCTCCCAGCAGCCTTCAATGAGCTCAAGTTCTTGTAAGAGCCCTTTGCCTTCTCTACACCCTCTCCCTAACAAGTGTGTCTATGTGCATAGCTTATTACCACAAAGAAGGCAACGATGCCCAAACCTGCAGCTCCAGCCCTCTCCTGAGCTCCAGCTCCGGTGTCCAGCTACCCACAGATATCTCCCTTTGGACCCTTTCTTGGCAGCATCTTAAACCCACCACCTTTTCCCCATTCTCCAGCTGCTTCCCCTTCAATCTTTCCCATCCCAGTGAACGGCACCTTTCAACAGGAGGTTCTGTTTCCGACAGAAATCCAGGTGTCAGCCTTGACCGCTACCATCCTTCCCCATCTACATCCACAAAGCAACACCAACTCAGCCTCCAAAGGGCTTTCAAGGTCATCCCACCTCTCAGCCTCTCTTCTCTTCCTTATGCTGCTGCAGTAGTGCCCCTCATTGGACCCCCTCTCCCACACTTTCTCTCCTGCAGGTCTTGTCCACATATATCCTGGAGCCCTATCTTAAAGCCCAGCTCTGCTCCTGCCACTCACTTATCACCATTCCAAGCCTCCCCGGCTTGGCACTGCTCTTAGGATAATGGCCAGTCTTCTAGCAGGCACTCCAGCCTCATCCCTCATCCTGTCCCCCTATCCATATCCCATCCTCCTAACTAACAGAACCTCTCGATTTCCTGGGTGGATCACACGTTCTCTCAACCCCAGCATTTCCCCTGCTGTTCTGTCGGCCTGAAGCCCCTCCCTCCCTCATCTTATGTTTTGTTAACTCCTCTTTGTCCTTTGGGTCTCAGATCAAACACCTCTTCCATGTAGAGGCTTCTCTGACCCTAGACCAGGCTGTGTCCCGGCTGCTCCTCCTAGCATCACACTCACGCCACTTCATCATCATCACTCGCTCTGTGTCTCTCACCCATCAGGACATCTGCTCCGCTCACTACCGTATCCCCAGCACCTAGCACAGGCAAGCGCTCATCCATATTTGTTGGAAGAATTAATGATGGAACAGATTACTTAAAGATCACAAACGGAGCACTGGTTAAGCCTCCCAGGGATCCGAAGAGAAAAGGGCAGGAGGCCCCAGCTGGAAGATCCAGATTGGCTGGTAGATCACAGCTTGGCCAATGTGTGGCAACTGCTGCCAAGCCCCCATCTCCATCGCCCTGGGGGAATTTGGGGCCGGCTTAATATGTGTTGAAAAACCACTTCCGAGGGTGTGCTCATCCCTTGAGAGAAAAGCCACGTCGACGCCTTCTAGCTTCTAGCTTCTAGCTGTATCTTCTGGTGCACTGGAAACGGCCCAACCCTTGGCTGCATTCTCCATCCCAACACACACACACACACACACACACACACACACACACAGCCTTCCATTCCTGCTTCTGCGGGGGCTCATTAAGTCAGACCACACTGCAGGCTTTGCTGTGTCTGACTGCCACCTCTCGGATTGGGCTGTCAGCACAAACCCTCACTCATAAAGAAAAAGGCAGCTTCCTGTCCATCCTGAGGTGTCTGTGTGAGTGTGTACCAGAGCCCAGGGGAAGGAACAGTGAGAGAGAAGGGAGAATGGGCGTTTGCGGGAGTGGAGAGGTAGAAGAGGGAAGGGAAGAGGAGAGAAAAGAAGATATTAATTTTGAGCTATCAAGCGGGAGGTGGGAGAGAGGCTTTTCTTAGTGAAGCAGTAGGGCACAGTCACTAAAAAGGAAGATTTTGGGGAGTCAGACACCTCAAGCTGGAAATCAGCCTTGCCACTTACCAGCTGAGTGGCTTTGGGCAAGACACTCCCTTCTCTGAACCGCAGTTCTCAGATGTTGCTCTGAGGGTTAAGTGGATCGTGTGTGATGTGCCTGGCTCGGTTCCTGGCTCACTGGGTGAGCTCTGTTAAGTGGCAGCTGTTGTTGCTGCCACTGCCACTGTTGTCCTCACTCCTGTTGGGGAACATGCCCCACTCCTGTGTCCCACCTCACCCCCCTCACTCACCCACTCCCCGGAGTGTGGGGACTTGTCATGGCTCCAATCACTGCATCTGTGGCTAGAGTGGCTTTTAAAGGCTCAGACTCGAACCACTGATCCAGCACCTGGACAGCACAACAGCAGAGAGAAGGGCTTAGGAGCCTGGATGGGAGGAGGGCCCTCTCACTGCCTGGTCGGGCCTGAGGCTGGGGAACCACTCACCTTGGTAATGGGAGCTGTGAGGACCTCATAATATCGGGGAAGCTGGGCTCCCAGGATGCGGCCTACAAGAGAAGATCCACAAAACAGAAGTTGAAACAGGTGACAGGGAAACCCTCCGACCTGGCCTGGGGGATAAAAGCATGGAGGATGCTGAGACTTCCTGCCAGGAGGTGGTATAGCACAGCCAATGCAGGGACAGATCCAGCTTGAGTCCTGGCCACACCTCTCACTAGCTGCAGTGCCTGGGACACATTTTTAACATCTCTGAACCTGCTTCTTTACCTGTAAAATGGGAATCCTATTTTACACCCCAAGGGCTACGGTGAGGATTAAATGAGCTAGGTAAAGCATTTGCAAGTTCATGGGTACTTAATACATTTAAGCAGTTAGCATTATTTTTGGAAAATTTTAAACTTGTACCTTATTCCCTTATTTCGAACTCTGGAAGGCCCATATCCTGGGAGAAGGCTGGCATGGCTGATCCATTCCTATGACCCTGATTCAGACCATTTCAGAAAGAAACTAGGCTTTAAGGCCTTCAGGGTAGAAATCATGGTCTCTAGCCTTACAGCCCCTGGGCCTAGCTTAGTGTCTGACACATAGTAGTTGCTCAATAAATGTTTTTTGCCTGTTTTTCACACAGAGCTCCTTGGACTGGTTATCTGAGAGAGAGGCAGTGTCTACTTTTTGCATTTGTAATAGATTCCACTGGCTCCATACTCTTTGCAATGTATAAGTCTGCAGTGCCTCTCAACCCACCACAACTTGGTTAACCTGCCTGGCTCCTTGGCTCTGGGCTCATCCATGTGATTTGGTCAGCCAGTGGAATGTTTGCCGATGTGACACAAACCCAGAACTGAAACAGGCCTGTACATTGGGGCATGCCCTCTGTGCTTGTGCCACTGATGTGAAAAGTCCACACCCAGGTCAGCATGTGCTTCTACAAGGAGGACGAGAGGTACCTGGAGCAGAGCTGCCTCCACTGAGCTGCTGCAGACACAAACACATGCCTGAGACCAAACCAGATCAGCTGAGCCAGCTGGAATCAGCTGAACCACGAAGACATGTGGGAAACAAATGATTTTTTTTCTAGGATATAGAGGTTAAACTGGTCTGTATACCCTCAAGGAGGGTAGAAAATAATAGCACACTTAATGAGCCTTCCATTCGCATACTCATGGCAGACATTACTAATTGATCACAGAACTTCTCCTTGCTGAGCCCAAATCTAGCATTCTTCCTGTATGGGGGCAGCTCTTCAAATCTCTTGGCCCCTATATCTTATTCTAGCCACAGCCATGATGCTGAGCTCCAAGCAGGCTTTGATCAGCTTCACACAGGCAACTCCACAGCAACTCACTTCAGTCCTGAAAAGTGAGCCTCTCTACTTCTTCCCTAGGGCTTCTCTGGCACCAGGGCAGGGCACTCATGGGAACCTACTTGGCACCCACAGATGCACAGCCCAGAAGTGTGGGAGTCAATGCCCTGTGAGGCAACCCTTGGCCAATGGGAGATAGAACCCAATGGATAAATATTTCCCTTTCCATCTCCCGAGAAGGTTCCTCAAATGCTTTTCATAAGGCTTCCCAGAGGGCCCACACAGGTCCAGCATCTTGTCACCCACAGTGCTGGCTAGTGCGATCACACACTCTGGTATTGACTCTTTCTCTGTCCACTTTCACCCCAACTTTCTGCTATTTTTGTGTCTTGGGGTCACCCTTCCAAATGAACTACCCACGCATAAGCCTTGGTCTCAGGCTCTATTTTAAAGGCATATCAGCCTAAGATGCTCTCAACAAAGTGCTCCAGGCTGCCCCTAATTGATCGCAGCATGTTAACTGATCCCAGCTGGCAGGCTGCCATGGAGGTTCAGGCTTGTGTCTAGGCATCGAGACAATGGGCTCACCTCCTTGAAGGTCACTCATCATGCCCTGGTGCCTGCACTTGGACTTACCTGCCTTCAGCAGGGGCTTGAGGGTGGAGAGCGACCTCATCCTTTGCAGCAAGGAGCCATGCTGGAAGGCCGCCATGTCCACGGGGGCCGCATCCAGCAGAGGGTCAATGGCTAATGCCAAGCGATGCATGAACTCCTCATATTTGGGAAAGACCTGGAACAGAGCTCTGCATTAAGGCCCCACTGTCCACATCCCTGCCCTCCATGCTGTCCCCAGATGGCCTGTCACCCCCCCACAGCTTGACGGTTCCTCAGGCCTCATTCCCCGCTGTGGCCCAGCTTGGCTCTGTTGAGCTCCCCCAGTTCCAGGTCTCTGGGTTAACATCAACACCAGGAAGAGTGCATGGGGTGGGGTGGTGGTGGTCAGGAGACCCTGGGCAATAGGAGAATCACTGGGAGTGGTGACAGGGACAAGGAGCTAATGCTGGCTAACACGAAGTGTCACCCACAGAAAACTGGCAACAATCCTAGGGTGTGGTCTCTGCGATAAATCATGAAACCACTTAGAAGTTTCTTCCTTCTGTCCTTTCTTCTTTTTTTTTTTTTTTTTTTTTTTGAGATGGAGTCTTGCTCTGTGACCCAGGCTGGAGGGCAGTGGTGCGATGTCGGCTCACTGCAACCTCTGCCTCCCAGGTTCAAGTGATTCTCCTGCCTCAGCCTCCTGAGTAGCTGGGATTATAGGCACCTGCCACCACGCCCGGCTAATTTTTGTATTTTTAGTAGAGACGGAGTTTCACCATGTTGGCCAGGCTGGTCAAGAACTTCTGACCTCAAGTGATCCGCCTGCCTCGGCCTCTCAAAGTGCTGGGATTACAGGCGTGAGCCGCCACGCTGGCCTGTCCTTCTGTCCTTTCCTATATTATTGGTAGAAGTTAGACCTCTTTGCCTGTATTCTTTTCCGGTCTGTAGGTCGTCTCCCATGCCGTCTCATCACCTGCAGTCACAGAAGCCTGCCTCCTCTCACCCCACAAGCTCCCATGTCAGAATCCACTTTCGAAAGCCTGGTTTCTGACACCCACCCTCCTTTCCCTGGAGGGCACAGGAGCAGTGATAGAAGCCTGTGCTACTGGAGGCCCTACCTGACTCTTCTTAGCCCTGGACTTTGAATTTTGGTCCATCTCTACCCATGGATATACCCATGGCATTTTAATAAGTGTTACATAAAGAAAAGTTCCATGTTAAAATACATTCGAGAAGTCTTATTAAAAATGAAGTTAAACAGCTTTCTCTAAGCAGGCCTTTAATATGACAGCATGGAAAGACAAAACCAGAAATCAAGCTCCTCACTTTCCACGATGGGAAATGGGCACTTGCCTCCAGCGTGTGTGGTCGCTGGCATGTAGGGCCACAGCTAGTGTCCTGCAGGCCCGGGGACCTGGCCTTGTGCAGAATCCCCTCAAGTGCCTCTGAGATGGGTAGGATTTGGACGAGAGGATGCAGGTGGTGGTCTCCAATCTGCTGCACAAAAGAACCACCAAAGAAGCACTTTTAAAAAAGCTAAGCTCCTCAGGCCGGGTGTGGTGGTTCATGCCTGTAATCCTAGCACCTTGGGAGGTGGAGGTGGGAGGATTGCTTGAGCTCAAGAGTTCCAGACCAGCCTGGGCAACATAGTGAGACTTTTGTCTCTACAAAAAAATTAAAAATAACATAGCCGGGCATGGTGGTGAATGCCTGTAATCCCAGCTACTCAGGTGGCTGAGGCAGGAGGATTGCTTGAACCCGGGAGGCAGAGGTTACAGTGAGCCAAGATCGCACCACTGCACTCTAGCCTGGGCAACAGAGTGAGACCCTGTCTCAAAAACAAATAAAATAAAATAACAAAATAAAAGGCTAAGCTCCTCAGGTGATTCTGATCATCAGCCAGGTTTGAAAACTGCTGGTGGAAGAGACATGTAGGCTGTGTGTCTGTGGTTCTCTAAGTTTTACCCAGCAATAGATTAACACAACAAAAGCAATGTACATGGGTTCTATTAACCTAGGTTCTTCTTATAAAAATGTCTCCACTGAGATATGATTTAATGCTACATCTCAGCTAATATCCAGGCTTGGTACAAAATGGCCATTCAAATAATCTTTCTATATCCACAGAACCAACTGTGGCAGGGCCCTTACGGAACTCAGTGGCTCATCTAGACAAGGCCACCCAGCAGGTTCCTAGAATGCAGTTCCAAGGGAAAAAAGTGCATTCTCCATCCGACATGTGTTCATCCTGTCACCAGACCTGCACACCATCATGGACACTTTGTTGCCTTGGGCAGCCAGGAGGGAGCCTTGGGATGCCACACTGAATAAATATTTAGAACTCTCCTGTCCTAAGTTCCTGATTCAGTTTATTTATCCTTAATTTTCTCTGATCTTCCCTCATCCTCCTTTTTGGCTTTCATGTGCTTTAATGTGGACAAACACCTGGAACTCTGCCTGAAAGCTGGAGGGGCATGAAGCACACGCCAGTGTAAGAACGTGCCAGTGCATTTCCTCTTGAACTCAGCAGGCACAGCCCCTCTGACAGTGGCCCCATACTGAACACACGCAGGTGAGCAGGCCTCCCAGTCCACTGGTCTTAATCAGCATCCTCCACCCGCTTCTCTTCGCAGTGCCTGAGATCAAGAGCTGCCACCAACTGGAGCCCTCCTAGGAACGTGGGGTGGCCTGGCGCAGTGTCCATGGCCTTTGAACAATTGTTCTAGGACAATCCAACCAGGCCCATCTCTAGGCTGCTGAGGGAGCAGGAGCTCAGTCACTGGTCGCCTTCCCTACCTGGGCATCCTTCTGGGAGAACTGGGCGATCTGCTTCTGGTTTTCTGCCATGTCTGTGCCCAGCAGAAGGCACCTGGGCACCTTGCTGCCTGCACCCTCTTCCAGCATGGGGGTGAAGGAGTAGGGGTTTCGAAGATGAAGCCTCAGCCCATGTTTCTGCAAAACACAAATAGCATGGGCCACATATTAATGGCTCTGTGGTCTCTGCCCATCATCTTTCTCCGATTGTGTTTGTGTGACCATTTAGGTACCTGTGTGTAGGTTCCCAAGTGTATGGTCCTGGTGTCTGTTTTTTAAATATAAGTTTATAAAAAGCCCTCTTGCCCAAGTACCCTATGGTAGACGATACTGTATCACATCGCAGTACACTATACCATTCTACACCATACCATACATACCACACATACCATGCCATACACCACGCCATGCCATGCCACATCATACCATACCACACTACATCACATCACACCACACACACCATGTCATACCACACCCTACCACACCATGTGATACCATACCATGCCATATCACACCACACTATGCCATGCCATGTCATACCACATCACAGCATGACACACTCATTCCATGCCAGGGACTGTACTAGGGTTTACAATGGTTACCTCACAATAACTTTGTAAGTACAGTCTTGCATCACTTAACGATGGGGATATGTTCTGAGAAATGCATTGCTAGACAATTTCATCACAGTTTGAGCATCACAGAGTGTACCTACACAAAACTAGATCTGATAGCCTACCACACATAGGCTGTGGGGTGTAGCCTGTTGCTGCAAACCTGCACAGAATGTTACTGCACTGAATACTGGAGGCAACTGTAATCCAATGGTATTTGGGTATCTAAACATGTCTAGGCTGGGCACAGTGGCTCGTGACTGTAATCCCAGCACTTTGGGAGTCCAAGGCGGGCAGATCAGCGAGGTCAGGAGTTCGAGACCAGCCTGGCCAATATGGTGAAACCCCGTCTCTAGTAAGAATACAAAAATTAGCCGGGCATGGTGGCACGCACCTGTAGTCCCAACTACTCGGAAGGCTGAGGCAGGAGAATTGCTCGAACCTGGAAGGCAGAGGTTGCAGTGAGGCAAGATTGCCGCCACTGCACTCCAGCCTGGGTGACAAAGCAAGACTCTGTCTCAAAAAAAAAAAAACAAAAAAAAACAAACATAGAAAAGGTACATTAAGAATATGGCATAAAAGGTAAGAAAAATGATACTGTATAGAGCCCTCATGATGAATGGAGCCTACAGGACTGGAAGTTGCTCTGGGCGAGTGAGTGGTGAGTGACTGAAGGCCCAGCACATTGCTGTACACTACTGCACACTTTATAAATATAGTACACGTAGGCTACACTACATTTATTAAAAAATTTTCTTCAGTAGGTTAGCTTACTGCAAACTTTTAAACTTTATAAACATTTTAATTTTTAAAACCTTTTTGATTCTCTTAAAAAGACACTTGGCTTAAAACACAAACATTGTACAGCTATATAAAATATTTTCTTTATATCCTCATTCTATAAGCTTTTTTCTGTTTTTAAAATTTTTTATTTTTATTTTTTACTTTATAACCTTTTTTCGCTAAAAAGTAAAATGCAAACACACACATCAGCCTAGGCCTACACGGGGTCAGGATCATCAATGTCACTGACTTCCACCTCTACATCCTGCCCCACTGCAGGGTCTTCAGGGACAGTAACACGTGGCACTGTCATCTCCTAGAGAGCAATGCCTTTTGCTGGATACCTCCTGACAGACCTGCCTGAGGCTGTTTGACAGTGAATTTTTTAAATAAGGAAAAGGAATACTCTCTAAAATAATAATAAAAGTATAGTATAATAAATACATTAGCCAGTGACAAAGTCATTTACTATCAAGTATTATGTACTGTATATAATTATATGTACTAGACTTTTTGACAACTGGCCACACAGTAGGCTTATCACCACAAACACATGAATAATATGTTGCAGTGCAACTATGGCATCGCTAGGGGACGGGAATTTTTTCAGCTCCATTGTAAGCTTATGGGACCACCACTGTATATAGTCTATCGTTGACCAACATGGTGGCACATGGCTGTCTTATTATCCTCATTGTACAAAAGCAACACGAGAGGCTCATAGGAGTTAAATAATTTGTCCCAGGTCACTTTAGGAGGTAGGTCTGGGTTTCAAAACCACAGCTCTGTAACTGCAAAGCCCCAGCTCTCAGCACCGGTCTGTAACTGCCCCACTTCAGAAATAAATAATTAAATTTAGAAAGACACAATCAAGCAATGGTTATGTGAAAATCTATACTTACAAGGTAGATAAATTATTCACATCAGAACATTTTATTTACTTTGCAGACTCATTTACTCCAGGGTCACTTTAAATGGAAGTTTCTTTGATGCATTTAAAATATGATTTGATTTACAAATATTTGATTAGCACACAGAATTTTCCAAGAGCACATCCACTTCTTCAAAGCAGGCACAGATAAAACAAAAGGGGCCTGTGCCGCCTCCAGTTTCTGCTGTCGAGAGGCTTCCTTCTCCAGATCCGTGGCCTGCAACCTCACGACTCGAGGTCTTGGCTGGAATGCCACCTTATCAGCCAGGCCTCCCCCGCACTCCCTGCCCCCTCACCCTGCAATATTTTTCTCCAAAGCACTTGTCAGCACATGGCTAATCACATATTTAGTGTTTTCATTGTCTCCCCAAGTAGAATGTAAGCCCTGTGAAGTCAGGGGCATTGTCTGTTTTGTTCACCGCTGTACCCTCCGCGTGTAGACACAGTGTAGTTAATAAGCATTCCGTCGACTCTGAATAAATGAATGCTAGGTTGCAGACAAGGTATGGCCCCAGAGGAGAGAAATGAGATCGGAGAGTAGACGTTTTAGAAAAGCACGAGGAAACCAAAAACAGGCTTTTCCAACAATTACCGCTGGAGTTGCTCCACACTGGAGATGCTCCAGGCGGGCAGGCTCGCCGCAGCTCTGGACACTCTGTGGAGGAGATTTCCGATGCTGGCGGGGGCCGGGGCCAGGAGACGGCTGGGGTCCCTCCTATCCCTAAGATGGAGACATTCTTTATTCTAAGCTAGAGAAACTTCCAGCTTCGTTCTTCTTAATGTAGTAAACTCACTCATACCCAGGAGGCATCCTTAGTCTCTCTCCTGGTCATCCTTGACATCCCATCCGCTGCCTCCAGAATCTGTGCGCGTCTCTCCAAGCCGCCATTTTGGGAACCGCTGCAGCGGCGGCCTAGTGCTCCACATGCGACCCCCTCCTGTTTCCTCCGAGTCCTCACCAGCCAGCAGGTGGGCTGACCTTTGTAAAGTCACAAATCCTAGCAGTGAACTTCCTGATCACACACCTCACTGGCTTCTCGCTGCACTTGGATAAAATGCAGTCCTGCCCCTCCCACCCCCATCTGGTGCTCTCTGCCTGTCTGCTCTGTCCACACTGACCTGCCCTCTGCTCACGCCTGCCTGGGTGGGTCCTTCTCTTCTTCCCTCTGACTGGAGACTGCTTAGATGTCCACATGGCTGCTGCTGGTGACCTCTTGGTACCTGAATACCAGCTCAAATGTCACCTCCTTGAGGAAGATGTCCTTCCTGGTCACCATCTAGGCTGGAATCTCCACTCTCTTTCTCTAATGCTGCCTTCTTTTCTTTTCTTCTTGGCACTCTCCCTGAAGTTCTCTGCCTAAGAGCAGTGTCCTTGCCTTCCTAGTTCACTGCCGTACACCCAAGGGCTTCTCTCAGTGCCTGGCACATAGCAGGTGCTCAGAAACATGGACTGAATGAACGAATAAACCCTCCAAATCAGGGACCTAAGAGGAATCCAAAAGTTATTTTAAGTATAACTAATTGACTATGAATCACTTTTCATTTGATTCATAATGAAACCTAAATGGAGGCTCTTCTAAATGGAGGCTCTGTCATTCTTAATGGTGTTAAATCAAATTTAGCTTAAAGCTGCCTCCTTAAATACTTTAAGCTCAACCTAAAGGTTTCTCTGTTCCTAGTGAACTATAACCTAGAAGGAGGCGTAAACAGACTGTAACCTACTTCTGTGTCAATCGCCGAGTTTTGGCCAATCAAAGGGGACCAACTGTTTAAACTGCGTTCAAATAAGGCAAACACTGAGCTGTAACCAATCCAGCTGTTTCTGTACCTCAATTCCATTTTCTGTACATCACTTTTCACTTTCTGTCTATAAATCTTCTTCTACCATGGAGCTGTGCTGGAGACTGTGAGCATACTCCAGCTCGGGAGCCTGATTCATTTATGAATCATTCTTTGCCCAATTAAACTCTATTAAATTTAATTTAGTGAAGGTTTTTCTTTTAACAATAGGTTTAATTATGTGGAGTCTGAATGAGAAGGGGAATGTTAAATAACCATCAGATTATATCCACAAGATTTGTTCGGATTATGAAGCTTTTTTCTTAAAAAACAGAAAAAAAACCCAAAAAAACAAAATGAAAGCAAACCCTTCTTTTATTTACCCCATGAGAGTTCTCAGCATGCACAGTCATCCTGGGTGGAAATTGTTGGAAAGGGTGTGTGTGTGTGAAGGGTGTATCTGTGTGTGTGTCTAAAGGACCAGAGATACAAGAGATTTAAAGGGTGTGGTTCTCAAAGTTATGTTCTGGGGGCCTCCTCTTTCAGAATGACCTGAGAATGCCATAAAAACGACCGTTTCTGGGCCCCACCACTGCCACAGAATCAGACTCGTGAGCAAGAACCCCTGGGGTTTCCCCAGCAGTTTCCCCAGCAGTTTCCCAGGTCATACTTTGTGGCCCTGCAAATTAGAGCCCTACCTTAGAGAGATTTCCAGGAGAAAAGCAAGAGCAAAATGAATAAGGCTGAGTGAGACCCAGAAGGTCAGTGAGGGAGGGGAGGGAGGATGGGATTGCCTCTGGCAGTGAGGTCAAGGCTGGCCCAGGGGGAGATGGGGAAGGTGGCTTATGGCTGAAGGGGATGAAAAGCCCCCCTCCACACCCCCTTCTCCACCAGTGCAAAGGCTCTGCCCTTCCAGCCTGGATTCCATCATCCAGCGCAGGGCCGCTGCAAAAGCAAACTCATTTACTAGGTGGATGGAACCGGGAGGTGATCCAAGTCAGTGCTCGCATTGACAGCTGTGGAAACTAACACCCAGGAAGGGGAGGCAGGCCCTGGTGGGGACCACAGCGGGTCAGTGGAGGGTGCTTTGGCTCAAGGAGGGGAGGAGGGGCAGTGGTGCCAAAGCCAAGCCTCTCACTTTAGTTGAGGGCTCACTCTAATTGGATACAGCCTTATAAGTGGCAGGGTGGGTGAGTAGTCTCCAGCCATGGGTCTTTCTGGAGCCTCAGTTTTCTCAAGTGCCAAATGGGGGTAATAATAATAGCGACAAGTACTGAGCCCTCTGTGCACCAGGCACTGTGCTGATGTGGCCTTAGGAGGCAGCTGCTGTTACTATTCCCTCTTACAGATGAGGAAAAGAAGGCACCACGTGGTGAAATCACGCAGCTGGTGAGCTGTGGAGCAGGGAGGCAGACGCAGCCGGCCGGTTTCCAGCAGCTCCAGTCTCAGCCTCTGTGCACACTGCGCTGGAGCTGCCAGGGGCACTCTATCACCACGTTCACCGCAAAGTACCAAGAGCCAGAGACGTGTGAGTCTGGGCGGTATTGGTACCAAGAGGCCTGAGCGCATCATAGCTCAAGAACAAGGAGTAGGAGACAGTCAGGCCTTGGCTTGAATTCTCCATCACTTTCTAGCTGTGTGAATTTAACCCCTGAACTTTAGTTCCCTGATTATAACATGGCTCTTGACTTACAGGTAAGGATCAATTGAGATAGAACATTAAGGTCATAGCCCAAGATGTGATGCTGGTAAAATAAACGCTCTCCATTATAGTTTTGGAAAGACAATATTCCTGGAAGGAGTTTAGTTGTCCTCCTGTCAATGCCCTCCAGGCTGTCAATGTCCTGTTAAAACAAGGTGCTCCAGATGGGGTGAGTCCTGCGTATCACACAACAGGACTGCTTTCTCCCTGCTCTGAGCTCCATACTCCTATTACTGCAGCCCAAGGCAGAGGTTAAAGCATCTACTCAGTTCACTTGGGAGCTTCTAGTTCAAGGAACACTATGACAAATACCATTTCAAATAAGTAACGTTTTTTAAAGAAAGAGAATAATCAAGTGAAAATGTCCATTCTGTGATTCTTAGTCTCTTAAATCAGGTTTGCCAAAAGGAGGGTCCCTGCTCCCCAACATCTGCCACTATGAATAAGTGGTGCATTTATAAACTGCCTGCTGCTATGGTCTGCTCTGGACTGGAGACCAGCGACCCATCCCCAGGCCTGGCTAGATTTCATCCAGTCCTGGTACCAGGATGCACATACTCTGTTTCAGTGGCTTGAAGAACTCTCTACATGAACCAGTTAGAGCAGCCAAAGAGCTGTGAACAACAGCTGGACATCTTACTAGTTTAAAATTTTGAATTTAGAGCAAAGATGGCACCAACGTGGCCGGGTGCGGTGGCTCACGCCTGTTAATCCCAGCACTTTGAGAGGCTGAGGCAGGTGGATCACGAGATCAGGAGATCAAGACCATCCCGGCTAACACGGTGAAAGCCCTTCTCTACTAAAAACACAAAAAATTTGCCTGGCGTGGTGGTAGCGCCTATAGTCCCAGCTACTCAGGAGGCTGAGGCAGGAGAATGGCATGAACCCGGGAGGAGGAGCTTGCAGTGAGCTGAGATCGCGCCACCGTACTCCAGCCTGGGCGACAGAGCCAGACTCCGTCCCAAAAAAAAAAAAAAAAAAAAAGATGGCACCAACGTGAGTGGCAGCTGCAGATAGCACCAAGAACCCTTTTCTCTGAGTGGTGAGTGACAGTGGCACTAAGCAGGTAGAAGCCAATCAGCCTCAAGAATGTGGTGACGCGGTTTATAAGACAGTGGGGGTGAAGGAAGGTGAAAGGGTGGGGGGCAGGGTTGGGCCAGGTTGTGGACAAAGGTCAGCAGACTAAGAGAGGCAAACAGCGCCAGATGAGACTCCCAGGAACCTTCCAAAAAGCCCGGGAGCCAGAAAAGTCCCCAGGCCCCACTTCCTGCTCCAGCTGCCAAGAGAGGGAAGCAGCTCTCAAGTTCAATGAGGGCAGAAATCGGGCTCATGTCCCAAGGCAGCTGTAAGCTCAGGCGCCCAAGGCTTCAGATAGGTGTCCCACGTGGGCCTGAGGGTGAAAAAGCTCATTCTTCAAAAGAAGTCTGATTTTTGGATGAAATTTCCCACTTTTCAAGACACTACATGGACGAGACAAAACCCATCTGTGGGAATGCAGCAGGGAGACCACGTGGGATACACAAGACTTGGGTGGAAGAGGGAGCCCTCAGGGGCGGGCATCACCTCGGGCACAGAACAGGGACCCCCCACACAGGTTGGGAAGATGGAACTGCCTCCTCCCTCCGTGCAATCGGGCCGGCGGGGGGGCCCTACCTTCAGCTCCAGATCAGTGTAAATCTGCGGCCTCAGCAGGCTGAGCAGGTAGGACGCGCGGGAGAACTTAAACCCTGAAACCGAATCCGATGAAGACTGTCACCAGGGGTCACCAGGGATGAGGACCGTCACCAGGGGTCAGCAGGGATGGAGACCGTCACCAGGGGTCAGCAGGGATGGAGACCGTCACCCGGGGTCAGCAGGGATGGAGACCGTCACCCGGGGTCAGCAGGGATGGAGACCGTCACCCGGGGTCAGCAGGGATGGAGACTGTCACCCTGAGTCACTGCCCTCCACTCCCCCATGCCACATCAGAGCTCACCTGGGATGATCTCCTCAGTGACAGCTGCACCCCCGATCACATGGCGCCTCTCGAAGACGGCGGTGTTCACCCCCAGTCTCTGCAGGTACGCTGCCTGGGAAGTGGGGCAGCACACAGGGCCCTCCCTTTATCCCTCTGAAATGTCAGGGCTCCCTCGGGCTGACCCGCAGACTAAGGTCCTCACTATAGGCCAGTATGGGCCACACCCCATGGCCTCCCTGCCCCGCTCATGCTGTTCCTGCCTCTGGGAATGCCCTTCCCTGTGCTTCCCTTTCCACCCTCGCCTTTTCTAGATGTCCTCTAAGATCCGACAGGCCTGCTCCCGCCCCTCCACTTCCCAGCTGAAAGTGGTCTTCCCTCCTTAGAGGCCTGGTGCCTCGGGGACTCACGCTGCTTCCTGCCACCCTGCCCTGGGATGTCGCTCTCCTCCAGGCAGGGAGCCAGCCTCATTTCTCCTACAAGCGCAGCACAGTGAGGTGGAACTTGTGAATGCTGACCCTTCCACCCAGGTTCAGTCCCTCGTTCTCTCTCTGCTGCTGCAGCCTCAGTACCTGATCCGTCTGGCCTCAGTTTGTTCACATGCAAAAGTGGGGCTGATGAAAGTAGTCCCGGCTTTACCCACTTCATAAGGCTGCTGTGAAGATTAACTGAGCTGGTTCCTAGACAGGGTTTAAGTGGTCCCTGGCACAGAGAATGTACTCAGTAAATGAAGCGGTTCATAGCAGAGCTTTATTTTGGGAGAACAAATGATGCAAGGATTTCTATTAATTTTTTTCTAGCACTTAGTGGAAAAATCAATAAATATTTGTTGAACCAAACTGGTCATGAATCTACCGATCTAAAATGCTGGCCCTGTGACCACAGGAATGGTGCCATGCAAAAGTCGGACTTTTCAAAAAGCTCACTTGGCAGCTATTATGTGCCAGAAGCAGTGAGTACATTGTCTTGTTTAATTTTTCCCACCAGCCAAGAGGTAGGTACTATGATTCTCCCATTTTACAGATGAGAAGACTGAGGCCCAATGAGGTTAACAGCTTGCCTCAGGCTCACAGAGCTGATGAGTAGAGGTGTTGGGAATTGAAACCAGACAGCGTGAAACCAGCATCTATCCTCCTAACATAACCTCCTATCATAACCTACTGAGAAAGAAACAGCAGCTGTCACTCAGTGGCTGAGGCCTGGCACGCAAGGTGAGCTGCGTCATTCTCCTATTACACAGGAACGATCTCACAGATTGACAACCTCAAATAAGGTTTCTATGAGACTATGATAAAATGAGGCAAGCACAAACAAAAGCAATGTCTCTGTGCCATCCAGAAAATACCGAACACCCCTCTTGGCTGAAATGAGTGACTGCTACTTCTTTATCAATTACTGCTCTCTGCACACTCGTCTCTCCTCCCTACAGATCAGATTTCTTGAGCTGCCCAGTTGCAGGGCTGTCCCTCCTTCCTGACAGTATCTAATCTGTGGCAACCCCTATTTTCGTAGGCCTTCCCTCAAATCACCAAAGCTCAAATCCTGTGCTAGGTTCTTTCTAACACCTTCCTACTGAGGCAACCCGAGGTTCCCCTGATGTGAGTTCCCTCGCTGCAAAGAGCAAGAAACCAAACTAGACTAACTACAAGTGTGTTCCTGGTGGGCTTTGGGTGAAGGGCTGTGGATGCCAGCCTTCCTTGGCCTGGAAACTTCCAGTAATAACAGCCACCATTTGGGCAAGGCTGCATGTGCCAGGTCCTAGCAGCAAATGATCTATTACCTTCACAGCAGCTCTGTGAGGGCAGGTGCCATTGTTCCATTTTACCGTGACTCGGAGAGGCTAAGTGACACCTTAACCTTCACAAAGTGGCAGAGCTGGGAGATGAATCTTTGTTTATATTAATATAAAATCAGGCCGGGCGTGGTGGTTCACGCCTGTAATCTCAGCACTTTCAGAGGCTGAGGCAGGCGGGTCACCTGAGATCAGGAGTTCGAGATCAGCCTGGCCAACATGGCGAAACCCCGTCTCTACTAAAAATACAAAAGTTAGCCAGGCATGATGGCGGCTGCCTGCAATCCCAGCTACTCAGGAGATTGAGGCAGGAGAATTGCTTGAACCCGGGAAGTAGAGGTTGCAGCGAGCCGAGATCATGCCATTGCACTCCAGCCTGGGTGACAAGAGCAAAACTCCGTCTCAAAAAAAATTAAAATAAAATAAAATAAAATAAATGTTTTAAATTACTGATCCATTGAGTTACAAAATGCCGCACGTAAAATGTTCAAGTAAAACTTAGACATCAGGCAAAGTATTAAGGTTTAACATCAGTCCGTTAGCACAGCCACAGTTTCCCCCTATATTGATGTTCTAGAGCTGCTGCTGCTTCAAGAAGATGTTCCACATTTGTTTTGTGGCCTTGAATGCCTTCTGTGGCCTCCTGGAGGTATCTGGACTCAGGTTACAGAAGCATAAGCTAAGGATAGCTCTGGGATATCCAGCTCAGTTTGGGATCTTGAAGTCAGTTGTGTTGGGGACAGGGCACAGGCCCTTCTGCTAGACTGAGCTCCTCAATGTCTCCAGGGCACACTTTGGCCACATAGCAGCTATGTACTCCAAGGTGGTACCTGGCCTGGACCTGGCTGGGAACACAGGGCTCTAGACACAAGGGCTGCCTATGATCTGGAGTCAAGGGCCCCCACCCCGCCCCAGGTGCCCAATCCCCTGGTTCCCACCTGCTCTCATGCTGTGTTGGTTACATGCTTCCCCACCTTGTCAGCTTGTTTCTGGAAGCTCCCTGACTCCCTCACAGGCCATGGGGAAACCACCTTTCCCCATTAGGGGAAGGGGAGGAAAGGAGCCTGTGATGTCCACAGCTGGCTGCAGATGAGCATTCGACCCAGCCCCCAGTCAGCACTGGAGAGCAGAGAGCATCGACTAGGCTGCCTTTTCCTTCTCTCTCAAGGCCCTTATCCCACCTGCTTCTTCACACTCCTTCCCAGGCTGCTGAGAGCCACACGCCCAGGGCCAGTGAAGTGGGATCAAGTGGGGAGGTACTCACAGCCACCAGTCCGTTGTGTCCTGCAACAAAACGGGACAGGGAAGGAAAACATCACTGGTCAGCGGGCGGGCAGACAGACAGTCCTTGAGGAATGTGCTCCCCGCTGCCCGTCCCCATGCCATGAAGATCCTTGGTGACCCTCCCCTCCCCTTCCCGCACTCAGATGTTGGAACAGCATCTAGTTCAACTCCATGAAACACCAGATCTTCAAGGAGTCAGAAAACCCTGGTTCTTGCCTTGGCTGGAAAAGTCCTGCTCCCCTGGCTTGGTCAGGGGCTCTGCTGGAGTGAGGGGCTCATGAGAGCATCGCCAGGGCTTCCATTGCTTGGGAGGCGCAAGTGATGGTGTCTGAGGGAGCAGCACGGTTGAGTTGGCAAGCAGGAGAAGCAATGGGTGGCTGGCATGCTGCTGCGCCAACGTCCCGTCTCGCATGGCAGCATCAGCATCCAGGGGAGTGCTGGTCATGTAGGTAGTTGCTATCAAGCGCGGCTTGTTTTGTCCACGTGTGGTTCACAATCGGCACAGTGGTGCCCTAGAAGGCTTTATTCACATGGGTTTTTTTTTTTTTTGCCAATCCCCAGTGTTCCAAAAATAAAACATGAACAGTTCAACATGAAGTAAACATGCACAGCTTCAACATGTGCTGGAGTGACTAGCTGTGCTTCAGGGTGCCTTGAGCTGAGAGGCCTGAATTTGGCTTTGGCATCTCACGTTCCACACCAAGCCCCTGGGTAGCAAGTGCCTCTCCAGCTCTGATAAGCTCAGAATCACCTGGAAGGTTGTATAAATGTCGACTCCCACAGACCCCCTTCCCAGGAGTCTGTTCAGCAGGTGTTTCACAGAACCAAAAGTTTCATGAGCTAAAATTAACTCTTACCATATGAGAAGCATGTGAGAAGCTAGTTGGTTACAGTTCATCTTAAAAAGTGCTGGTTGACATACTCTTTATTTGTATGGGCTTTTGAAAATGTTCATAAGAAAGTTTAAACAATCCGCCAGTGGGACTCATGAACAGATGGAATCTGTCTCTCAAAGACATGCAGCAAACTAAAGGCAGACAGTCCTGGGCTCAGCCCAGCCTCTGCTATTTGCCAGGGCATGACCTCAGAGAGTCATCAGCTGCCCTGAGCCTTGAGTTTCTTCACATGGGGAACAGAGGGTGCCAGGGACCCTGCAGTGTGGCAAGGATGAGATAAATGGGAGCTATTTGTCTTTTAATTGGTGCTGATGATCGATCTTGGAAAACTCATAGTCTTCCAGGCAACTGGGTCCAGTTCAATCATGGCAGACCTCAAATGAGTAAGGTCAAGGATCCAAAGCACAAGACCCCCTCCCAGTGACCACCCTCAAGTCCTGGCTGAGCCCTCCTTGGCTTCTGGTGACACCTCTGTTCCCTTGAAGAGGACTTCAGCTGCGGGCTCTGCTAATCCCCAGACCTGCCTCAGGGGCCCCATAGCAGGCGCCTGGGCCCTTGAGGAGCTGCTCTGGGCGTGGGCTCTGCAGCTGCCTGCATCAGGCAGTGTTGGTTGGGTGGATGTGCTGACCTCTGGGAGACACCTCCCGCCCTCAGAATGCTCGTCACCAGGTATGGGGCCAGGAATCTCCATTTTAACAAGCCCCCTCAGTCACTCTCAGGCACATTTAGTCAAATGACTAAATGAGATTCATCTTCAAGGTGGCGGCCAGGTGCCAGTGTGCCTTCAGGGACTCAGAGGTAACCCTTGTCTCAGAAGATGCCGTTCTGTTCCTCACTGAGGCCCAAGATGCCTTTAAACCAGGCTTTATGGTATGTTTAGCAACTAAAGAAATCATGTCAAGGAAAAGCTCACACACTGAGACTCACTCGCACTTGTAGGCAAGTCACCAAGGCAGCTGGTGACCTAAAGTCAACCTTCCCCATTAGGAGACAGCAGGGTGAGCTGTGGCTGAGCACGGAAGGAGGCAGGGGGCTTCTCTGAGGCTAAGTGAGGTGCTGGAGATGGCTCCCACCAGCCCGGGGAGTTTGTGAGCCGGCTGTCAAACAGCCATTGATATAAACTAAATTATATAAGCTTACAATTAAATAAATTAAAAACAAAGGTAATAAATACTCAAAACACACTACCTCCTATTTGTTTTACTACATTTGACTGTTGCCCATGCCCTGGCAGTCACTGGCCTCTATGTACATATCTGCATGGTGGACACACTATACAATGATGTGCTACTGGGTATCTCTCCTAAATCACATTGAGCAACCTCATCTTGGTAACAGAAAAGGCTATGGTGGGAGTATTTACACCACTGTCATCAGCAAATATTACACAGAAGGGCTGAATTTATTTTTTGTGGTCAGGCTTAAGAAAGTGATGGGAAAATGCTAATAATGCAGATTAAACCTAACAGTGTTAGCTGTTATAGCATGAATAAATAGCACAAAAATTGAAGGAAATATTCTAGTATTAGAACAATATTATCTTATTTGAGTAACATCATTCCTGTCATTTAAAGAAGGAGGCCGGGCGCAGTGGCTCACACCTGTAATCCCAGCCCTTTGGGAGGCTGAGGCAGGTGGATCACAAGGCCAGGAGTTTGAGATCAGCCTCGCCAACATGGTGAAACCCCGTCTCTACTAAAAATACAAAAATTAGCCGGGCGTGGTGGTGGGCGCCTGTAGTCCCAGCTACTCGGGAGGCTGAGGCAAGAGAATCGCTTGAACCCAGGAGGCGGAGGTTGCAGTGAGCCGAGATTGCGCCGCTGCACTCCAGCCTGGGCAACAGAGCAAGACTCCATCTCAATAAATGAATAAATAAATAAAATAAAAATAAATTTTAAAAAATAAAGGAGTAAGGTTGGGACATAAATCTTTGTTGTTTCATTTGTTTCACGATCATCCTACTCTTTACAGAAAATATGGAGCACCGTTCTCTTTGGAGCTACCCTCATTTGTCATTTGCAACTATAGGTTGGCTACTGAGTTTGGCAAAAATCAAAGAAAGCCTTTGGTAAGAATCACTCGGGTAGACTGCATTTAAATTGAGAGTATTGTATCTTTATTTGTAAAATTGTGTGCAGTGTATCTTTTATTTCAATATTTAAAATAAGCATGTGTATATGTGTATATATATGTACGTAACACATATACATATATATACACATATATGTGTGTATATATACATATATATACATGTACACACACACATACATCACACATTTTTCCCTGGAGAGGTGAGTGTTGAGTATCTACCAGCTCGCAACTGCTCTAGTACATATGAAAATGAAGGCATGCCCTCAAAGCTGCATGTTGAGTGCCGTCTGCTTTCGGTCCCGTCATTATCTCTGTATAGACCCAGTTGGCAATCATGCATTTGGGGCCCTCTGCAAGTGTGAAAGGAAGGCACTAAGGAAAGACCACCTGGTCCTGGGCCTGCCTCTTCCCCTAGCACCCAGTAGACTGTGATACTCTGAGCCCAGGGGTTGGCAAAGTGTGGCAGATCACTGCAGATCCCCAAATGTCCCAGAGCTGCAAGGCAATGGGGTCCATCTCCCTCTGCAGACACGCAGTAGGAACTCTGGGACTCAGTTCTGTTTTATCCTAACTGGCCTTTATGAAATGACTGCAGTTTCTTGTGACGAGGGGTGGCCTCAGTGGTAAGGTAGTGGTGACCAGAACTCAGGGCACTGAGGGGGCGGGGTGCTGGATTTCACTTGTCTGTTGGCCCAGGGCTCTTTCCAACCCTTACAAACCATAGGCTGAGAATGTGGTGGAAACTAGGTCACTTTGCAAGAGATATAGGGAAACCCCTGAGCTCACCTAGTCTTCCTGTCATTCTCCATGGGAAGATCCAAGCCCAGAGAAGGCAAGCATTTGCCCCAGGCCACACAGCAGAGCCAGCACCGGAATCCCAGGTGCCTGCCTGCCAGATGGAAGGGCTTTCCATTGCAGCCCCTGCTAGCGTATAAACTTCTGGCTGGGTTATGCCAGAGGAGAGAGCAGTGGGGCTTGGCTCCCCCTCCCCCTCCCCACCAAGCTCTGAGCAGGGCTGTCTTCCCGCCCCTCAGCTCTGGCCCGGCCTGCTTTACCACTTTACCTGCTCCTATCACCACCGCATCATACTCAGGCTTCAGACCTCCCCTGGCTTCCGTGTTATCTCGTCTCCACGCCGGGAAGGGAGAGGCGGCCACAGCCTTGCAGAGACCTCGGCCACTTGCAGCCATTTCTGCCCCAGGCTGGGCCTTGCTAGGCAGGGAGTTTGCTAGCGATTGGCTTTTGTGCTGCCCTAGGCACGGGGTGGAGCAGGGAGGAAGCAGGAAGAGGAGGAGCTGCAGTCCCCCTCCAGGCCCCCTCCACCATGCATTCTTGGCCACAGGCCAGCCTCCTGCTGCCCTGGGGCTGTGCTGGGCCGTCGGGAGTGTTGCCTATTAACCAGGCGGTGTCACCTCCAGGATGCAGGGGATAATGGCAAAACTGACAATCCACTGGGGTTCCTATGTCAGGCTGGCATTGTGCTGAACCCTGTAGGCAAAACTCCCCATTTTACAGATGAGGGCGCTGAGGCTGCGGGGTTAGGGAATGAGTGGTGGAGGCAGAGTGGAGCTCGAAAGGGCCCTCTCCTCCCCTGTGCATCTACCTTCTCAGTCAGAACTGAAACGCCTGGGATGGCAAGTGCTCGTGTCAGACTCTGCTCCAACTCCATGCTGAGTCTGCCAGTGCAGAGTGGTGATGCCTCTACGCCCACAGGAGGCGCCCAGGGCGGCCATCTAGCGTCACCACGACCAGGGCCTTCAGACACCGCAGAGGCAGCTGTGTCTGTCGCTGAGGAGCACTGGAGTCCTCTCCTAAATGCTCAAACACAAACCCACAACGAGGGCTTAGGGGCAAGTTCGCTGTCTGTAATTCTCTGGTGTTTTAGTTTTGAAGGCCTGGCCAGTTCTCCTCTTTTGGCACCTTGCCCATTTTCCAAGAATCCCCAAGGATTCGAGGTCACATCTGTAAATACCTCCAGCTAAAGTTCTTTCTGACCCTCCCTTAGGCCTGCCTTGAATTAGGAGCCCCTTTGTTCTCTGCCCATTACTTAGCAGAGTGTTCCCCTAGGAGGAAAAAACCCCTTGGAGCGGAGAGTTCCTGCACTGCTCTGATATCGCAGTGTGACGGAAACCTGCTATTGGTAACGAATCTCAGAACTGGGAGAGTATGTGGAGATGATCCTAAGAGGGGGTTCCGAGGACCCCTCCACACACCATGGACAGTTACCCCGCATGTGAGCATCTCTGCTAAGATCTGATTCAGGATGTTCACTCCTGTGTTATTTATTATATAGAAAGATCAAGGGGACTGGTTAAACTAGACATATCACATCCAGCCGCTGCTAAAAACTAAAGGGAAATAGTAGGTGACAAAAGCAGGGGTCCTGAACAGTGGTGGGCTCAGGGGATTGGAGTTTTTTCCTTTATGTTTTTCTGTATTTTCCACAATCCACGCTTTTCATTGCCATTCCATCAGATGATGTTAAGGAGGAACACAGATCCAGTCACCTGAGGGGATACTTCCTCACTGCCACCTTCTCAGGGTTTAGACCAACATGTGGGTTCTAGTTCCCCCAGCCCCAAAGCTGTTCCCTGCAAGGAAGAGATCAGTCTTTGAGCAAATTTTGGCTCAAGACTAAAGACACAGAAGGCGAGGCTCCTGCATGCACAGCACACGGCCATCTGATCCTGTGCTGCAGTGGACGCTGACTTTCGCCACGCCGTCCTCTCTGGCCCAGCACCGGCCTCCTGGCCTCAGAGGAGCAGACACTCCCAGTCCCAGGGCTCTCAGGGTCTCTTGTCCCTGGGTCCATTCTGGGACAGGAACTTCTCGGTTGGAAGAGAGGGGCTGTACCCCTCGGGTGGTGGTTCTCAATCCAGGGCGCACCACAGAAGCTTTGAAAGACATCAAAGGCTGGGCTCCACGGCCGCCAAGGGAATCCAAATCTCTGGGCCAGGGCCAGGGGCTTGAGAACCCCAGCCCTAGGGCAGACGCCAGCCAAGCATGAAGGGGCTGGGACTTAGCAAGGGCTTATCAGCACTGACAGAAGGGTCTAGAAGCACTAGCATGTTGGGCTTCAGTGATAACAATGACCAACATTTATTGAGCACCTACCACACTGGGTAATCCTCACACCACCCTGGGACGGAGGTGCCATCGCTTTAAACGTGGGGAATAGAAGAAACTTGCCAGGAGGTGCAGAGAGGAAGTGGCAGCGCTGGAATTCAAACCCAGGCAAAGGAGCACCTTTTACCTGGGGTAGGAGAGAGCTTGCTGGGTGGGCTTCCTCCACGCAGGGAACAGCAGAGATGGGGCTTCCTCCCCATCTCCCAGGATAAAGGCAGAGGCAGCTCTGGAAGAGGAGCTGTTGCCACCGTTGTTTTACAAACAGGACCCCTGGGCTTCCCTCTTCCTCCAGAGAGAAGGATCTGGGGCCTTGCTCAGTACCTGACATGGAGGGTGGTCTAGGTGGGGTTTTAGAAGCCCTGGGGCCACCCTGGGCACTCTGCCCTATCCTCAGGATGGCCACTGCAGACAGGAGGCTCTCGTCATGGGGAACAGTGGCAAGCAAGGGTGGCTGGAGGACAGGATGCAAAGGCAGACTGCGGCCACCTTGGCCTAGAGCAGGGGGATACGGGAGGCCTCCCAGAGGCGCCGGGCCAGCTGGCCGGCCTGCTGCACCAGCAGGTCAGTGGGGATGACAGACAGGTGCAGGGCCAGCAGCTCGTAGCACCTGACAGCCTCGGTTGGGCGGTTCTTGCTGTAGTAGCGCAGGAGCTTCCTGGGGAGGAAGGGGAGGATGGGATTCAGGAGTGAGGCTGTGGCACTCCTCCAGCGCCAGAGGCCTCTCTGGGCCCTCGCAAGCAAATGCCCATGCCCTCGGTCATCTCACTAGGCCCCTGCATGTGGGCCTTGACAACCGCTCCGGTTCCTCACTGACCTAACAGTGGCATCCTGGCTACGAGGTAGCAGTGGGGATGTTCTGGGCCGGGCACAGACGTTCCCCGTGCTGCCAAGACCATGCCAGCAGGAAGGTGGTAGGAACACAGATGTACCCTCCACACCCGTCCTCCCTCGCTGCACACAGGGCCAGCCGGGAAGGTGTTCCCAGCGTGGATTTCTGGGTCTGAGGTAGGGCACTGCTGAAGCAGAAGCTGCTCCCGGCAGAGGCGAGCACTTATCACCCAAATGGGGGCATCTGTCCCCAGTGGCTCCCAACGCAGCGTCACCTGTAGTAGTCTCCTCCCAGCATGCCGATAGGCACTGAGTCGTCGGAGAGGACGGGCACCTCGATCATCTGGAGTTTGTACCCCTGAGGAGGGAGGACAGGGAGGCAGTGGGTGTGGGGGTAGTGCAAGGGCCTGAGTCAGACGCACCGGGCTTGCGGCCTGGCTTGGCTCTGTCATGTGCGCTGGGTGCTTGGGAAAATGCCTGGACCTTGTTTTTTCATCTTTGAAGTCAGAATGACAACAGTCACCTTATGAACATTAGAGAAAAAGTATACAAAGCTTCAAGGGCCGGCAGGGTAGCTCTCATTACCGTCAATACCTGGACCTGTACAGGCCACAAACACACGCTCAGGAGGGCACCCTGCAGGGCTGTCATACAGGTCTTGAAGAGCAGAGCATTCACAAAAGGCCCAAGCCTCTGCTCTGAAAGAATTGGGAATTCCCAGGGTGGGATAAGGTGGGGAAGGGAATTAAGATCTGCTGGACGTGCCGTGTGTGCCAGGCATGAACATGGCACTTAGCTGATGCTTGCCTGGGCACCGTGGCCTGCCCTGCAGGGGGAGTGGACTCCCTAGTGTGCAGGGCTGCCCCCACGGCACCGGCTGGGCTGTGTGGCTGGCATTCAAACCTGGCCTCTCCAGCCCACAGCTCTGCCTCACTTTATCACCCCACGGGGCCACCCAAGCACACAGACTCCTGTCCCTCCCTAGAAGTGAAGGTAAAGGTCACAGGAATTTTCTAGCACTTCTGTTGTACACACGTCCTGGGCACTTCTGAGGGCACGGAGGAAAGCTGGGAGCCTGCAGGCCGGGGGAGCAGAGCTTGGGCTCCGGCTTCCTCACTTACAGCCTCGGTGGCCCTGGCCATGGCGTCTGATCTCCGGATCATTGTGTCTCCATCCGTACAACGGGGTCAGGAATCCCTGCCCCAGCCACTTTACAGGGCTGTGAGGGGGTAACTGAGAGAACAGTGGTGGAGAGCCCCAGTAACCGCCCTGCCCTATGGAAAGGGATGGCTGTCACCCTCAGTGAACAAAGAGTGCAGGGTGGGGGCAGGGGAAGGCACAGGAGTGCAGGGACCCAGAGACCAAGGGCTGCGAGGGAGGAGGAACACTCCTGAGAGCTGGAACAACCACTCCTGAGAGCTGGAACAACCACTTATGGTGACAAGCGAGATGCAAATAAAAGAGAAACAGGAGGAAAGCGAAGAAAGGGAAAAGACAGAGAGGAGGGAGAGACAGGAGGAGAGGAGTCCCAGCCACTGCACCCCTCACAGCCCTGTGCAGTGGCTGGGGCAGGGATCCCTGACCCCGTTGTATGGATGGAGACACAATGATAGTAAGCTCCCCCCACTGGACCCTACTCTGCAGTAACAGTGAGGCCCAGAAGAAGCAGTGCAGGGCCTGGAGGCCAGGGCCCCGAGCCACACCACCAGTGTCTCCTCAGGCAGCCTGGCTCACTGCTTCAAGCAGGGGCCTATGCTCTTGAGTTCAGGGGCCTATGCCACAGGGATGACCATGTGCCACACTTGGCATGTGACGCTGGCGACATGGAAGCACTAGCGACAAAGTGTGTGGTCTGAGTCGCATTTCTCACAGTGGGGCATGTGCCTTTCTGCTCACATGTGTGCCTGGATGCCACGTGGACAATGGCAAGAGTTTGCCAGACAGCTGGGCAGAGGGATCACAAAGCAGTTAAACGCCCATGTGAAAATGTGACCTCTGAACTCTGGCTCCCAACCTGCTGGGCTTACCAGCAACAAGAAGAGAAGATGAGACAGACAGACAACAATTCAGAAGAAAGGAATCCAAGAGTTACAGAGCGGGAAGTGTGTGTGGCCCGTCCTGGCCCAGGGACTCAGCCTCACCTACCATGTCATTCTCGAACCACAGGAAGTAGGAGCAGTAGAAATCCCCCTCCTGGAACAGCAGCGTGGTGTAGCCCTTCTGCAGGTATCTGCGCGCCAGCTGGATCAGAGACCAGACCTGGGGAAAAGACAGCAAGCATCACCACTCTCCCAGCCTTGGTCTGCCTGGGCAGCTCTCACCTCCGAAGGAAGGAAAGGGCACAGCCGAGAAGCTCCGTGAGTGCCAGGGGCCTCTCCTAGTACCCGGGCACTGCCTTGGCTCAGAGCAGGAGGCTCAACAATAAATCATTATTGGATGGATGGACTACCCTCCAGTTAGCGTGGGGGCAAAATATATGTAAAAAAGCTTTGTGTAACTTTACTATACACATATGCCATAAATTAGTGAACTGGGCTAGTGTGGTGGCTTACGCCTGTAATCCTAGCACTTTGGGAGGCTGAGGTAGGTGGATTGCTTGAGCTCAGGAGTTCGAGACCATCCTGGGCAACATAGCAAAACCCTGTCTCTACAAAATATACAAAATAATTAGCCGGGTGTGGTAGCACACACCTGTAGTCCCAGCTATTTGGGGGGCTGAGATGAGAGGATCGCTTGAGCCCAGGAGGTCGAGGCTGCAGTGAGCTGTGCTTGTGCCGCTGCACTCTAGCCTGGGTGACAAAGTGAGACCCTGTCTCAAAAAATAATAATATTAAAAAAAAAATAAATTAGTGAAATGATCATTCAGGCCAGAGAATAGCCAGGGACATCATTAATGAACACAGGAGAACAAGGTGTGGTCTCCTGAATCCCCTCCTCTGCCTGGGGTCGCCCACTCACCTAGTGCCCTTCAGGCTGGGAACTGATGGCACAGGTGAGTGACCCTGTAGGATGTGCTGAGCCAGGGGGGAAGTCCAAATCAGAGTTCACCAAGGGGTCAGATGGAAACACAGGGCCTGAGAAACCACGTGCCTTAGCTCCCCTGGGAATGTCCTCCTGCCTGACGCAGGGACTGTCACCAGTGCTGCCGGTGAAGTGCCCCAGGGAAGGCAGCAGGGACAGTGGGCTCTCTGCCACCTCTCAGGGCTGGGAAGAGACTCGAGGAGCCCTCTCCTCTACCCTTAACGGGAGGGACAGGCGATCTGCTCCAAACTGCATCGCCGTGTGATTACTCATTAAATCTGCCATGGATTGACTGTACTTTTCAGGAAAGTAATTTGACAACATCCATCAATAATCTTAAAAACATTCCTCCCATCTGACTTAATAATTCCATTTCTAGGAATCCATATTGGGGACATAATCAGAGATGGGGACCCAGATGTATGCAAGGTGTATACTGCAGAATTATTTATAACAGCAAAAGCCTAGAAATAATCTGTATGTCTAAACATCAGGGAAATGGTTCAATAAATTATGTTACATTCACATGATGGACTATTATGGAGCTGCTAAAAATCATGTCTATAAAGAGTTAATGGCATGAGGGAAAGCATCTGATATAATGTGAAATGAAAACATGGTAGCAAAGTTGCACATACAGAGTGATCTCAACTACAACAAACTGCACAGAAAACCAACAGAAAGAAACGTACCAAGATAACCCCAACTGTCTCCAGAATGAGGGGCAAGGATGAAGATGGTGATGATGATGCCACCAGTAAGTACTGAATGAACTGTATCTGTATTTTGTGCTACGTGCTATGCTAAATATTTGATACGTATCCTCTCATGTACTCTTCATAACTCTGTGATGTAAATAGCACTATTATTTCCTTCTACAGATGAGGAAACTGACCCTTGGGCTAAGTACTGCCCAAAGCCACATAACTGGTGGGAGACGGGGCTGGGCTTCCAACACATGCCTCCACCACCCATCTTCCCATCTTGTTTTAAACATTAGAATACACTTTACTTGCCTCCCCCACCAAAACAAAGAAAGAAAAGAACACACACACACAGACACACACACACACACACACACACACACACACACACGTATAGTTTTTTTGGAGAGTGGCAGGGGTCCTCCCCCTATCAAAAATACAACTTTGTCATGAAAAACAGTCAGTTAAATAAGGAGAATAAAAGAATTTCCAGGGAATGCTTCCTTAACAGAAATCACCTTGTTTTAAATTCTGATGCCCAACTGATGGACCTTGCCGTTCTCTCCATTCTAGCTCATTCAACAAATACTTGTCGAGCATTTATTTATGCCGGCACTGGCCACTGCCTCCTTGGGCCTGCTGCCCAGCGCACTCTGCTAGCCCCAGGCATGTGGATCACACCAGGAAGGGCTACCCAATATTGGCTGAGGCCCACCCATCCCCGCCCTGGGTCCAAATGGTTACCTTAGTTTTGACAAAGGCAGCCAGCGGCCCCTTGCCCAACTCCGACGAGGTCTTTTGACTGCAGTTGAGGGAAGGCGCCACCATCTGCCCAGTGGTGCGGTCCACATAGATGAAGTGCACCAAGCCTGGGAAGTCTTCTAGGTAGGTGAAGGTCTGAGTTAAGGTGCTTACAAGCCAGGAGCTAGGGACGGCCTGCCTCTGTCCTGGGCTTCTAGCTGTGCCCAGTCATGGTGGCAGGAGGGCCAGGACTGCCTCTTTCCAGCAGCTTCCATTTCAGCTAAGCCCCCTGTATCCTTGCTTCCTCAGATCCCCCACTACCTCCAAGCTCCCCAGGCCTTGAAAAGCTGTAAGATCCTCAACACTTGCACATTTGACACGGGCAGTTCTGGCCCTACAGGAACATGGTATGCATCATTTTCATGAGGGATGAATTTAAGTCAGACACACGTGAGGCTGGAGTGTGAGCACAGCCACTTGGTTCATGAGTGAGCCTAGCTGACTGCCCAGCCTATGCACCTCACTGTGATCTTGCTAAACCCTTACACTTCATCATGAGAGTTTGGAAGGCTCCCATTTGGGAGGGGAAGAGACATCCATAGAAGGGCAGCAGCTGGTGGCTAAAGAGGCCCTCTGGCATCCTTTCACCTGCCCACTGAGGACCTGCCTCAGGAGACTGGGGGCTGGACATTTCAGAGATGATATGGGAAAAGCTGCTTTACATGAATTTTCATGGAAAATCAGTATTCGATAAAATTAGTGTTCCATAATAAAAGGGTCAAATAGTCTTAGGAATGGCTTCTGAAACAGGGATAAACATTTGCCGTAGGCCTTCTAGAGCTTTTACATGCCACTGTGCACTGTCATGATCTAAGAAGGACAACGGCCCTTTCAACCAAACTAGACCACAGGAACCCCCCCCCCGGTCCCCACCCCTCGTGGAATACCTACTACCATTTTGCCAGCTGGGCAACACTGACATAAAGGGTCTTTATGGCTTTTGTGAATTAACTTTGGGACAGGAGGAATTCCTGAAATTTCAGCTTGAAGTATTCCTATAGACAAGGCACATGGGCCACTATGTCCCATTATTTTCCTTCAGAGAGGTGGTGAGCAGCTGATGGGGTGGAACATATATCCCCCTTCCCTGGGGCCCATAGTCCCTCCAGGGAGCAGGTGTAGAGGCAGCAGATCCAAGAGGCTTGTTGGGCTGGCTGGGGCCCCGGCGTCAGGATATGACACCATGGTGATGTTCCTCCTGCTCTTCACCAGCAAGAAGTCCTTCCAGTCCGTCAGCTTCTCCCTGCCGAGGGAAGCTCGGGCTGCGTGAAGGAAGTACGGGCCCCAGACCCTGCCCTGGCCACCCAGGGGGCCGCACTGCACTTACCGCATGAGCCTCTGCACTTGGTCCTGCAGGTGCTGGGGCAGGTGTGGGCCTCCCCTGCTGGGGGCTGTGGTCAGAAAGTTCAGCCGGTAGATGGCGCAGAGCTGCCGCTTCAGCTTCCCACATGCCTGGAGCAGCCTGAGCACGAGAGAGGAGGGCATTACAGCAGAAGGGACCTAGGGGAGCCCCTCGCCCTGTGTGGACCACCTTGTTCCTGCACCCAGGACAGACAGACCTGGGGAGCCCTTCCCCCTTGTGGACCACCCCACTCTTGTACCCAGGACAGACCAACCTGGGGAGCCCCTCACTCCCAGGTGGACCACCCTGCTCCTGCACCCAGGACAGACAGATGGAAAGACCTAAGGGGGCAGCCACAGCTGATCAGGCAATGGGAAGGAGCTTCCCAGCTTCTCCACGCGGTGCTCCACGTATGTGGGAAGAAATCTCCTTTCTTGAAATTATTTTGCTGATAAATGAAGGGCAGTGGTGGAGGAGATGTGGCCTCCCAGGGAACAGTCCCCTGGGCACACGACCCACCCCTTGTCCTGAGGCCCACCACTCACTCCCAGGAGGATCCGGGCTCACTTTTGGAGAAAGCCTTGGCCTTAAACTCCAGCCAGGTGCTCTGGAAGGAAGACAGGGGGCAGGTTTGCATCCCGACCATATTTCCAGTGAGGTCCAGGCCAAAGTCCTTCTCAGATCAGGCTCTGAGAGGGCACAGGGCCCCCAGACAAATCTGCCCTTCTGGCCAATGCAGGCTACCCTGGCAGGCCCCACCAGCCCCCTGCAGACTTCAGTGTGCCATGTTCTAGTCACTCAGCAGCGTTTATTTAAAGGGCAGTTTCCAGGGGCTCGCTGTCTGACGGGCACAGGCACACATAGTAGCACCGTCACAGCAACCAGGCCAGCCCCTCGGGGTGGGGGGCACACACAGGGCAGCGGCTGGGGTGTGCGGAGGAGGTGCTGCTGCAGAAGCTGGGAGGGTATGGGGTGGGCATGGGGTAGCCATGCAGGGGGCGGCCTCACGGGATCTCTATAAAGCAGAAGAACTTGGTGTTCTAGTGAAAGTGCTCCTTAGGACACCCTGAGGCACTGCGGGATGTGGCACTGCCTCCTCCAGCCAATCCTGCAGCCTTCAGACTGACAGGCACTCCAGCCACAATGGGTCCCAGCTCCTCAAACACCAGGCGCCTCCACTGCTTAAATCCAGAGTCAAGCCCCACCAGCCCCACTGCCGTCCAGGCCCTGATCTGGGCTTTGTCAGAGCACGGGGTGATGGACTGTTTCTACTGCCTGCACATTCTCACCTGTCTCCTGGTCTCAGCTCCCCACCTGGGCCCTAAGCTCACTGGGGGTGGGGTGGAGCCGTGACCTGCACATCCCTGTGTTGCCCTGTGAGCCCGGGGACACAGCCCCGCTGCAGAGAGGAAGCCCGTGACGGGCGGATCCCGACTGCACTTGCTCACTGCATCCGGGCTCTGGCTCCACTGCTCATGAGCTGCATAATCTTGGCCAAGTTAAAACTTGTCTAAGCCTTAGTTTCCACACCTAAAAAAGGGGAATTATAATTCGTATTCTGCCAAACACACATAAAAAGATTCTGAAAACCAAAAAGCAGCTAAGTTTTCAATATCATTTCATAATAGGGAAAACAAGGATCGTAGGCCCGGGGGAGGTGGAGCCCGGACAGGAACCCAGGCCCATTGGCCCCTCAGCTGCTGTGGACCGGATGTACCCTGCTGCCAGCCCTGCCTCTTCCCCAGGTGGGGAGGACTGGAACTTGGGTCTCACCTGAATCTCCTGTGCCCCTCGATTCTTGACAAACTTGTCCATCCTCTGGCGCAGGTCTCCCACGAGGGGCTGGGAGCGCAGGGAGGCCCCGGGCTCCGGCCCTTCCTTCAGCTTCTTCTCCAGCATGGAGAAGCCATCCATCAGCTGGGACAGAACCAGGGCCAGGGGCGCGCTGGGGCTCTGAGGGTAAGGGCCGAGAGGCGGGTGAACGGGGCTGCCCCTGGGGAAGACGTGCCAACCCTAAGCATCATCAGGGCAGGGTGAGGGGCTCTCCTACCCTGGTCAGGAGCACCAGGTTGATGCCCTGCCACAGGGGCAGGCAGTACATGGTGTGGGGCACTAGGGGGCAGTAGCTTTCCTTCACGTTGGCATCCAGGAAGATCCTTCTGGGGCCGGAAGGCACAGGGCAGTGGGGAACCAGTGTTTGGAGGGTGTCCTCTGCTATCTACAGAGGAAGAAGAGCTGCAGTGAGAGGTGGGATCCCTAAGTTGGACCCACCCATTGCGGCCCTATCTGTGAACCACAAGAAATAATCATTTTTAGCTCCAAGAAACTCCAGTTTTTAAATTCCTGCACTCTGCTGAACCTGCCCTCGCAGCTCCAGTTTCGCTGTTGCCCCTCTCCCTCAGCTGCTCCTGGGCCTTTCTGCCCAGAGTCTGGCCCGGGTGCCAAGCAGGGCAGTGGGCAGGGGCAGAGGGGCTGGGTGGTGGCACAGAGGACCGAGAAGGCAGGGAAACACTCGTGGATGGGGAGTGGACGGGGAGAGGTCCCCTCCCCACATTTGCAACAGATGGAGGTATCTAATGTTCAACATTGTATCATTTCAATCACCCTCAGAACATCCCAACAGCCACTCAAATTGGGGAAACTGAGGCATAAAGTGACCAAATGGGCAAGGCTCCAGCCTTACAGAGGGATCTAAGCAAGAAAGCCTTTAGTGCAAAAAATTATAGAATTAAGGAAATCATGAGAGATGCCACAAAAATTCCTCTTCAGTGTCATACCTAACAGCAAACACTGGACACATGACGCGATTTTCCTGGGGATTTGCTAGATAAATAACATATGCATGTGATGGACTACCAATCATTACAAACCACACTGTGGGAGTGCTTAGGAAATGGAAAAATGTTTAAATAAAAAAGTATAATGAAACACGTTAGTATCCAAATCTGATTTTAAAAATACACATGTGTACATATGTAGTGTGTGTGTGTGTGTGTGTGTGTGTGTGTGTGTAAAGTCATAGGAAAAAAAGACTAGAAGGAAACACCCCAAGATGTTAATCTCATTTTGAGGACGGGATTAAGAGTAATTTTTATTCCCTTTTTTATAGTTTACTTTTGTATTTCCCGATTTTTCTACAATAAATATACATGCTCACTTAAAAAAAAAATTCTATTGGACTTTCACTCCCAAGAACAATGGAGCTGAGGGACAGCACCTGGGGGAGGGGAGGGGCAAGTTCGCCACCCCTCACAGCCCATTCCTGGACCCTGCCTCTGGGCTGAGCTCTGGCACCAGGACAGGCACCTGCACTGACCAGCCCTGGGGTGGGCAGGAGGAGGGCTGGCACGGGTAGAGTCACCCTGGAGGCGAAACCCTCAGAGCCCCCAATACTCACTGCGGCATCTCAGATCAGCTGGCGCCCAGGCAGGCACAGGAGAAACTCACCTGAAGGGCATCCATGGGGGGGGTGCCCCCCTCCAGCCAGATGGTGCTACCTGCAGGCCACAGGTAATAACATAACGATGTAAGTACCATGAGATGTAAGCAATGGCTCAACAGCATGGGGTAGGGGGCCCAGGTGCCCCCCACAACCTCAGCCCTTGGCTGCCAGCTCCACGCAGGGGTGCTAATGTGGCTGGGGCAACACCCCTTCATCCTAAGTTGGCAGGCACAAGGTGAACTCTGCAGTACCAGGGCTAAGGCGGCCTGGGCCTGGCAGAGAAGCTGCCCCCAGAGCCAGCTGCTGAGAATCAAGCTCCTGAGGACATGTTTGGTAATGGTGGTCAGGGGGTAGAGGGGCATCTTCCTCCCCCCTCCCTTGCCCCCAATCCCCTCCTTGTTCTGTCCCCTGTATTCCTTCAGGCCTCAACCCGCCCCTCAGGAGTCAGCACACACAGTCCACGTTTGCCCATTCATTTATTCAACCGGCAAGCTCTTACTGAGCACCTGCTGTGTGCTGGGAATTGAGGTGGATTTCCTTCCTAATATAACGCACAAAAACCTACTGAACCCACCACATATCTGAAATATTATGTGTCTGTAATAATACTGTTACCTCTTATATTTCATTGCAAACAACCCTCATTTATAATCATGTTTCTTTGGGGGAAGTGTGTTCCTACATCTTAAACACCTGATTTACAAATGGATGAGTGCAACCCAAACCATTTGTAAGTTGTGAGTTCTCTGCACGGTGGAACAGCATTATTTTTTACAGTTTTAAGGCATAAAAAACCACTATCAAGAGAGAGGGACTGGGAGGAAGATGGTGATGAATGAGGAAGGGAGTGGTAAGAGGAACTTCGGAGATTACCCAGAACTCTGCTTCTCAACAGGTCTCAGGCTCATCAAGAGCTCAGGGAATCTGAAGATAGCTAGGAACCCTCACCCCAGGAATGCACAGGCATCAGTGAGTTCACACACAGTCTCAGGGGGTCCTAGGCTTCTAGCCAGACCTAAAGTTAAAAGCATCTAACCCAGTGGTTGTCAACCTTGGCTACACACGAAAATCATTTGGGGACTTTTACAAAATCCTGACGCCCAGGGCATAGCTCAGACCAACTGAGTCAGCATCTCCGGGTACAGGCTCAGCTTCAATAATTGTTAAAGATCCCCAGGTGAGTTCAATATGCAGCCAGGGGGCAAAGCATGCTGTAACCTAAATCTGTGCACAGCAGTGGTTTGCACCCGAGGCACACTGAACTCACCTGGGAAAATTTCCTAGAAGTATTCACACCTGGGTCCCAGGCCCACAGACTGTAACTTAATTGGGCTGGCTGAAGCTGCCTGGTGATTCCAATGTGCCAGGGTTGGGTTAAAAGCAGCCACATAATAAATTCCTTTCAAATCCTAGTCCCCAGTAGGTTTCTCCTCCTGAAACCCTGGCCTTCTTTCTTCCATCAGATGATGTGGAGGGACCACAGGACCCTTTTTTTTTTTTTTTTTTACCTAAGAACTTCAGAAATAAATGTAATGTTTATTCATAGTGACCACAACAGTCTGGATTTTGGTTTATCTACTTCTCTAAGCAAGGTTGTCCATTTTTTGTTAACATTTTGAATATTTGTAGTTTTGTTTTGTTTTTTTTTTTGAGACAGAGTCTTGCTCTGTCGCCCAGGCTGGAGTGCAGTGGCATGATCTTGGCTCACTGCAACCTCCACCTCCCGGGTTCAAGCGATTCTCCTGCCTCAGCCTCCCGAGTAGCTGGGATTACAGGCGCCTGCCACCAGACCTGGCTAATTTTTGTATTTTTAGTAGACATGGGGTTTCGCCATGTTGGCCAGGCTAGTCTCAAACTCCTGACCTCAGGTGATCTACCCGCCTCGGCCTCCCAAAGTGCTGGGATTACAGGCGTGAGCCACCACACCTCAACCATTTTGAATATTTATAGTTTTTTTTTATTGTTTACCCACATACTTTGGAGAAACAAAGTATAAACTACAGATGCTGAATATATTTTAGAATGTATAGAAATTAGATGATTATTACTAAATTTAACTTAATTTTTAATTTTAATTACAAAAAAGATGAGTCTGAGAATGCATGTACAGAAGTTTTAAATGAATCAACTTGTCATCAACAGCTTTAGGGATCAGTGGAGTGGTCTTAACAATCCTTGAGTTCAGGCTGGAGCTGGCAGGGAAGATGGGGAGCCGCAGACAGCGTCCTGTGCTCTAGGAACACGGGTACCTGCACTCAAGCCTTAGGAGGCACGGGGGTCCACTGGAGCCTAAGACAGATGTCCTGGGCTGCCTGTCGCTCGCAGCTAGCTATTGTTTCCTCCTGCTTTCCTCCGGTCCTCACCTGAGCTCTGATCGCCAGGGGAAGGAGCTGGTGTGAAGTACTCCTCAGGGAGGGAGAAGCTGTCTGTCTCCTGGAATGGAGAAGGTGGCTCAGGTTGAGAGGCTCTCCCAGCTGGCTCAACCCTGTCCCTGCTCTCCCAGGAGGGATGGGAAAGGCCTGGTCGCCTGCAGAGGCCGATCCCCTCCTGCCCCTGACTCCACGAAGTGCACAGCACACACCGTCTCTGCAGAGCTCCCCCCAGTTGGGCCCGTGGAGTGAGGGCTCCAGGCCTGCTGCACGGGGATGTTCTGGCTGCTCCGGGCCCTCCGCGGGGAAGGCTGTGCAGGGCAGGGGAGAGGCTGGTTAGCTCCTATCTGACCTGGCTCCCTCCACCCCTTCTGCCTCCCAGCGCTTCACAGAGAAGCCTCCACCCCTCCACCCCTCCACCCGTTCCGGGTGCAGTCCTGGGTGTGTGGTCCTCAGACTTCCCAGGGATTCGATTCTAGGCGGTCTGTTCTGTGGAAATTCGAGAAATTCCAACACAATGGTATCCAACCCACCACTACCCCTGGTGATGAGGTCAACAGCGATGGTGGTGGCTGACACTCACTAAGCATTCACTATGCCCCAGGCAGTGCCAGGTTCTGTGGGAACCACCCCTTTTGTCCCTCCAAATACCCCTGAGAAGTAGATGCTTTGTTATTCCCATTGCACAGATAAGGGCACTGAGGCTCTGGGGGTGCAAGTACGGGCTCAGCTCACACAGCCAGGTGTTGAAGCTGGGTTTCGAACCATGGCTGACTTGAAAAATCTGCACTTTTAACCCACTGGACCATGTGCACTCCAGAATTCCCCTTACATCTGAAAGCAGTGGGAAAGAAGTCACGCCCAACCACACACCCAGAATTGTGACTTAGAAAACATGGAGTCCCCAGGGGGAGCCTGCCCACCATCTTCAGGCAGGTTTTCTGAACTACCTCCCTAATGGCCTCCCTCTGCCCAGAAAGCTGCCCTGAGACCTGAATGTCGTCCTCTGCTGTGCTCTCGCTGGGGTAGAGGTCCTGAACCAGGAGGATGAGGGCAAGCAGGTCGGCCGGGCGCAGGGAGCTGGCACTGTGGCTGCAGACACAGGAGCATGGCCACCCATCAGCACATGCCCAGCAGGAGACGGGGCAGGCAGGTTAAAGGAGTGTGGAGCCTGGCCCCTGCCCTCAAGGAGCAATGTACTTCTGGAGATGGGCAAGGCACAAATACAATTAATTAACTCGTCAAATTTCAAAATAAAACTTGGTTGTATAGAACAAAGAAAAGAAAATGATTTAGCAGTGGGAAAGCACCAGGGACCAAGAACAACATAAAAGGAAGTTCTAGATTGAGACTCTAAGACAGTGTTCCAGGAAGGAATGATACAGAGAAATGGGTGAGCTGAAAAAGGTTGGAGAATCAAATCTGGGAAGGTTTCAGGCTTCATGGAGGAGGTGATTCTTGGCTGGGCAGGTGGTGCTTTTCAGGCAGAGGCCATAGGGGAGTGAGAAGGCCAGGGAGCCTTTAGCCACCACATGCCAGACCTTGAGCTCACCTAGAGTAGAATGCCAGCAGCTTGGAGTGCACGAGCAGGAAGGCATGCAGGGCCTCCTCGCCTCCCCGCTCGGGGCTGGTGTTGACAGCCTGGATGACGTGCCGCTCCAGCGCCTCTATGCACAGCTCACAGAGCTGGGGGTGAATCAGTCGCTCCAGGGCCTAGCCAGGGCAGGAAGGGAGAGGAAGCCATATCACCAACAACCTTGCCCCACTCCAAGCCCTGGGCTAGTGGGGACATTCACTCTGTCCACAGTGAGCTTGGACTCTGCACCAGATACTTGGAAACAGGGGGACTAAGACCCACCAGGTCCCAGCCTTCCTGAGGCTTACTGTCTGGTCACTAGACTCCAGTGGATGAGGCAAGGCAATACACAAGGAAATAAAGTAAGTGCCATTTGTAAGTAAGCACCAAGTACAAAATACACAGCACTAGGCTAGAGAGAAATAGCAGAGACCTCCTTGGGTAGGGTGTCCAAAGAAATGTCCCTGAATTAGGTCACCTTTAAACTAATATCTAAACAACCAGATGGCCCACCAGAGAAAGAGGGAGAGAGAGAACACTGCAAGTCAAGGAGACTGCATATTCAGAGGCCATGAGATGGGGACAGAGTTTGCAATGGTGCTGTCCAACAGAAATAAAAGAAAGGCCCTATGCATAATTTAAATGTTTCCAGTGACCACATTAAAAAAGTAAAAAGAAACAGTTGACATTAATTTTAATGATATATTTCATTTTACTGAATATATCCAAAATATTATCACCATATGATATAAAAGCCTTATTAATGGAATGTTTTACATTCTTTTTTGTGCTAAGTTACCAAAATCTGGTATATATTTCACATGCATAGCATAACTCAATTTGCACTAGTTATATTTCAAATGTTCAACAGCCACATGCAGCTAATGACTATCATATTGGACAGATCTAAATATAGAGTTTTCCTGAAACTTAAAGAAGTTTCATGTGACTAGCACTCAGTAAGCGTGGACAAGAGAGGCATAAGATGAAGCTAGAGTGAAATAGGCAGCGATAGATCACACAGGGCCTGGTAGGCTTGGGAAGAGTTTGGATTTTATGCTAATGGCATTAGGTCACCTCCTAAAAGAAGTCTTTCCTAATGTCCCAGAAAGAGTTTACCACTCCATCTCTTGTGCCACCATAGCTTTTGATGAAAAACCTAATATGGCACCAGGATTCTTTATTATATCTTTTAGTATATACATGGCTGATTTCCCCTCAAGGGCAGTGAATATGTCTTTATTCATCTCTTTATTCCCATGGCCTGGCACACCTCTTAGCATATAATAGGTACTATATGTTTATTGGAAGAGTGAATGAGTGGGGGTATGAGAATGAATTCCTTCAGATCTATTTTCCAGCTCATTAATTCTCCCTCTAGCTATGTCTCATCTGCTATTTAACACATCCCTTGAGTTTTTCATTTTAACAACTATGTTTTCTTTTCTAAAATATCTGTACGTGTTCTTTTTCAAATTTGCCTGGTCAATTTAGAGTTTCTTCTTATCTCATTTTGTGATTCTACATTTCATATTTTTAAATATTTCATAGTTATTTTATATTCTATACCTAATAGTTCCAATGTATCAAGTGCCTTGGGATCTAAATCTGTTGGTGATTGATTTTCCTGACTCTCACTCGTGGTGGCTTATTTTCTTCCATATCTGATTTTCTTCAGTTGTGAGTTCACGTTTGTTTGATCTTTACCTTTCCTGCTCTAGCAGTGGTTTTCAAAGTGTGGTTCCTGGACAAGCACAATAAACAGCACCTGGGAATTTTTTAGAAATGGAAGTTCTAGGGCCGGGCACTGTGGCTCATGCCTGTAATCCCAGCACTTTGGGAGGCCGAGTGGGCAGATCATGAGGTCAGGAGTTCGAGACCAGCCTGACCAACATAGTGAAACCCCGTCTCTACTAAAAATACAAAAATTAGCCAGGCGTGGTGGCACGTGCCTGTAATCCCAGCTACTCAGGAGGCTGAGGCAGGAGAATTGCTTGAACCCGGGAAGCAGAGGTCACAGTGAGCCAAGATTGCTCCACTGCACTCCAGCCTGGGCAACAGAGCGAGACTCCATCTCAAAAAAAAAAAAAAAAAAGAAATGCAAGTTCTAGAGCCCCCATCCCAGACTCGCTAAATGAGAAAAGCTGAAAGTGAGGCCCAGTAACCTGTATTTAACAAGCCCTACAGAGGATTCTGACACACACTGGAGTATGAAAACCACTGCTTGAAAGAGAATTTGGTTTACCTCTTTAGGAAGGCAAGGAGTGCTACTGACCAGCAGCCACTTTAGTTTTTATTTTTAATTTTTTAGTTTTTTATTTACTAGGGCTTTATAAAAGGACCAGTAGCCACTTTAACTTTTTGGGGCTGGGCTTAACCTAGAGTTGCAGGCTCAGCTCTCCTATGCTGCTGCTGGCCTAAGGCTATTTACTGGCTGTAGTGCTGGTATCATTTGCACTCAGGGAATCTTGCCTTTAGCGCTGTGTTTTTCTCCACTGCTTTCCCCTCCAGTTCCAGCTCAATATAATTTTGTGGGAAAAGGAGGGGAGGGTTGAAGGAACTGTCTTCAAAGATTCCTGTAATTTACAGTGAACCCAAAAATTGCATTAAAAGTATGTGTTATCCAGGATCGAGCTGTTTTACCATGGGAAAGCCCATCAGGGTACCCAACCCTCCATATGGCCAGAAAGAACAACTCTCTCTGAATACACGAGTTTCAGGGGCTGCTTGTGCCTTCATTCATTAGGGTTAAAACATGGTCTTAAAGGTGGACGCCCCCTCTGACCTGACAGCTTCAAGTCCTGAGGACTCCCGCGCCCAGTAGTCACCTCCACGGCGAAGCACTGCTCCTGCTCCCGCAGGCGGCTGTAGGTCCACAGCAGGCTCTGGAAGTGCTCCCACAGCTGGACACGCTGCGCCAGGTCTGGGGGCCGCAGCCTGGGGGCAGAGCCAGAGAGGGCGGGAGAGATCACAAGAAAGCTGGTCTCCCCCACACCCAACCAAAGGACCACAGTCTCAGCTCAGCATCAGAGCTTGGTGAGCCCATATGACCTGCCCACACAGCTGGGAAAGGGGGCCAGGTTTCCGGCCGAGCTCTAACTGTGGAGTGGGGTGGGATAGGCACGGAGCCGGAAGGCAGGCAGCTGAGCAAATCACCTCACTCCTCAGCCTCTGTCACACAAACACATGTCATACAAAGCCAGCTAGAGAGAGCCAGGGTGATGCTTAAGCTTCTCACACAGAGGCCACTGAACACAGAAAGATCTGGTCCATCATCAGGGCCCTACTCAGGGTCGCAGCCATCTCGGATGCTGGCAACGTCTGCACTGGCCACTGTGATTCATGTAACAGGCATCTGCCACCTGCAGCATTTGCCACTGACACCATGACCTATCTGGGCTAAAATGACTCATGAAACAATGTTTGTGCATTTGAGAAATGCCTCAATATGGGTAGTTGCTCATATCGCCACAAAACTAAAGTCCCAGAGCTTCACACTCCGCAGCTTCCCAATCCATCTTAGAGAATCAGGGGGTGGTGATACTACGAACTTCTCTTTTCTAGGTCTACATTTCAACTACAAGCCTTTTCTGGGGTCCCTCCCACCTCAGTGTATACTCTGAACCATGATTCTCTTTCCCCAAGTTCTTTACTGTGGGCCCAGAGACAGGTTTTAAGGTCTGTCTCCTGAGAAAACCTTCACGAGACTGTATGAATGTGCATGGGTTTGTGTTTTTCTGGAGAGAGAGTCTGAAGCTTGAGAAGCCAGAGAGGACTAGCTCAGACCAGATTTGTAATGACGGGTGATGATGTTGGGAGGATGGAAAGAGCACTGGACTGAGAGTCCTGAGCTCAAATATCCAGTTTGGATGTGGCCACCAACCAGCTAGATGACCCCAGGCAAGTGAGTTCCATTCTCTGCTCTGTTTCACCAGATATAAAGTCAGAGGGTCAGACCAGATGGTCTCCAAGGTTCACTTGAGCTGTTTCTCTGACCTAGGGACCCAGCTGGGGGCAGTATGTGAAAAATGGCAGCTTCACAGGGGCTGGGCACACGCTGCCTGGCCCAGCGAGGGTGCTCGGCAAAGGACAGAGGGGACCAGCTTTGAAGACTCACTCCTTTCGGATAAGATGACCGTCCACAGTCACCAGCCCAAAGTGCACTTCAAACAGGTACTTGAGCACATACAGCTTCCGCCGCAGGTCCCCCTCGCTCTCGGTGTGGTCACCATTGATGGCAATGAACAGGCATTCTCCAAACTGCAGGCACAGGCAGGCCAGTGTCAGCCAGCCCCAAGGGCACTCCCTTCACCTGCCCTGGTCTCTGCAGACAAGCCAGGGGAGGCTCGGGTCCCAGGCGGGTTTGATAAGATGCCGTTTCTGCCTTCTAAAGGAGTCTAAAGTTCCAAATAAGAGAGGCCTGTGGACTCCCCATCAAGCTGAGGGAAGAGGAACATGGGCCCCAGAGCTATAGACTCACCAGGTGAAGGACATACAGGAAGTTGCCATTTTCCGTGGAGAAGCAGGTGTAGGTGTCCGAGAGCTTCTCCAGCATCGTCATGGAGGAGATGATGACCGGGGCTAGGAGGGTGCTGAGCTGGTCCTCCAGGGCAGGGAGCTGCAAAAATGGGGGAAAATTTCACAGCTTAGAGTGGGCCAGACACCAAGAACTAAGGAAGGGACAAGATCAGGCCTTGATATCAAGGGTTCCATAGTGTTAGACCCTCCTGGGAGGGTATCACTGTCCTGGTAGGGAGGGGAGCAAAAAGAGACTGTCCCCAACACTTCGGGTGGTGGTTAGGAAGAATGGGGAGGGCCAGCTGGGTAATGGTGCTGTTTAGGCTCTGAATCTAGAAGGAAACATTAAGGAATTGGGCCTCATTACAACAGTGGAATGTGGGGAGCACTGAACGGGGAGCTGGAAGGAAGTTTGTAGCATGTACCAAAGTCTATGCTGTTTTTTGCAATAAGTCTACTTTGGAAAATTTGTCCTAAGGAAAATGATCAGAGATTGGGACAAAGATACATGCACAAAGATGTTCACTACTGCCTAATTTATAATAGCAAACAACTGGAAAAAAAATGTTAACATCTAGTATCAGGGAAATAGTTAAATAAATAGCAGCACATCAAAATTATGGAAGGGTCTATAGCCACTTAAAATATTAGAGTGTTTCAATGACATGGAAAATTCCTCTGATACAATGTTGTAGCTAAAAATAAAACAAGAATGTGAATGCATAGAAAAAACGAAGTATTGATAAAATACTGAGAAAGCCAACACTATTAAAGTTACTTCTGGATAGAGGAATTAGGAGTGATTTTTTTCCCTCTATTTTTAAGTATGTTTCTGTACTTTTCCTATTTTCCATAACAAGCCTGCATTGACTTTGATAAGCTCTTCCTCCATCCATTCTCTCAGCTCTCCAAAAGAAGGAACAAAACAAATAAACAAAAACAAAAAGGAACTGGACAAGTTTGTTGCAAATGTGTGAATAAAATGGGATAAAGCCAGTGGAACAGTTACAACTCAAATTCTCCGTAGTGGAATAAAAAGAAAGGAAGAAAACAGCAGACTTCCCAAGAAGATTTCAGGAGACGTGAATGAAATATGGGGAAGGCACAGTCCTAACTTGGAGCTGGGGAAGTCTACAAGAAGCTGAGTAAGACCTTGCCTTGAAAAGAAAGACAGGCAACTGGCCAGCGGGAAGGTGCAGCATTGAAGTACAAGTGGGACACAGCACTATGGAGTAGGTTTTCCTGCCAACATTCGGGAACCAAGGACTGTACCCAGCTCCCACAGTTAGTCTGTCCAGCTTTCACAGTGGCTCCTACTTATCATTCTGGTTCCAGCTCAGATTTTTTTTTTTCTGGCCACCTCAGGCTACCGCCCTCCACCTCTGTCACTCCCCATCCCATACCCCATTTAACTTCTCCAGACTATTTGTCACTATCTGAACTCATGGTACTTATTTGCCATCTGGTTCACTGTACAATGTCCTTCTTTAGACTCTAAGTTCCATGAAAGCAAGGATCATGTTGCTACGTTTACTGCTTTACCCCGAGAGACTGGCACATGGTAGGTTCCCAATTAATATTTGGTTAATGAATACCCCACAGATAGGCGAGAATTCCATAAACAGGCAAGAATTCAAATATTTGCTGAATTATTCATATACCATGATTTTCTTGAACAAATTTTATTAATAGAGAAGTCACTTATGAATCTAGATGTTGATAGAAACTCATCGTAAAAGCAGTATAGTCACATACTGAAGAGCAATGTTTTGGTCAGCAACAGACCACGCATGATAGTGGCCCCATAAGATTATACTGCTTTATTTTTGCTATACCTTCTCTATGTTCATTCAGATACACAAACATTTCCATTGTGTTACAACTGCCTGCAGTATTCAGTACAGTCACATGCTGTAGGTTTGCAGCCTAGGAGCAACAGGCCATACTGTACAGCCTAGGTGTGTAGTTGGCTACACCATCTAGGTTTGTGTAAGCACACACTATGATGTTCACATGACAAGGAAATCACCTAATGATGAGTTTGTTATTAACAGAATGTATCACCATCATTAAGCAGGGCATGACTATAGCTTTTTCTGCAGGAATAGAACTTTTTTTTGGTGAGGGGATGACATGGTTAAGCTTTGTGTCCCCATCAAATCTCATCTTGACTTGTAATCCCCATAATCCCCACGTGTCAAGGGAGACCTGGTGGAGATAACTGAATCATGGGGGTGGTTCCCCCAGGCTGTTCTCAACTTGTTCTCATGAAAATGAGTGAGTCCTCACCAGATCTGATGGTTTTATAAGGGGCTCTTCCCCACTTTTCTTGACACTTCTTCCTGCTGCCTTGCGAAGAAGGTGCCTTGTTTCCCCTTTGCCTTCCACCACGACTGTAAGTTTCCTGAGTTCTCCCCAGCCATGCTGAACTGTGAGTCAATTAAACCTTTTTTCTTTATAAATTACCCAGTCTCAGGCAGTTCTTTATAGTGGTACGAAAACGGACTGACACAGTAAATTGGTACCACAGAGAGTGAGGTGCTACTATAAAGATACCCAAAAATGTGAAAGTGACTTTGAAACTGGGTAACAGGCAGAGGTTGGAACAGTATGGAGGGCTCAGAAGAAAACAGGAAGATGTGGGAAAGTTTGGAACTTCCCAGAGACTCATTGAATGCTTTTGAACAAAATTCTGATAGTGATATGGACAATGAAGTCCAGGCTGAGGTAGTCTCAGATGGAGATGAGGAACTTATTTGGAACTGGAACAAAGGTGACTCTTGTTATGCTTTAGCAAAGAGACCGGCAGCATTTTGCCCCTGCCCTAGAGATCTGTGCAACTTTGAACTTGAGAGAGATGATTTGGGGTGGAAGAAATTTCTAGGTAGCAAAGCATTCAGGGAGTGACTTGGGTGCTCTAAAAAGCACTCAGTTTTATGCATTCACTAATAGATGGTTTGGAATTGGGACTTATGTTTAAAAGGGAAGCAGAACATAAAAGTTTGGAAAATGTGCAGCCTGATGATGCAATAGAAAAGAAAAGCCCATTTTCTGAGGAGAAATTCAAGCCCTGGCTGCAGAAATTTGCATAAATAATGAAGAGCCAAACGTTAATCACCAAGACAATGGGAAAAATGTCTCCAGGGCCTGTCAGAGGTCTTCACAGCAGGCCCTCTCGCCACAGGCCTGGAGGCCTAGGAAGAAAAAACTGTTTCAGGGGTTGGGCCCAGGGCCTTGCTGCTTTGTGCACTCTGGGGACATGGTGCCCTGCGTCCTAGCCATGGCTAAAAGGTGCCAACATATAGCTCTGGCTGTTGTTTCAGACAGTGCAAGCCCCAAGCTTTGGTGACCTACATGTGGTATTGGGCCCACGGGTGCACATAAATCAAAAACTGAGGTTTGGGAACCTCCACCTAGATTTCAGAGGATGTATGGAAATGGCAGGATGTCCAGGCAGAAATTTGCTACAGGGGCAGAGCCCTCATGGAGAACCTCTGCTAGAGTGATTAAGGGAATGTGGGGTCAGACACCTCCACACAGAGTCCCCACTGGGGCATTGCCTAGTGGAGCTGTAAGAATAGGGCCATCATCCTCTAGCCCCCAGAATGGTAGATCCACCGACAGCTTGCACCATGCACCTGGAAAAGCCGCAGACACTCAACACCAGCCTGTGAAAACAGCTGGGAAGAGGACTGTGCCCTGCAGAAGCACAGGGGTAGGGCTGCCCAAGGCCTTGGGAGCCCACCTCTTGTATCAGTGTGACCTGGACGTGGATAGAGTCAAAGGAGATCATTTCAAAGCTTTAAGATTTGACTGCCCCACTGGATTTTGGACTTGCATGGGTCCTGTAGCCCCATAGTTCCAATTTCTCCCATTTGGAATGGGAACATTTACCCAATGCCTATACCCCCATTGTGTCTTGGAAGTAACTTGTTTTTTATTTTACAGGGTCATAGGTGGAAGGGACTTGCCTTGTCTCAGGTGAGACTTCAGTCTTGGACTTTTTGGTTAATGCTGGAATGAATTATGACTTTGGGGAACTGTTGGGAAGGCATGATTGGTTTTGAAATGTAAAAGGGACATGAGATTTGGGAGGGTCCTGGGGCAGAATGATATGATTAGGCTTTGTGTCCCCATCCAAATCTCATCTTGAATTGTAATCCCCATAATCCCCACAATCCTCATATGTCAACGGAGAAACCAGGTGGAGGTAATTGAATCATGGGAGCAGTTTCCCCCATGCTGTTCTTGTGACAGTGAGTTCTCATGAGATCTAATGGTTTTATAAGAGGCTCTTTCCCCTTCACTCAGCACTTCTCCTTCCTGCTGCCTTGTGAAGAAGGTGTCTTGCTTCCCCTTTGCCTTTTGACATGATTGTAAGTTTCCTGAGGCCTCCACAGCCTTCTGAACTGTGAGTCAATTAAACTTCTTTCCTTTACAGAGTACCCAGTCTTGGGCATTTCTTTATAGTGGTAAGAAAATGGACTAATACAGGGGAGATAAAAATATTTGGTGTATATAAAGGAGCATACTCATATATTACTTGGCGGAATTATAAAGTAGTACAATATCTTTGAATGGCTTTTGACTCAACATTTTTATTTTTAGGAATTTATCCTAAATTTATCCTAGGAATTTATCTGACATGAGATAAAATTTAAGCACAAATGTTTCTTAAAGCAAGAGTGATATAGCAAATTAGGAGCAATATTTATGTCCATATGAGGAAAATGGTTAAATAAAGGATGATACACTGATTCATGTACTGGAGTACAATGTTTCCATTAAGAATTATGCTTCTGAGACTATTTAAAAAAATAGAAGAAATATCTTGATATAATGGCAAGTGGAAAAAAAAACAGGCAGTAAAACTGTAAATGTGGTATAATCCCAATTATATAGAAAAAATAAAGACCCAAAGAAAGTATATTAAAAAGCTAATAGCTCTGGGTCATGGAATTATAGGTCATTTAAAAACTATCTCTTTGTATTTCCAAATTTCCTACAATTAACTCATTATTTATATGATGAGAAAAGAATGTGTTGCACATTAACAAAAAAAAAAAACTTTAAAGACCACCTTTCCTTTACACTACTCATTTTTAGGAACTGAAAATTCAGGAGTTCGTTCCTTTGCCAGGTTTTCAATAAAGAGGAAGAGAAAGGCCACCAAATAGTTTGCTTCTTAAGTTGACATAGTTGTAACAGTAGTTTAAAAACTGAAATATTTAAAAATTCTTAATTTAAATATTATATGTATTGACTGTTAAAAAATAAAAAAGCCTAACAGTTAGCTTAAATAAAACCACTTGAATGTCTATGATCTCTGATATCTTGTGTTTGCCTAAAGACTGTGATGAGAACACGAGTGATGTTGATGGTAAATGGACTCCCTGAGGTGGAGTCAGCTCACTCATTGGCTGGATGATGAGACCCCTTAGAGCAGAAAGGGACAGAGAGGCAATCAGCCCATGCTGCAGAAATGTAAGAACACCTTCCACTGCATCCCCAGTAAAAATATTTTTAACCCAAAATTAATCTGGAAAACATTTTCAAAATAAATTACTCCTTTAAAATGTAGAGTGGAAATTATGTAAGTGAAAATGACAAGTATTTCTGAGTTGTAATGTTAAACTGTTGAACTGGATGTCCACATGCAAAAAAAAAATTATCTTCAATCCATAGCTCATACCACACACAAAAATTCAAAGTAGATCATCAGACCTGATATAAAACCTAAAACTATAAAACTTTCAAAAGAATATGTAGAGAAAACTCTTTGTAAGTTGGGCAAAGATTTCTTAGATATAACACTAAAAGCATAATCCATAAATGCAAAATGGATAAACTCGAGTTCTAATACTTCTGCTCTTTGAAAGATACCATTGAGAATACAAACACAAGCCACAAACTGAAAGAAAATATTTGTAAAACATGTATCTGATAAAGGATTCCATCCAAAATATATTAGAAGCTCTCAAAACTCAGTAAGAATAAGAAGAAGAAACAATCAACTCAAATAAAAACTGGGCAAAAGATATGGCAAATAAGCACATGAAAAGATGCTCAAAAGCATTAGTCATTAAGGAAATGAAATTTAAAACACAGTGAGATTCTAGTGAACATCTATTAGAATGGCTAAAATTAAAAAGACGGACTATAGTGTTGGTGAGGATATGGAGGAACTGAACTCTCAAACACTACAGGTGGAATCAAAAATTACACAACCACTTTGGAAAAGTTTGGCAGTTTATTAAAAAGTTACACATACACCTACATGACCTAGCCAGTCTATCCTAAGTATCTGTCCTTGGACATGAAAGCATCCATGTATACATAGACTTGTACGTGCATGTTCATAGTTGCTTTATTTGTAATAGTCAAAAACTGAAAATAACACAGATGTCCATCAACAAGTAAATGAATGAACAAATGGTGGCATCCTGATACAATAGATTACTACTCAATGACAAGGAATGAACGATTGATACATGCCACAACACAGATGAATCACAAAATAATTATGCTGAGTGAAAGCAGTCAAACCAAAACCAAACTAAATCCAAGCACATACTGTATGACTCCATTTATATAAGGCCATATGATACAAACTAATCTATCATGACAGAAAGCAGATCAGCAGTTCCTATGCGATGGGGATGGGAAAGAAGGGATTACAAATGTTTGAGGTGGTAGATATATTCCTTTTATTGATTGTGATAGAATCATAGGTATATACATATCAAAGCTTATCAAATTATGCACTTTAAATATGTGCAATTTATGGTATGTTAATCATACCTTAATACAGCTATTAAAAAATTAACGTGTTCAGCTTACGTTAAACTTTTTTTTTTTTTTTTTGCTCTGTCGCCCAGGTTGGAATGCATGGGCACAGTCTCGGCTCACTGCAGCCTCTACCACCTGGACTCAAGTGATCCTCCCACCTCAACCTCCCAAGTAGCTGGGACTATAGGCACGCACCACCACACCTGGCTAATTTTTGTATTTTTTTTGTAGAGACAGGGTTTCGCCATGCTGCCCAGGCTGGTCTCAAATCCCTGAGCTCAAGCAACTGGCCCACCTTGGCTTCCCAAAGTGTTGTGATTACAGGCGTGAGCCACCGCGCCCAGCCTTGTTAAACTTTTTAGGTTACAGAAACTGATGGCTCCAAGTTCTTCTGTTACGTGATAAAATTCGACTTCTTCTTGCCCTCATTTAGTCCAGAGAGGACTGGTGGGGTGTGGGGGTGGGGTCACCGAGCTCAGAGCATCAAGAGGCCAACCTTGAGGATAAGGGTCTAGGTGTGAAGGATGCTGGACCCCACCCAGCACCCTGCTCATGCTGCCCAGGACAGGGTGAACACAGGTTTTCCTGCCTCTCTGCCTGCTGGGAGTTTTGTATGGTTCCTTCCTATCCACCCCTCCTGGGACTGCCTACCCTGCACTCACCTCTTCTTCCTCATTCTCTGACTGCCCGAACTTCAGCCGGAGACTCTCTTCAAACTCCTGATCTGTCCAGTAGAAGAGGACCTCTGCGCCCTCAGTGGCCACCAAGACGCACTTCATCTGCCAGGGAAAGGCAAGGTCAAGGTCAGCCTCCAGCCCCAACATCTATGAGCTCAGTCTGAGTAACGAAGAGGACCCCAACCTCAGCAAACATTCAGTGAGCCCCTTCTGCACACCAGGCATCACAAGGGACTTCCATTTTTGTTGCACCCTCACAACTGGACAAAGTAGAACTCTTCAGGTACCCCCATTTTAGAGAGCAGGACACAGGCACAGCCTGAAGTGGCAAAGCTGGGATCTGGACCCAGACCTGTTTGATGCCAAGGCTGGGGCCCTTTCCTCTGTGGTATCTGGTCCCTCTCAGCACAGCAACAGACCCACCACGGGGCCTACTGGAACCAGACTGGCACAGGAAGGGACCCAGGTCTTGGCCTAGACATGGAGCCGAATGCCCAGGGAGGCCATGCTCACGGCAGCCAGTTAGTGCCTGGTGTGGATCGGAGGGCACTGGTGCACCTCCATCTCTGGGCAGTCCAGAGATATCTCTCCCTCAGATAAAAACAGTTCCAGGGCTGGGCGCGGTGGCTCACGCCTGTAATCCCAGCACTTTGGGAGGCCAAGGGGGGTGGATCACCTGAAGTCAGGAGTTCGAGACCAGCCTGGCCAACATGGTGAAACCCCGTCTCTACTAAAAATACAAAAATTAGCCAGGCATGGTGGCAAGTGCCTGTTATCCCAGCTACTCGGGATAACTGCTGAGGCAGGAGAATTGCTTGAACCCGGGAGGCAGAGGTTGCAGTGAGCCGAGATTACACCACTGCACTCCAGCCTGGGTGACAGAGCGAGACTCTGTCTGAAAAAACAAACAAACAAACAAACAAACAAACAAAAAACAGCTCCAGAAGATGAGCCTCAAAGCCCCTGAATTTACTTCAGCACCACAGAAGTTTCATTCAAATGCTGCTCTCCCTGTTCATGGTGAGAACAGAGGCTGCCTAAAGCCCCTGTACCTAGTAGGCTGCAGCTTCTAGGGCCACAGCCACCAGTGTCTTCAGCCCTCCCAAATCTCCTTCCCCACCCCCCCGCCACACACACACACACCACACACTCTGTGCTTGATTATGTAAGAAATGTCTTAACTATTCACCCACTGGAAGATCTTTAATACAGCTTCCCACACTGTGTGCCATGGCCCTCTGCGTGCGGCAAACCCTCGATCTTCTAAAACTTGGGGCAGCCTGACCAGGCTGGTGAGGACAGTGCTCCAGGCTGGCTGCTGCAGCTAAGAGGCCTCAGGCAGTGGTTTCAAATCCTCTTATGTGCCTCAGGGTGTCACGCAGATATAATCATGTGGTATGTGCGCTAAGCCATGACAATGATTAGGAAGCTCTGCTGTAACTCTCACACAAGTGGATTTCCAGTTTTCTTGGGAGGATCACAGCATCTCCAGGTCTTGTGTTCCGTCATCCCCATGTCCAGCTTAGTGGTCCTTACTGAATTCCTCCCAAACTAACTTGGTGCAACTGGTCCCAAGGTATTTATGGCAAATGCCAGGAGACATAACAGCACAGTGAAGAAGGAATGCAGCCTATTCCCACAGAATTACTCAATGCCAAGGCAGACACTGAGAGTGCAACAGGTGTGAAAAGGAGGTTGCTGGGAGAGGCGGGTGGACCTGAAGAGGCTGCTCTGGGACTCCCAGGTACATGTGACAAAGCTGACCAGAGTGTATGGGTTAGGGAGCAGTGGGCTATGGAATGGAGGCTGTGGTTGTGAGCGGAGAAGTGACCGGCTGGCTGGAGATGGGCAGGTCAAGGTCATGAAGGCGGTCATCTAGGTGCGGGTGTCAGGTAATGAGTGCTCACCCCTTGGTGGGGGCTGGGAGGAGCTTTAAAGATGCAGCAGGCTGTGATGACCTGCCTGGATTCGAGGGGTGAAGGAGAGATGAGGCATCAGGATGGGGGTGGCCTCAGGATGCAGGGCTGGGGAGGGGATGAGCAGGTGTGCAGAGCCCAGTAGCACTCAGTCCACTGCCTACCTCATTCCATCTGCCTCCCAAAGCCCCAGGGTGGATGCTGCCTGCCTCCCTGTCCTCCCCAGGTGGGGCAAGATCATCTACCTTGGCAAGCACAGTGGAGCATCCAGACGGCCAGAGGTTCAGAAAGGGCTGCAGCAGACCGACTCGGTGACTGGCTCATGGGAGAGCAGCACAGCATCCCTGGTCCTGCAAATGCTTAAAACAGAGAGAATATGAGGGCAGGCAGATGCCCTGGTCTTGACTGCTGCCCGTTGAGAAAGGACAAGCTGGAGAAGGGCTGCGTGGTCCCTGGTCTCTCCAGGCCCTGAGGCAGTCTGCTAAGAACATATCTGGGATCCTGCCCCTCACCTCCCATAATGGAGAATAGGAACCCGGCCAGCACAGCCCTTTGCACAGAGCAGGTGCCCACTTTTGTTCCTTCCTCCTTTGTTCCCATGAAGTGCTCTCACTTCTGCGGGTCACTCAGAGCTCCCCAAGCAGCCCCAGGGAGCTTGCTAGGAGTGACTGACGGGAGACAGCATAGCACATCCCAGGTGGTGAGGATGCAGTCCCGGTGAAGGGAGTGGGGATCCTGGGATGATACGATGAATGGAAGGAAACTAACAGGAAAGGCATCTGGGACCAGGTTCTAGTTTTGGCTTTGCCAAGTCCCATAAACCTCTCTGAGCCTCAAACTCCTGCGGAGAAACAGAGCAACATCCCCTACTCTACCTCCCTACAGGGTTAGATCATGGGAGTGACCAGGCAAGCTGCAAAGTAACCTTAGCAAACTGCGTTCTTACATAGGTGTGGGGATCATTATTCCTATTTCCCAGCTTCCCTTCTTCAAATAACAGGATTAATCAATCTGGTTCCGGAATCATTCATATTTGAATAGAGGGCAGGAACAACAGAAAACTTAATTAGGAAGTCAAGCACTGTGAGCCAGTAAGAGGCAAGTGACTACCCGCCACAGAGACTGCTGTTACGAGTTCGGCCTTTAGCAGCCGAACCCTGAGACGGGCTCCATCACCCACATGATTGGCCCGAATGCCATATTCCCGAAACAGGGGGATGCTTCCCAAAGGCTGCTGGGAAGAGAACCTCGCCGGTGTCACACTGAGACTTCCGCTTCACCTCGCTATCTTGCCCTAGAAAGGGAACTCGGAGGGGACTCACTGACGAAAGGAGCTCCAGATGGCGGGGGGCCAACCTGGGGCGACCCCCAGCGCCCACTTTCACCATCTGGACCCCAGCAAACCTCCCTGTGGCCCTTGGTCCCGTCTTCAGCAGCTCCTTCTGGGGTCCCACACCTTCGGAGCCCGGCCCTGCCCCTGAGTCTCTGGAGAGAGCGAGTCAGCAGTTCGCCGCCGCGGGGCTCCCGTTTGCCTAGCACGCCAGTTTCTGTCCAGTTTCACCCCAAATCCCCACCTCCCCCCACCCCCGAACCTCACGGCCACCCTGGGAAGGAGGCTTGACTTGTGACATCCACCCCTCTTCACGGCTGAGGAACTTTGGCCCCGAGCGAGGAAGCGACCGGCCCACGGCCACACGCCCGGAGTGGGTGAGGCTAGGAGTGGGCCCGCTCCGGGACCCCTAGGGACCCTACCTCACTTCCGGGAGGGTTGAAGGGGGGCTCCGGAGGGAGGATCGCCGCCCCCAGAGGGGACAGCCCGGAGGCCCACGTACCGGATCGCGGCGCGCACAGCGCCCCGCCTGCAGGAGCCCGGGCGCGCTTCCGGGTAGGACCGCGTGATCGCGCACGTGACCGCCCGCCCCGGGAGGGGCCGGAGCCGCCGTCGCCTTCCGCGGGTTCGAGCCCCGCCCCTGCCAGGCCTTGCCCATGCCCCATTTTACAGAAGAGGAAACGGAGGCGCAGAGAGAAGAAATAACTTGCTGAGGGTCCGAACCAGGCTCAGAACCCAGGTTTCCTGGCTCCTCAGCTGATCCCTTCTCTCCTCCCCATGCCCCGGAACCTCAGGCTTTGCCTAATGAACTGAAGTTCTGGGGCTAGAGCTGTCCTTTTGTGACTGCTCTCCCTGACCTTTGGGGAGGTGACATAGCGCACAGAAGGGCTCAGTTGCCCCCAGAGTGCCAACGCTGGAATTTATAGGAGTTCTCAATCTATTTTGGGAGTGGAGTGCACATTAGGAGTTTTGTGTTGAACCTATGTTTGCAATATTTATTTTAAAAAATCGTATGTGTATTGGGGGTGCCTGGAAGTGGAGGGGGCGCTCTGGAAGGGCCTAAATCCCCGAACAGTCCACCCCTCAGTGCCTGGGTGCCACCTGGGAGCTTTGAGCCCAGCCCAGCAAGGTATGGGTTGCAAGAACTGGCTGGGGATATAGTAGATTGAGCATCTCTTGGGGGAAAGGCAGAGGCTAAGAATCAATACTTCCACCACCTGCAGATCAAAGAGAGCATCACTCCCCCCAACCCACTACCCACCCCTTCCAGCCCACCTTAGGGCAAATTCTTCCAACTCCCCATCTACAGCACATAGCCCTGCCACACGCATCTCTTTGCTCAGCCCACCGTTGAGATCGTTCACTCACTATGCTTTCAGTGGTCGAATGAATTCCATCAAATGGATATGCTGTTATTTACTTATTCATTCCCCTACTGGTAATTTCCATTTCCCAACTGCAATGTATGAGGATTCTGATTTCTCCACATCCTCACCAATGCTTGTTATTGTTGATTTTTTTTTTTTTAAGTATAGTAACCCAGCGTGGAGTGGTGTCTTGTGATTTTATTTGCACTTCCCTGACGTTCGGCATCTTTTCATGTGCTTTTTGCCTATTTGTGTACCTTCTCTGGAGAAATGTCTATTCAAATCCTTTATCCATTTTTAAATTGTCTTTATTATTGAGTTGTAAGAGTTCTTTATATGCTCTGGTTACAAGCCCCTTATCAGATACTTGATTTGCAAAAGTTTTTTTCCCATTATGTGGCTTGTCTTTTCACTTTCTTAGTGGTATCATTTGTAGCACCAAAGTTTTACATTTTTATGTAATCCAATATAATCTATTTTTTAGTTATGTACGGGTTTTTTGTGTCAACATGTTTCTTTTTTTCAAATTTGTTTGTGGTAAAATACATATAATGTAAAATTGATCATTAAGCATTTTAAGTGTATTGTTCAGTGGTATTAACTACATTCCTAATGCTATGCAGCCATCACCACCATCCATCTCCACAGCTCTTTTCATCTTTTAAAACTGAAACTATATCCATTAAGCAATAATGCTGGCCGGGTGTGGTGGCTCACACCTGTAATCCCAACACTTTGGGAGGTCAAGGCGGGCGGATCACAAAGTCAGGAGTTTGAGGTCACCCTAGCCAACATGGTGAAACCCTGTCTCTACTAAAAATACAAAATTAGCAGGGTGTGGTGGCACACAGCTGTAGTCCCAGTGACTCAGGAGGCTGAGTCAGGAGAATTGCTGGTACCAAGGAGGCAGAGGTTGCAGTGAGCCAAGATCATGCCACTGCACTCCAGCCTGGGCAACGGAGCGAGACTCCCATCTCAAAAACAACAACAAAAACAACAACAACAACAATTCTTCATTCCTCCTCATAGCAACCACAATGTTACTTTCTGTCTCTATGAATTTGACTACTCTAAGTACCTCATATAAGTAGAATCATACAGTATTTGTCTTTTTATGACTGGCTTATTTCACTTAGCATAATATTCTCAAGGTGCATTCATGTTGTAGCATATGTGAGAATTCCTTCCTTTTTTCTTTATTTTTAAGCCTAAATAATACTCTATAGTCTGTATATACTACATTTTGCTTATCCATTTATCTGCTGATGGACAATTGGGTTACATCCATTGTGAATAAGGCCATTATGAACATGAGTGTACAAATATCTCTTTGAGACTCTGCTTTCAATTCTTTTGGGCATATACCCAGAAGAGAAACTGCTAGATCATATGGTAATTCTATTTTTAATTTTTTAAGGAACTACCATACTGTTTTCCACAGCAGCTGCATCATTTTACATTCCCAACCTGGAACAAGTGTTCCAGTTTACCCACATCTTTGTCAACACTTGCTATTTTCTATTTTCTTTAAAATTTTTATAGTAGCCATCCTAATGGGTGTGAGGTAGTTCAACATAAGTTTATATTTCTCTTAGGTAAATATCTACTCATGGGATTGCTGGGCTGTATGGTAAGTCTGTGTTTAAATTTATATTAAACTGCTGAACCATTTTCCAAAGTGGATGTACCATTTTACATTCCTTCTAGCAACACTGAGAGGTGTAATTGCTCTGTAGTCTTGTTAGCACTTGATATTGTCCTATTTTAACTTTAGCCATTCTAGTAGGTATGTGGTAGTATGTTAAGTGTTCAAATTTTGCCTATTTAAAAATTGGATTGTTTGTCTTATTATTTATTTATGTGTTTGAATTCAAGCCCTTTATTATATTTTTTTTTCCCAGTCTGTGGCTTTGTCTTTTCATTTTCTTTACAGTGACTTTTGAAGAGCAGAAATCTTTGTGCATTTTGTGTCCTATGTAAAGTCTCTGCTTAGCCAGGGTCACAGAGATTTTCTCCTGTTTTTTCTTTTTTGCAGAAATTTAATAGTCGTAGATTTTGTCTTTAGGTTCACAATCCATTTTGAGTTAATTTTTGTGTGTGATGTGAAAGAAGGTTGAGGTTTTAGTCTTTTGTGTGTGTGTGTGTGTGTGTGTGTGTGTGTGTTTTGTATATAGATGTCCAATTTTTCTAGAACCATTTGTTGAAAAAAAATATTTTCTCAGCCAGGCGTGGTGGCTCATGCCTGTAATCCCAGCACTTTGGGAGGCTCAGGAGGGCAGATCATCTGAGGTCAGGAATTGGAGACTAGCCTGGCCAACATGGTGAAACCCCATTTCTAGTAAAAATACAAAAAAATAAATTAGCTGGGCGTGGTGGCATGCACCTGTAATCCCAGCTACTCAGGAGGCTGAGGCAGGAGAATCGCTTGAACCCAGGAGGCAGAGGTTGCAGTGAGCCAAGATCGTGCCATTGCACTCCGGCTTGGGCAACAGGAGTGAAACTCCATCTCAAATAAATAAATCAATCAATCTTTTCTCCATTGGATTAATTATCATGGCACGTTGTCTCAAATCAGTTGACCATCTGTGTGTGAATCTATTTTTGGAGTCTATGTTCAATAAATTTAAAAGGAGTTTATTGATTTTCTTAGAGGCAGTTTTTGGTTGAATCAATTTTTATTGATCCTGTTTTTAAATTCATCAGTTTCTGTTCTGATAGTTACTATTTCGTGTCTTCTGTTTACTTTGGGTTTTTTTTTCTTCTAGAAACAGAGGCCACTGATTTGAGACCTTTTGTCTTTTCTAATGGAGTTGAGTGCTGTAGATCTTCCCCAAGGTCCTGCTTTATCAGCATCCCACAACTTTTTATCTGCCATGTTTTCATTTTCAATTACTTTAAAATGCTAATTTTTCTTTTGATTTATTTAGAGTATAGTTCAGAGGTCAGCCAGATATTTGAGTGTACTTTGTACCAGCTTTTTAAGTTTCTCCCACCTGTTCCCTTTCCCTCTCCATTCAATTTTCAGCTGCTCTGGCAGTCTTGAACACCAATGTCACTCCACGGTCTAATATAATAGCTGCTTGCTGATGGACCTTGCTCTTTGTTGTGAACTAGGGGAATTCCTTCAGGAGAAAAGCCAAATAAATGTGGATATCACCCAGTGTGATTTTCTTCATTCAAGAGCTATATCTCCTGCAGTTTCTGCCTGCTCTTAGCTGTTCTGCATTGCCTTCAAAGAATTGTTTTTTCAAATTTTGTCTAAGGTTCGTAATTGTTATTGGCAAAAGGGTCAGTCTGATACAACTGTAACATTACCAGAAATTGGAAGTTCTTTCTGCATATTTTTATATGTAGTCTTTTCCATTTAGTTTAAAATATTTTCTTTTTATTGTGATTTCTGATTTTTTTCTCATGGAATATTAAGAAGTGTGTTTCTTAATTTTCAAGCACAGGGAGATTTTCTAGTTTTCTATCTCTCTATCTATCTATCTATCTATCTATCTATCTATCTATCTATCATCTATCTATAATTTCCACTTATATTCCACTGCTGTCAGAAATACATTGTATGTTATTATTCTTTGAAGTTTTTTGAAACTTTATGTCACAGTATATAACCACGTTTTATAAATATTTCGATGTGTTGTTGAAAAAGGACTTTATTCATTTGTTGTTGTAATGTTCTCCATATATCATTTAGATAAAATGTTAATTGTATTGTTTAAATCTTTTCTATTCTTTCTGATTTTTGTCTGCCTTTTCTCTCATTTTCTGAGAGAAATAGCAGTTAAAAATCTATTATAATTGCAAATTTTTCTATTTCTCCTTTTATTTCTGTTAGATTTTTGCTTCACATATAGGAGATGTCATTAGGTACATGCAGATTTATAATTATATATCTTACTGTTAAATCAAAACTTTCATCTTTATGAAATGTCCCTATCACTAGCAATGCTTTTTGGTTTTACAAAAGCATTTATTGTCTCATATAAACATAAGGACATCACCTTTTGTTGCATGGCATATCTTTTTCTTACTCCTTTTAATTTCTTATATTTTAGATATTTCTTTTGAAATAGCTTTTAATTGAACTTTCTTTTATCTTATCTGACAACCTTCATCTTTTAATCGGAGCATTTATTCCATTTACATTTAGTGCCATTACAAATAAATTTGGTTTTAAATCTATTATCTTGCTAGTTGCTTTCTGTTTGTCCTGTTCTTCATTATCTTTGTCTTCTTTCTTGCTTTCTGTTAGATGAAGCGTTTTTGTTATGATTCCACTGCCTCTCCATTCACTTAAAGAATATACTCTTTTAAGTATTCTTTCAGTGGTTACCATAGAGACTAAAACATGCATCCTTGACTTATCAAAGTTTAATGTAAATTAGTAGTTTTACCTCTTTCTTGAAAATGTAAGGATGTTAATATATCTTCCATTTACCAGCTTTCAATATGTATGGTATTATTGTAATGCATTTTTAATTATTTACCTATTTTAAATTGCAAGAGACATTGTTATTATTAGATTATATTTATTTAGAGTTTCCCACATAATTACCCTTCACGTTGCTTTTTATTCTTTCCTGCATCTCTCATTGCATTATTTTGATTGTTCATTCTTTCTCTCCCTGTCTGTCTTCATCTTTCCTTTCACTGTCTCCTCCAATTTTCTCAGCCTCCCACCACCCATGCACTTGTAGACATAGTTGAGTTCCAAGACATTAGGTGCATACGTGGTGAAATTCTACTATAATACATTTCAGTTGCTGCTGGAGCAACCCCACGTACTTGTCTTAAAGTTCAATTTAACTAATTTCTCCTATGTGAGGTCAATCTTTTCCTTTTAAAAACCTAACAAGGTGGGTATGCCTTGGGGCATGCTTAGTCTGCATTAAATATGCACTAAATCACGGCTTGGAAGAAACTGGGGTGGCAAGAGTCAAGTAATTAACTCAAAAATAAAATCAGGACACTATCCCTGAGGGTGAGAGGATCTTCAAAACGTGTTATCTGTGTTGAATTTCATGTGCATGCATTCTAGAAGGCACGTTGCATTTAGGTAGAAATAGCAACAATTTAAAGCTAACTTTGAAACTTCTCAAAAGGATGTTATCTAATATATAAGCTAACATGAGGAGGAAATAGAAAAACAATAGCACTTGGACCAGAGACCATCTGACATAACATCAGACAACAGGGAGTTTCAGGTAAACTTAGATTTCACTTAAATCCAAAGTCCTCATTTTATAGATGAGAACACTGAGGTCCAGAGAGGCTGAGTGACTTGTCTTCTGAGGTGGATAAAATCAGTGGAATAGCCTGTTGTGATCTCCAGGTGTGACTGTTCATTGGGTCTAGAGTTGGCCTCTATGATTCTCTAGTTACCTTTTAACCCACTTTGCTATTTGAGGTTTCAAATTATATTTTTGATGTTTCTGGTACAGGGGGCAGCATCTTCTACTATGTGCATCTACATTGGATGGCAGTGGAGCAACACAGATTGTTTTCTGACAAAAATCAGCCAAGTACTAGGAGAGGCAGGACTTTAGAAGTGGAGGAGATGGAGAAGGAAGCTTAGGTTACTATGGAGTGTGCAAAAAGGTCCTGTGGATTTAGATACCACCACACACAAATGGTATGTAATACTCACTTGAAGACAAATCAGCCAGAGGGATCTAACAGCATTGACCCATTCTCTGGTCTTCTAGCATCCATCATAGTTTTGTGCTCCTTTTCCATGAAACACAGCTGTTGTTGGAAGGTACCTGCCCAGATAAGGACTGCATTTCCTCTAGCATCCAGATGGGACCAAATGACTGCTGGCCAATAGAAGTGAGTGGAAAGGACTGACTCCAGTTCCAGGTTGGGCCTCCAACTGCTCTGGGCACGTCGATGGAACAGAACACCACCTCCACCCCAATACCACCAATTCAACTTTACATGAATTATAAGCGAGAAATAACTTGGACTGTGTTAAGTCATTGAGTTTCTGGGGTTTAACTGTTATTATAGTTAAGAATGACTTTAACTAATATAGTCAATGACATCTAACTGGAGTTATGAAATTCAATTTCTACTTAGAGTAATTGAAGCAAAGGTTGTGGGGGAGGGGAGGAGGGCAGCACACCATGAAATCAGAGATCCCCAGTACGTGTTAGTTCATCAGTCAATCAGTCTTAAGGTCAGGGTGTAGTGTGGGCAGCAGTTGCCTCCCTCTCCCCACAGAACACCCTGAGAATAGGAAGTTAGAGTAGTCGCATCTTATTACTTACAAAACATTACCTCAAAATGCAAACTACCCCCTGGACCCAAACTCTCTACAATCACCAGGTTCCATAAACTATAATCTACTCTGTTTTCTGGAAGAAAATATTAACCTGTTAAAATTCCCTGCACAGAGAGGAAACTTTTTCTGGGAGGTATTCCTGAACTCATTTTGCCAACTTCCAGATGAACAAAACTAAAGTTTCTTTTTGCTTCTTCCAAAAACATAAATTATCAAATAACATTTATAACTTGAAAAAGAATCCTAGAATATTTTCATGAATAATAATTAGAAGAGTAATGTTCACATGGGAAGGGCGTCTTTTCTCTGCTGTGTGCATAGGACCCTGGGACCCTGGGATTTAAGTCATATGGAACTTGGTCAACTCCTCCAAAATGCTCCCAGCGCTCACAGGGGCTGCCTTGGTGTTTGGAAGGAGGTGGTGCCAAAGCAGTTGGTTTGCTGGATTTTGACTTTCTTTTTTTAAAGTGGTATTTGCAAATACTACCCCGAGGGCAATGGTTAATGGATTTGACCTTTGGGTCATGGGGGCCAGGGAGCAGCACTCATAGAAGCTGTGTGTGTGTGTGTTGCGGGGCGGGGGCGGGCTGCTGACTGGCTCTGCCACTCACCTCTCAGGCCTTAGGAATACTGAAGATTCTCACCTACGATTGGTGGCGATGGTGGGAGTGGTCCTTAAAACTGCTTTATAGAAAATCATAGTGGAGGCCAGGCGCCGTGGCTCATGCCTGTAATCCCAGCACTTCGGGAGGCCGAGATGGGCGGACCACGAGGTCAGGAGATCAAGACCATCCTGGCTAACACGGTGAAACCCCGTCTCTACTAAAAATACAAAAAAATTAGCCGGGTGTGGTGGCTGACGCCTGTAGTCCCAGCTACTCTGAAGGCTGAGGCAGGAGAATGGCGTGAACCCAGGAGGCGGAGCTTGCAGTGAGCCGAGATCGTGCCACTGCACTCCAACCTGGGCGACAGAAGGAGACTCCGTCTCAAAAAAAAAAAAAAAAGAAAGAAAAAGAAAAAAGAAAATCATAGCGGAACAGACCAGGATGACCACTGATCGGCCAAGGTGAACCTGGACTCAAAGTTCTACAGCAAAGGCTGTCCACAACACTACTTACTACTCACTACTCACAAGAGCTTCTAGTTGGCATCCTCAAACCAGAGAGCAGTTGTACTGGGGGTAAGGCACTGCTAGGGTTCTCTGTAGGACACACATGAGATGTTAAGGAATCTAGCTGTGGGCAATACAGAGATGAGAAATAGGTGGCTACAATCAGTCAGGTGAGAGGTAGCACAGTGTAGGGATAGCAGGCTTTGAAATTTTTAACAGACCTGGGTTCAACTCCTAGTTTTGCCACACTGTTTTTCTGGGTGGTCTTGAACAAGTTCTTTCTCTAATCCTCCCCATCTATAATTGGGTCTGAACACTTACCATACCACCCAGCACTGCTGTGAGCATTCAATAAAATAGCACGTCTGATAAGAAGAAGGCACTTGATCAAGGAAGGGCAGCCACAGAAGCCTTCGTGCCATGGTTAGTGGAACTCAGAGAGAAGGGTTCTGTATGTCCCAGTTGTTTGGGCCTTATAATAATAATAAAATTCATTTTAGCACTATCTCTCTTTGGAGTACTTCTTATCTGCTTTTCAATCCTGGTATATCCTAAGAAAAGATTACAAACAATTCTAAAATGGAAACTTCACTTCAATACAGCAGATTTCCCTGGGCTCCTGGCTGGGCACAGAGTGGCTGGCAGAGGGGAGTCTGTGGACGTGGAGAGTAAGTTGGTGGAAACGAGCACTCAGCAGGGGCCAGGCTGGGGCAGTTGTGCCGATGCTGGAGAGAGGAGAAGTGGAGGAAGCCATGCTAGGTAAAGTTTATGCCCTTTCTTCTCTTGCCTTTTCCAAGCCACAGCACTATTAATTTTGGTTGCTCTATTGATATTTCAAAATGTTAGTCTTCCCTTCCCCTTGTGTTTTTATCGTCAGAGGGATCCACCTGGTTCACCTTTGCTTCTGCAGAGACTCAACACTGCCCTTTTGTTTTCAAACATAAAGCTACTCTCAATGGATTTCCAAGGTGAATCCTGCAGCTGCATCCATCCCAGACACTGGGGCCTTGAGTGCCTGTGGAGCACACCTGCAGATGCTGGGCCTCGCCATGACCACCAGAGGCTAAGTGGTTAGCACACGAGTCCTCACTGCCAGGGGGCCACAGAGACTCCCAGTGCTGACAGCAGGTGGGAGCCTCTTCAGGCAGCATCCACCAGCAACCTCTGCCCTGCTGGAGAGTGCAAGGCTTTGAGCCCACCTGCCTAGGGACCGCCCGCCTGCTGGGGAAGGGTCAGGCTGCAGAGGGCCACTAGGCTTTTGGGAATTGAGCTTCTGGGAGCCCCAGGCCTTAGTCTCACTGTAGCCCAGTTCTGGTATTTTCAAACTTTTCTCCAGCAGAGATAATGCTAATAATCCCACAGCTGCAGCATTGTTCAGGGCACTAGAAGAATTGGGACTTTCTCTCCAAATAACAATGAGTATTTCTTCTGAGCCTTTGTGATAAGAAATGAGAAAGAAGATCATTCCTAGAGGCAGAAGCAGAAAACCAGCTCAACAATAGGCAGAAACTTTTCATTATACATTATTAGTCTTTCAAATGAGCATTTCTGCCAGCCCATTCTAGGTTTAAAATAAAGTGGCTTTTAAGTCTCAGATTATTATGGCCACATCTTGTTTTAGGAAGGAAATATCTGATCTGGGGCAGCTGCCCGACCAGCTCTTCTGTGCTTTTGTCCCTGCTCCCAGCTGGCAACCTGCTCCCTTGAAGTGCATTGTGATGCTGCATTTTGCCACAGGCTGTCTTTTTGCGGGTGAGTGTGATAGGGGAATCCCTATGACAAGCAACCCCCACCCCTCCAAGGGAAAAAGCCAAGGTGTTTCTATGGAATGTGATTTTATAGTGAGTTTTTCTGGTATCCTTTGAACAATGCGCATATTTCTTCTGTGAAACAGTTACAAAGTTAGAACTGCAGGACTCCAGAGATAAATTTCAGTAATTCCCTCTTCCTTTTATTAACTAAAAAATAAACAAAACTTAAATCTCGTGAGAGCAGCATTTAATACACAGAGAAAGATAAAAGAAGCAGGAATTACCCATATTCTGCAAGGTTTAGTAAAAAAAAATCAACACTTATTTACAGAAAGTGTGTTTGAGTGGAGTTCTGGCTGTTCTGAATGAGCAGAACCTACAAAGATGTGAAGGAGGTGTCTGGACCTGTGGAGCCGCTGAGCCTTGTGGCTGAGTGGGCAGGCTCTGGATTATTTCGCGCTCGGCAACCCATTTCCCCGGGTGCCCCTGGGCGAGCCATGGATCCTCTCCATGCCTCGTAGGAAAAATGGGGATAACAGTAGTACCCCTTTATCATGGGGTTACTAAGGACGCAAAGCAAACCATAGGTCCCCAGGGCCAGGCTCTTAGGGACCTTTGGTTACTCTTGTTATATCAGGGGGCCCTGCAGTCGCACCTGTACCAGTATGTAGAAGAGACGTTGATATCTGCACACATTTTTAACAGTTGGGGGAACGACCTTTTAGTCTCATTTCTCTTTTCCTCTCTTTTCCTCACTTTGGCCTGTCAATCTGTTTCTTCTTTCTCTTATTTCCTACCCCCCGCCCCGCCCCCATCTTGGTACTTCACTTTCCTGCCCTCTCAGAGCTGAAGCCTCAGTGGGAGGTGCCTGGTCCCAGAGAAACGGGTCCCTTCTGGGCAGCCTTGCAGGGCGGTCTCAGGGTCTGCCCCTCTCTCTCCAGTTGCTTCCATGCTGAGCACAGCCACTGACCTGGTGCAGCCTGGTCCTCGGGCTCTCCCTTTCTTGCTCGCTGTAGTACATCTGCTGTATGCTGTTCCTCCTGTGCTTAATGATAAGCATGTCAAAACCCGGTCCCCTCGCTTCCTGGAATTAGGTAGTCAGCTTCCCTCTCCCAAATCCACCGTTCTCCAAGCTCAGAATTCTCTCCCTCCTCTTTGGTCTAATCTCCCTTCCATCTCTCACTTTGCAGACTTGGCCCAAATCCTTAACTCCGTGTGCGTCTTAGGCAGCCTCCCTAGTCTCTGCCCTAGGCAACCCTGCCTTGCCCCCGCCCCATTCCTGTCCTTTCACAAACAGCAGAAATTGTATCACCGTCTCACTTGGAACAGTGTCAAATCTCTCCTCCTTCTAACAAAAGCATCATTCCTGTCATTTATCCTGAGAAAGAAAATCACATCCACAGAAAAGAAAGTCATTTCAGCTGTAGCTCATTGGCAAAGACCCTCATGCCCCTTGAATCATATAGAACGTCCTCATCCCCCACTTCACACCTGCCCAACTCAGAAGCTTCCTACCTACCATTCCATAGTTTTGGCCAGATCTTCATTCTCTAGATTCCCTATTCTCTCCCAAAATGGCTAACAAAGTTTTGTTCTAGCTCAAATAGGCTACTTGGGAAGAGGCAAAAAGGTTAGATTCAGTTGTGTCTTCCAGTGATGACCTTGATTCACACTTTTTTCTTCTTTTTTAAAAATAATGATTTGAGTTAACCAAACAATTAAGGGCTTACCCTATAGAGCCCCTAATATTCTCTTAATTTTGGAGAGGTCTAATTTGCTTTGTCCAGTTGGGGTGTGTGTGTGTACCTGATGTTTCAGTATGCTTTCTCTTTGTACTCAAACTCTCCCTCATAGCAACATGAAGAATGATGACTACTTTTTGTTGTGCCTAATAAACTGCTCTCCACTCAATGAATATTGTTACTTGACTCCCATTACAACTCTGGGGGAATCTGGATTCACAGAGGAATAGAACCTTCTTACCAAATCTGGAGTGTGATTGTAATTTTACTTTTGAAGCACCCGCTTCCCAGAAGAACTGCCAGTGATGGATGCCACTGTCAGGAACCCAGATGCGCACGCTCATACATCAGCCGGGAAATCATACAAACAGCTCTCCCAGCAGGCCAGGGCTGACACACCCATTACTCCCCTATGGAAAGAGATGTGTCAAAAAACTCAGGGCAGCAGCAAGAAAGAGGCAGAGAAGAAGGAGTTGGGAGAGGATGGGTTTTTGTAGGTCCACCCAGTTTTTTTCCTTCCTCATCTTCCTCTGAGGGCAGCAGCAGCAGCAGGCTAAGGTTTGGATTTGTGGTTATAATGCTGTGTGACAGGATCATGGGGAGTTGTCTGGAAACATTTCTCCTGGGAGTGTGCTGTCAGCTCGTTTTCATAGTGCACATGAAGGGAAACATTCTGCTCTATACACATGCCTTTATCCTTATATAGGTACAGGTGATGTCTACATTTTCCTTTGGGATGGATGTGGCCTACCTAGGCTAAGATCACGCTATGACATTTAGTCTCTTTGGAGAGCAAGTCTGTGTTGATTCCAGCAGGATGGGGCAGCAGGGGCTGGTTGCTAGGATGTCTGAAAACAGAGGATACTACTGGAGTGGAGGAGTGGAAGCAGCCCAGCAGGCCCACTGGTAGCCGTGAGTGTGAGGATAGCTTATCGGTAGCGGCAGGCCAAAGCATTGACATTCTTGACCACATAAAAGCCCATGGTGACTGGAGGGATGACCAATGTCCGGCCGGCCCGAAGGGGGCGGGGCTTCAATTCTGGGAGGGTCCCGTCGTCCACCATCACTAAGGGCTGGCCATTCAGTTGCACTGACCTACAGTGAGGAAAAACAGTATGGGACTCATTATTGCATTATAAGGGAGCCACTGCAACAAAGCCTAGCCCCAGATGGCCTGGCAGTGTCTGATACACACACACAGCTGACACTTATTGTTACTGGCTATGCCCTAGATTCTGACCTAGGTGCTTTACTTTAATAACTCATTCAAACATCCCAACAACCCCCCCACTCCCCTGAGGTAAGTAACTATTAATATCATTATCCCCATTTTATCTAGAGTGGCTAGGTGACTTGTCCCAAGTCACACAGCTTGGAGGTCCAGGGTTTGAACCCAGGTAGTCTACCTCCATAGACACATTTAGACAAGTGAAAAGTCTGTGATGCAGAAGCTGGAATGTTTCATTCCTATTTTTTAAAAATCACAATATCAGCTCAGTTTGACTTTTCCACCTAAAGAGTTTTTACCTGTGGAATGATACATGGGCTTAAGATGACTTCAGAAATCTATTTAACTCATATCTCATTAATTTACTTGACAGATTAGATAACTGACATTACCTTGCTTGTCTAAGGTTATACGGAAGGGAGACAGAGACATAGGTAACACCTCTACTTTTTCTAATTTAAGAATGAGTTTTGGCTGGGTGCAGTGGCTCATGCCTATAATCTCAGCATTTTGGGAGGCTGAAGAGGGAGGATCGCTTGAGTCCAGGAGTTTGAGACTAGCCTGAGCAACATAGCGAGACCCCATTTCTACAAACAATATAAAAGCAAAATTAGCCTGGCATGGTGGCTACTCAGGAGTTTGAAGTGGGAAGATCACTTGAGCCTGGGAGGTTGAGGCTGCAGTGAGCCAAGATTACACCACTATACTCCATCCTGGGTGACAGAGAAACTCTGTCCCTAAAAAAAACAAAAAATGAGTTTTCATATTTAATATTAACAGATGTTTCCATTTAGCAAAACAGCAAAGTAAGTGATAAAGTAGGCATTTGTGATCACAATTCATCTATCTTGCTTTTATCCTTTCTGTATAGCCAGCCACTTTCACCCTGAGAAGGGGGACTACATACATAGCAAACTTAGAAAAGAGAAACAGCTCATCTTATGCTGGATAGAGGGAAATGCCACCTATCCTTGACCTATGGTACCAGAATCCAGATAATGTTCCAGCTGTTCCTGACAGCCATGCACCCAGGTGGAAGCTTAGTTTTATGGGTCAGCAGAAAAGGCCAGAAACAGGCCACCAGCTGGAAATAAGGTTGTGAGTCACCCTCAGAAAATCAACATTGCATAGTGATGACTGTTTCTGGGCCTTGCCCAACCTCCAGTGTGATAACATTGCCGTGACATCATCTGAGCTGTAAAGAGAATAGAATGTTATAAATTGATATAGAGGTCTTTGTTTAGTGTTCCTTCTGTGCTATGAATGATAGACTGCTTTAGAGAGAGATAATCAGACCCATGCCCAATAGAGCAGTGAATTCCCAGAGATAAGTGTGTTGTAAATTGCTCCCAATGGAGAGCTAGGCAGAGAAGAGATCCAGGCCTGGCCCCACATGGGTAAGTTTGGGCTAGGTCCAGATCTGATAGGCCAGAGGGAGCAGGCCCCCTCCCTTTGCTAGAATGACTGAGTGAATAAGTGAGTAGGAGGCTTCTATATGGAGAGCGAGGCCTGCCTCTGGAAGGCATGGGGTGGGAGAATTGAGATCTGAAGGTCAGTGTTGACCGCATCAGATATGCAAGGAGCTTTTGCTTCCAAATATGAGAAGTGACCCTCTGTAGTGAAGACAGCCTACTCATTGGAGTGGAAGGCAGGGTGAGGAGAGTGGTTCAGTTACAAAAGAAGCCCAGATGGGTCTTCACAGTGTATTTTCATTATTTTGTTTCAGGTGCTATGAATATCTATCACCCAGATATAAGCACAGTCAAACACGAGTTCAATAATACCGATTAATCTTTCTAAGGCATACTCAAATTTATATCAGGTCTCTGCTAGAAAACCTTCAATGGTTTCTCCCATATACAGAATTAGGTGCAAACCTTTCTTCTGAAGAATTAGGTAATGCCCTTTTAGATTCAGATGATCCCACAGTATTGACATCTTTGGGTTCTGGGGAGTGCAAAACAACGTGTGATTAGCAAACCTTTAAAAATCTATACTAATAAGGAGTAGTTGTCCTGGAACAGGCCCTATTCTGGTTTCTTTATTGGTTGGTTAAAAAGCTAAGAGTAGAACCAGGAAGCATGGTGAAGATTCTCTACTGAAATCTCGAATTCCAGGAGCCAAGTTGCTAACTAGCTAGATGGCTTTGGCAAATCCCCTAACCTCACTGCCCTGTAGCTTTTGCATCTGTAAGAACGTTATATAGGCACCAAAGAAATGAAATAAGAAATATGAAAGTGCTTTGAAAGCATAATGAACCATATACTTAAGATATGGTGTTTTTGTTGTTGTTGTTCTTTTTATTTTTATTTATTTATTTTTTTGAGATGGAGTCTCGATCTGTTGCCCAGGCTGCAGTGCAGTGGTGCATTCTTGGCTCACTGCAACCTCTGCCTCCTGGGTTCAAATGATTCTCCTGCCTCATCCTCCCGAGTAGCTGGGACTACAGGCATGTGCCACCACACCTGGCTAATTTTCGTATTTTTAGTAGAGACGGGGTTTCACCATGTTGGCCAGGCTGGTCTCGAACTCCTGACCTCAAGCGATCCACCTGCCTTGGCCTCCCAAAATGCTGGGATTACAGGCATGAGCCACCGTGTCTGACCTGTTGTTGCTATTGTTTTTAATGTCACTGTGGACAGATGCACTTGTTGGTCCTTATCATACCTGACTGCTCTGTGGTACTCACATTTTCAGGTCTCCATTCTCAAAACCCTCTCTCCCCTTGGCTCCCATGATATTTCTCTCTGTTTTCCTCCATTTCTGGATGGCGTTTTGTTTTCGTTTTTGTTTTTGTTTTTTTGAGAGGGAGCCATTCCCCTCTGCCTGCTTCTCAGATGCTAGGGTTCCTAGTGTTTTGTCCCTGGACTCTTCTGTCCCCACACTCTGCACTCCTCCCAGGTTGCTGCTGCTCTCACCCTTGACTTCGGTCACTATCCACAAGCTGATGCTCCCTAAGCTTGTATCTCTACCCTACCTACATTCTTTCTATGAACTTCTGTATCTCCACTTGGCTGTCCACAGGAATTTCAAAGTCACTAGGTCCAAATTCAAAATCTTCTCCTCAAACTCTGTCCTTATCTCTGCTTTTTTTTTTTTTTTATCTTTGTGATGGTACCGCCATTTATCCAATTACTGTACCCAGAAAGCTTGGAGTCTTCTGAGACTTCTCCCCCAATTCCCTTGTGTAGGGTAGCCAAGTCAAAATAATTCGACCTTATAGTGTTTTTCAAATCTGCTCCTTTTCCTCCATCCACTGCTATCTTTTTAGTTCAGAACTTGCCTCCTAACCTATCTCTGTGCCACATTGCTGACAGTTATCTGTTGTCACTGCACCGCTTCAAACTTGCCAACACTCCCCTTCCCTTACACTTTATTGTGAACAATGACACCCAGCTCCAGCTACCTCTCCAGTCTCAGATCCCGCCAGTCCCCCCTCCAACGCTCACTGTGGATCGCAGACCTCTGGGAGTGGGCATTGGTAGGGGGTTGCCAGTTATTGTAAGAATTTCATTAATATATGCATACACAAAGATGACGAATGAAAAAATAATGTCTTTCACAGAGATGAGGTAAATATTTCTCAATGAAAATGTAAGTAGATATTGTTGGGATTGAAATACACAAGTTAATTCAAAAGTATAGTAGGCTGGGTGTGGTGGCTCATGCCTGTAATCCCAGCACTTTGGGAGGCTGAGGCAGGAGGATCACTTGAGTCCAGGAATTTGAGACCAGCCTGGGCAACATAGTGAGACCCCCATCTCTACAAAAAAATAAACAAAATTAGATGGGTGTGGTGGCACATGCCTGTAGTCCCAACTACTTGGGAGGCTGAGGTGGGAGGATTGCTTGAGCCCAGGACATTGAGACTGCAGTAAGCTGAGACTGTGCCACTACACACCAGTCTGGGTGACACAGTGAGACCCTGTCTCCAAAATAACAAAAAGGTAGAAAACATTTTTCAGGCCGAGTGCGGTGGTTCACGCCTGTAATCCCAGCACTTTGGGAGGCCAAGGTGGGTGGATCACGAGGTCAGGAGTTTGAGACCAGCCAGACCAACATGGTGAAACCCTGTCTCTACTAAAAATACAAAAATTAGCCAGGTGTGGTGGCGCACACCTGTAATCCCAGCTACTCAGGAGGCTGATGCAGAAGAATTGCTTGAATCCGGGATGCAGAGGTTGCAGTGAGCCAGACTGCACCACTGCACTCCAGCCTGGGCAACAGTGCGAGACTCTGTCTCAAAAAAACACAAAAAAAGAAAGAAAATATTTTTCAAAAGTAAATGCTAGTCAGCAGTTTTGGGATTAAAACATAAGTTCATTTAAAACTGTTCTTCAATTCCCAATAGATTTTTTTTGGGGGAGGGAGGTATCATGTACTTTTTAAGGAATAGATTTTGAAAGGACAATTACTATAATGTGGAAGACCGTGACATTTGTTGACATTTAAAAGGAACCCACATGCTTGAAGAGGCCAAGCCCCCGTGCCCTAGCATGACCAAATAAAATGACTTGCAGTTTTGCTTCCGAGTCATATCATTCTGTGCGGTGCTCCCTCCAGCTGTCTTCCTCTGCCAGACTAACTGCAATGGATCCTTGCAGCGTCTGTGTAGGTGTTGCCTCCTCTGGAGAACCTTCTCTGACCCCTAGGTTGGGTTTGGAGCCCCACTTCTGGACTCTCTTAGCACCCAAAGTTATTTCTAACTGTGGCCCTTATTGTAGTGAGTTACTTGTTTGATCCCTCACTGGGCTATGAATCCTCAATGCCTAAAGAGGTGCTTGGCACAGAGTAGGGGCTAAATATTTTCTGAGCAAGTGAATGGGCTTTTGAGGCTCTTTTGCATTATTTCTGATCTTCCTGGATTGAGTTTCTCCAGCTCTAAAGAGGCTCCCTGGAGGTTTGCTGAGTGTGTTTACAGATTTCATTAATGCGCCAATTACTATTGCTCTTGTTGGCTTGTGGAGATGTTAGATAAGATCTGAATTATCACTGATTCTCTCAGCCACTCACTAGATACCTCATTCCAACCTGACATAAGACCATTGATCATTGCTAGTGTTTTCCATCCTTAAAAAAGATCTATGCGACCATCTCTTAGCTAAGTGAGCATAAGTTAATTTTGTGAATAAGGTTTTGTGAGACCTTGAGTCCTCATACATCCTTATCCACAAAGTCCCTTCATTATAAAGATGGGCCATGTGCTTTATCACTTCCATTCTATTCTTCCTGCCTATATTTTTCTTTTAATATTTATCTTGTTACCCAGCAGTCATATCATGCTAAATATAACAATAATCTTTCATTTAGATACATTGAACAGCTTGTAAGCTTGTAAACATAATCACATTAATGATAAAATTCACCAATTATGCAGCACTATTTATGCAAAAGGCACTATGCTATGATTTATTTTGACTATCTCATTTAGTCCTTACAACAATTGAGGCAGGTGTTAGCATTCCTGTATTACAGATGAGCAAATCAAAGTTTAGAGGGGTCTAAAACTCACCTAAGCCATACAGCCAATGAGTGGTAGAGCTGAGATTTGCACTGACGCCCTTAACCATAGCCCTATCTGGCCTCCCTTGTCACATGTGATTGCTAAAGAGCCCCAGGAGATACATAGGCCAGTATTACTATTATTGTAACTTTACTATGGGGACAAGGTTAGACAGGTTAAGTGGTCTGGGCAAGGTCATGTGGCTAATAAGTGGCTAAGCTAGGTCTCAAATTCTGGCTTCCTGACCACCTCTTTCTACTATTTCATGTTGTTTCTCCAATTCCAGCTGGTGTTCACCAGGATTATGTTTCTTTCTTTGAAAACCGTCCTTATCATATTTTCATCATATTCTGAGACCTCCTAAATGGCTCGTGACTTTTTAAATCAAATGCTGAATGATCCAGCCTAGGTTGAACTATTTCTCTTAATTCCCTAGCTTGCCTGAACTGCTGAGGGTATTTAAATTATCCAAATATTAGGACAACTGCATTTTATCACCATCTGTTTTTACAAAGTCTGAGTTATTTTCCAATCCCTACACTTGTTTTATTAATTTTGAATGTTATTTAAAATGGGATTCAAAGTGTCAGTTTGGAGTCAAGCCCTCTGCTCCCCAGGTCTCCATGGGAGCCCCTTGGCCTGGTCACTCCCCCGCTACCCTCCGCCCACCTGTCTACAGTCTCTGGTCTTCATGTCTTATCACTGTTCTCGATAGCCATGGATATTTAAGCAAGGTTTCAACTGTTCTGAGGTGTCAGGGAAGTAAGTCAGGGAGCATGTCCTTTTTAAAGCTTGAAGATAATTTTCTGGACTACAGTCTGGCAAGAGGGGATCTTTAGTGGGGAATTATGTGTTTTATCAGGAGCAGCCTTGGGAGCTGGTGTGTAGTTCAGGCTGGCATAGCATATTTTGGGGCCTTGAGTGGGAGGTGAAGGGACTTAAAGAAAATTGGTTCTGGCCAGGTGCGGTGGCTCACGCCTGTAATCCCAGCACTTTGGGAGGCCGAGGCAGGCGGATCACAAAGTCAGGAGTTCGAGACCAGCCTGGTCAACATGGTGAAACCCTGGCTCTACTAAAAATACAAAAATTAACGGGCGTGGTGGTAGGTGCCTGTAATCCCAGCTACTCAGGAGGCTGAGGCAGGAGAATCGCTTGAACTCGGGAGGTGGAGGTTGCAGTGAGCCGAGATTGCACCACTGCACTCCAGCATAGGTGACAGAGTGAGACTCCGTCTCAAAAAAAAAAAAAAAAAGAAAAGAAAATCAGTTCTGCCTCACCCACCTTCAGAACATTTGCCTTCTCTGAGACTAGTTTCTCCATCTGTAAGGTGAGGGGTGATAGATCAGATGAACCCTAAGATCCCTTCTGGCTTAACCGTTTTTCAGTTGGGTTGCCTATGACTAACAGCTAGCCTAAGGCAAAGTTTTATGCCAAGCCCAGAGTGATCCTGCATAAACAGAAATCTGACCATGATATTGACCTGTCTAAATATTCAGTGGCTTCCCGCTGATCTTAGAACATTGTCTGAAGTCCCCATGCACAGGCCCTATTATCTACTTCTCCAACCGCCAAGAGGCTCACTCTAGCTCCCGCCCCTTCCAGCTCCCTTCCACCCCCACCTCCTTTCATTCTTTACGGCCATTTATCTAATCGCGGCCTAAGCACAGGGGTTTTGCACACGGTTTCCTTCTACCCGGACCTTTCTCCATATGCCCTCCTCCTCCCTTCCAGCTTCCTTCTCCTGGCTAACTCTTACTTGTCCTTCAAGTCAGGGGTGCTCCCACAGGACCCAGTACTTCTTGGATCTCAGCTCCTGTCACACAGTATTGTGACCGCTGAGCTGACTGCTTGTCAGTCTCTCCACTAGATTGGAAGCCCATGTGTCTTACTCATCCGTCACTCTTCTGTCCGCCCACTCACACAGGAGGCGTCAATAAAAGACACATTGGATATAAACACGTGGGCAAAAGAACTACTACCTAGAAGGAAAGACTCTGGACAGGAAGGCCAGAAACCCGTTTTAGTCCAGGCTTGGGACATGAAATGTGCAGGTCTAGGTATGTGACCAGCCGCTTCTGGTCTCAGTTTCTGGATTGTTAAATGATGAGAGAGAGGGAGAGAGGGAAGGGGGAGAGAAAGGAGGAGGGGCAGGGGAGAGATAAGTCCGACTGTGTGTTTGTATGGGCCTGCGCTTGAGTTATCAGCTCCCTTTCCTCCAGTGTGCTTTCCTAGGGGCCACTAGAGGTCACTCTTGTCCTACACAATGGTGCCAGGACAGTCTGACTTCGGGGTGGCACCCAGGAAGCCGGAATGCGTCCGCCTGCCTCCAAATCCCGCACTCCAGTCTCAGGAAGGCCGGGAGATGTGCCCTGCGCTTGGCCTCCCGGAGGAACAAATCACAGAATCAATCAAATCCCAACCAGAACTTCGTTGCGGTCCCGTTGGCAAGGGTCCCACCTGGAATGTGGCCTAATATTAAGGAAACGTGCGAAACGGGACTGCAATTCCTGCAGGGGTGCCGGCTTCCCGGCCAGCGTGCAGAGAACGGGGGGTCCCAGGGCAGGTGCGGGGTCTGCGGCGCCCGCCACGACTCGGCGCTGGGCTCTCCCGGGCTCCGGGTCCCCGGCTGCCCCCGGCCGCCAGTCGGGTCGGCCCCGCACCTGTTTGTGCTTTGCAGGCTCCCGGCCCCCTCGCTGAGCGAGGAAGCTGGTATGTGCAGCTGCCCTGCCCTTCTCCAGGTCAGGGGCAGGTTAGAGTCCCGAGGAGGCCCAGTCAGGTTTGAGGACAGAGGGGCTTTGCTTCCCTTTCCTGCTCGGTGGGGAGACGGTGCATCTGGGGCAGCTTGAACAGGAAGTTCGTCTGAAATTGCCTTGAGTGATGGCTACCACGCTGAGGAAGGCTGCTCAGAAGTGGCCCCTGCAGGTGGTGTCGCCTGGTACCCCATGTCCGGCTGGAGGAAAGGCTCTAAGACCGTCATGACCCTCTCTGGGGTGCTCCCACTCCTCAGGAGTCACGGGGGCAATTACTTCAAGTGTGTCCTGAACTTTTCTTCTATGTGCTTTTTGCTCTACCTGGAATCCGGTGGAATCTCTCAAAAGCCTGTTCTTCCCTCCAGGCCCTGTCAGAGGTAGCCTCCTGCTTGGGACCTCACCTGATAACAAGCTGGGAGAGCGGCACATTATCTGCATCTCCCTTTTAGCGTCCCTCTCAGGCTTATTTTATCTGTGTGCTTGGGTCATTTTGTCTGCTACTGACTTTTCATTTCTCAATTTTCAATAGTATGCGGCTCAGTGCCTTTTTGTCCATGATAGCTGTTTAGTTAATACTTGTTGAGTTCTGCTCAATCAACTGCTCTAGGAGTCATGCCTGGCTGTATGTTCCAATCTCTTCCTCTACTGTTGTTAACAGAGAGGACTGTAAGGGATAGAGAGAGAAAATGGGGAAAATAGTATCCTGTTCCCTTGCCCTTCCAACAGCCCATACCCTATTTGGAGTTCCTTGTCCCTAAGACATTTTGAGGCTGAGAAGTTTATTTGCCCTCCATCCTACCCTCTGAGGGACACGCTGAAATGGTGAGCAGTTTTGATCTAGCTTCTGTATCACTGACCAGAGAAAATACCAGGACCCTTTATACAAGGAGAGCTGGGGGTTTTGTAGGCAAGTTGTTAGGGATATAGGCTTTTCCTGGATGTAGTGTGGTTTGGGGGTCAGGATTTGATCTGTATTCTATCCAAGTCTGTGTAATAGTGATCCAATCCATAATGGACTCTACCATGTGCTTCTAATGGCTTAAAATAATTTAGCACACTTGGCAGACAAGATGAGAGCCTGACTAAGGAACCTGGATTTATACTGATATTGTTAACTCCCAGCAGATGAGGGAATCATCTGGGGGAAGTTTGGAAAGAAAATCTGATCCTGCAGCCATCTCAAAGCTCCATGTCATAGGCATATCACACTCAAACCACAGGACACAATAGGAACCAGCTATAAAAACCATGGAGACTTCAGCATGTGGTTAACTATGTCCCCCTACCACTGTAAAGAATTGGTGCCATCATCATCAACATTTACAAGTAGTGTTTAAGGGGCATTATTCATAGTTCCATCGTTCTTTTCATTGTACCAATTAAATTACAATAGACTTACTCCTTGTCTTCTAAGAAAACACTGAAATATGCAAATGTCTGAGCAGACACACCATATAAAGATATTACACAAAGAGCAGGAAGGGAGGAAAATCAGACTTAGCCTGGATTTCAAGGCCTTCTGCAGTCTGGGCTTATTATGTGTTTGTGGCCTTTCCCTTTGCCCCACAAAGCATCCTGTATTCCAGTCACATGAGATGATTTGCCACCTCCCAAACAAAATGAGCCTTGAACTTCTGTACTTCCAAACCCTTAGTGATCTCATCCTGTTGCTGGAAGTTGCCTTTCCTACAGCCTTTCCTAGAAGTATGGCACATCCTTCCAGCTCCAGCTCCACGGCCTTCAGCCCTGAGACTTTTCAGATTCCCAAGTCAGAATTCATCTCTCTCTTTCTCATAATCCCATCTCCTATATTTACCCTTAGGTGGTCTGTTTTGTCTCTGAGTTACGGTAGCCTCTGTGGAGAGGGACCAGGTTTCCCCAGTCCTAATTGTGTGGAGCTGGAGGAGAGAATGTGGGGCTACAAAGCATCCCCTTTACAGCAGTCTACAGGTGGAGTGAAGACAGGTAGGAAGGCAGGTGTGTGTGTGTGTGTGTGTGTGTATGCACACATGTTAACACACGTTTTAAACATAACATGTTTAGTTATGTTTAACACACATGTTAAGGTGATAAATACCTGTTTTATTAACTTTTGACAAAGTATTCCCCATGACATCAGGTGTACTGGTATAATCTCAAAAGGGAAAAAAGATGTCTCAGGTGGTACAGGCTCTGTTCCAGATCCCACAGATATCCAAGTGCAAAGTGTGGGGTGACTCTGAATCATTGTTGCAAGGGTAAGCAGGGAAGGCTAGTCTGCACGGGTATTGCTGGTGTTTGGCAGTGGGTCCACAGTTTAATGCTCCAGGCCCCTTGTCTGGAATGAGCCCACATCCTGCCCTGGGCTTCCTGATGCTTAGCAGCCAAAGAAACACCAATTCAGGGCCCAGGCCCCACTATAGGGATAAGCTGGATTAGAACTTTCAGTTCCTTAAGGCTTACATTTCTTCATCACAGCCTCTGGAAGGTGCAGGGGAAGAAGAAGACGAGGGCCATTTCTTCTCAGTCAGCCAGAACTGCCCACATATTCTGCTGCTCTCTCACTTTAGAATCAACTGTTTAGAAATATGTTAGCTCTACCCTAACTTGCCCATTTACAGGTGTTTCGTCTAGGTCATCTGGGACAGAATGGAAATCCCTGCCTACAACGAGGGTCCCTAAGTGAGTGGAGGTGAAGAGGGGATACCACAGCCTTAATGGACAGCTACGCAGAGAGTTTCCAGCTGCTGGGAGTGAACTGGAGGAAAATATATTCTGGATCTGAGAACAAACAAAAAACTCTCGGAAAATAACAGTGAAAAGCCTAGATTCCTAAACATCTTGGTTTAAAATGTCAAGTCGCTGTAAAACATAAAAGCATTTCATAATCCTCTAATCGGCACAGTGATCTCCACATTAGTAATCTGGGAGTTAAAACAAAACAAACAATAAAACCTTTGAGAAGCCAGCACTCATCCTTCCACTCAGTCACAGAGAACTCCCAGGGGCTCATGGCATGTTCACACCTTTGGCAAAATGGCATAGCGCCTGAATGAAGAATCTAATCTGGGAAAAATCGAAGATACAAATCATCTGGGATCTTGTTCTAGAAGTTTATAGTGGGACAGTGGTTCTCAACCTTGACCACATATTTGAATCACCTGGGGAGCTTTAACAAATACTGGTGCCTTGGTCCCAACCCAAAGATTTTGGTTTAATTGGCTGGGGTGTGGCTTGGGCATTGGGGTTTCTAAAGCTCCCCAGGTAGTTGGAAGTGCAGCCAAGGTTGAACACCACGGGTAGAAGAAGGGGCGGGGATATGTTTGTAGCTGGGGGTGGAGGGGACTCAGATATCTTTCTAACTGTTACATTCTGAATTTATTTCGAATAAAAAGAGATTTTCTTACTTTTTGAGTGCCATGTCAGGAGGCTACATTTTTTTTTAACCTAAAAGGAAGATATGAACTTTCCAAAGACAAGTTTTTTGCTCCATAGACTGAAGGGAGCATTTTTGCTGTTTCACTGGAACTGCTTCGCTGGATGTCTTGCCCCCTCCCGCTTGTACCTTGGTGGGATGATTATGCTCCTCGGTGTGTACCAGGGATGTTCATGTGTAGCACTTTACAGGATGACTTAGGAAACAAATCAGATGAAGCATCAGCGCTGATAGCCAACTCTGTGTTTCTTGAACACTGAAAAGAACAACTTTTTTCTTTTCTTGAAAGTCAGTTTCTATAAAATCATTCAGATTTCTCTCAAGTTCTAGACTGTGTTGCAGAGAGCTCCTTATAGACAAAGAGTGGTTCAAATTCTCTTCAGGCAAGAGGAACTAAGGGAATGAAGAATGTGTCATTCAGTATCCTCACTGTTGTTTTCAGGTATGTATATACTTATTTATGTAGCTAACATTGGTTATAGCTACTATCTCTTAAATTAGCAGAAGGGCTAAAAGAATCCAAACTCCTCTGGGTTTCAATGAGTAAGCTTGCATTAACAAGATTTGTGAGGCTCATTTCTCTACATATTTACTTCTCTTTCTTTTTTTCTATATACTGCCTCAGAACCTTAAGTATAAGTATTTTTATAAATATATATATATACTCTTACATATATATTTATATTTCCGCTTTTTACAGTGTCTATTTCGGCCTTTCTGAACTGGGGCACTAACCTGAATGCTAGTGTTTAGAGTAAGTACCACTTTCCTGTTAACTCACAGCCAGCTCGTAAATCTCCCTGATCCCAGGCACTTTCTTGCCATTCGGTGCTCTCAGCCTCTGCAGCTTGTCTTTCCTGCTGAGGGGCTCTGAATGGCCTTTCAAAAGGGCTGCAGCTGATGTGGTTGATCTGCACCAGGGGGGCCTTTTGCTCCAGGTCAAAGATGTCTGATTCTAAGTCTTGCTTTGTAAAAAATTATCCTATTTTTTCCTGATATTTTAACATCTGAAGCCCTGCAGGGGTTAACAGCTTTCCTCACATGGTCTTAGCCTGAACGTTATAGGCACTGAGGCTCCTTACCTTTCACCATGCATCAAAACAGATTCCGAGTGAATCAAAGAAATGAATACAAGTGAAACAAAAAAGAATCTGGAAGAAAATAAAGATGCATATTGATCTGATTTCAAGAATGTAAATTCATACACATATAAGTAGAATGGAAGAAAGGTAAACATATTTAACTATATAAAAGGGAATATTTCTGTATGTCAAGATAATACTCTAATAGTTAGAAAAATAGCAAATAAAATACTAGAGAAAATATTTCAATACATAGATAGCAATGGAGGAAATTGCCTTATACCTGTATTAGAGCAAACTTAATAAAACAGACTAATACCCCAACAGAAAAATAGCAAAGGACATAGAAAATTCATAAAAGCAATACAATACTAACATATGAAAAATCTTCAGGCTCATTAATGCTCAAAGAATAGAAATTAACATAAGAATACTTTTTTTATTATGGAGTTGGCAAAGATGTAAAAAATGTTACTATATTGTGTTAGTGAGGTGAATTGTAATAACAAAATGTTCATATTTCCTCCTCCATCTCAGACCTCTTCAACTAAGTTTGGATGAGGTAAGAAAATTGAAAGGTGGTCAGGCGCGGTGGCTCATGTCTATAGTCCTAGCACTCTGGGAGGCCGAGATGGGTGGATCACCTGAGGTCAGGAGTTTGAGACCAGCCTGACCAACATGGTGAAACCCCGTCTCTACTAAAAATACAAAAATTAGCCAGTTTTGGTGACACGCACCTGTAGTCCCAGCTACTCAGGAGGCTGAGGCAGGAGAATCCCTTGAACCAGGGAGGTGGAGGTTGCAGTGAGCCGAGATTGCACCACTGCGCTCCAGCCTGGGTGACAGAGTGAGACTCTGTCTCAAAAAAAAAAAAAAAAAAAAGAAGGCAGAAAAAGAGAAAGAGAGAGAGAGAAAGAAAGAAAGAGAGGAAGAGAAAATTGAAAGGTTAATCCTGTGAGATAAAATTCTAAAACTCAGTGGATTCTAAGGTGAGCAATCTGAACACCAGGTCATTTGAGGAATGGTTGAAGGATCTGAGAGTGTTTAGCTTGGAGACTAGAGCTTTTAGGGTAGATATATAGAAAAATTGATAAAGAAGAAGATATAGATTTTCTCTTCTTACTTTTTCCAAAGCAAGAGTAGAAAGGGCAAGAAAACACCTTTGGCCTAATACATGGAGGCTCTTTCCTACAATCAGAGCTGTCTAGTCCTAGCATGAGCCAATTCCTGAGACGAGCCATCCCATCAAACAGAAACTGAAAAGCTTTTTGTCGGGGATGTTATAGAAGAAACCTCTTGACCCGTATGAGTTCTTTGAAATTTTACCTTTATAAAGTCATCTTTTACTAACTATAGAACTTTCATAGAATGGTTTATTTTTGAAAGAAACTAATTTAAATGATCCCAGACAAGTGAAGATAATGGAAACCTGCAGGGAGTACATCTGGTTGACCAGAGTTCAAAAAATGTAGGTACCAAATAATATCAGCAGTGTAGAACTAAAATACTTAGATGTCTTGAGTCTGCTGGGATAAATGGACAAATGGCCTACTGGTCCCAGAAACAAGTCTTCATATTTTGTTTTTGAGTGTCTGAGTCGTGGTATTGAATTAATGGGGTTAAGGTTTTTCCCAAAGCTTCTTTTACCTGATCTCTCTGTGTCCAGAAACTAAACATGGTGCTTTCAGGTATCATTAGTGAGAGATTGTGGCGGGTCAGGTGGGTGGCCAGTTCACCCCTCAGGATTTTTCACATTAGCCAAGCTCTGAATCCAGAGATGAAATATCATAATATGGTCTGGTCTGTTCCAACAGGGACACGAAGATATTTTTAAAGTCTTAGCACCTGGGAGTTACTTGAGTATTTTCAGAACCATTCTGTTTGGTTAACATCAAATGACACCTCTCTAAAGGCATGCAGTTAGATGCCAATGTTTTTCTTTGATATAGGTTTTAATGAGGGTGAAATGAAAGCAAAAGTTATATCCCAGAGAGATGGAAAAAATGAGCAGTATGTGGAAAAAGGAAAAAAAAAGATGTGCATTTCTTCACAGAATAGGCAATAAGATTTTTGGTTCATAGGAGCCTTGAGATTTTTTTCAGCTAAAGGAGAGGCTCATGCAGATCTGAAATTTAAACATTAATATGGAACCTATTAGCCCCAAAGCAGAAATACTTTACATGTCTATTTATGGCACCACCCACAGGCTGCTTCCTGTTAGTTGTTTGTTTCTAGTGACAGAGATGAGCTCCTTTAGGAGATTCTTCTGAGCTCCTTTAGGAGATTCTGAGATTCATCTCAGAATCCCCTCCCCAACAACCCCAAAACACCCCACATTAAATAGCTCTTGAAAGCCAGGTGAGGATATGGCCTAGCAATAGAAAGATCAAGGGACATTCTGATCCGAAACATTCACATTGAACTTTACATTCAGAATTTCCCCCTAATTTGTCTACTTGGAACTCTTGAGCCCTTACAGTTATGGGACCACAATTCTATTTTTTTTTTTTTTTGAGACGGAGTCTCGCTCTGTCGCCCAGGCTGAAGTGCAGTGGCACGGTCTCAGCTCACTGCAACCTCCGCCTCCTGGGTTCATGCCATTCTCCTGCCTCATCCTCCCGAGTAGCTGGAACTACAGGCACCCGCCACCATGCCCGGCTAATTTTTTTTTGTATTTTTAGTACAGACGGGGTTTCACCATGTTAGCCAGGATGGTCTTGATCTCCTGACCTTGTGACCCCCCGCCTCGGCCTCCCAAAATGCTGGGATTACAGGCGTGAGCCACCGTGCCCAGCCCGGGACCATAATTCTTTTAAAATTTTAGTTAGTCATTGCAAATTAGATCACTGAAGAAGAAGAAGTTATGTCTGACACAAAGTAGGATCAATAGAACTGGTGAATGGATGAAGAGATATACTTTCCAGTTTCCTTGGGAAGCCTCCCTTGTTGGCATCTTTCCCTCTGAGAATGGGCTCCGTTAGGTGTGAGGGAGTTGAAGGTGCCTGTGTATATGGGGCGGGAATATAACCTATTGATATAGATTTTTATATACCTCAAATTAAACAAATCTAGAGTCATTGCTGGTTTTTAATAATCCCTTTGAGAAGAGCATAATAAAAACAGAAGGGAATTCCCCACTTCTTCTGGAAAAAAAAATGTGCTTTTACTAGAATTCTGTGATTGGGAGACAGTCTTAGAAGTAGCTCAGAGAAGAACTTTTAAAAGGGTCTGAGCACTTTTACACTGTTGGTGGGACTGTAAACTAGTTCAACCATTGTGGAAGTCAGTGTGGCGATTCCTCAGGGATCTAGAACTAGAAATACCATTTGACCCAGCCATCCCATTACTGGGTATATATCCAAAGGACTATAAATCATGCTGCTATAAAGACACATGCACACGTATGTTTATTGCGGCACTATTCACAATAGCAAAGACTTGGAACCAACCCAAGTGTCCAACAATGATAGACTGGATTAAGAAAATGTGGCACATATACACCATGGAATACTATGCAGCCATAAAAAATGATGAGTTCATGTCCTTTGTAGGGACATGGATGAAATTGGAAATCATCATTCTCAGTAAACTAACACAAGGACAAAAAACCAAACACTGCATGTTCTCACTCATAGATGGGAATTGAACAATGAGAACACATGGACACAGGAAGGGGAACATCACACTCTGGGGACTGTTGTGGGGTGGGGGGAGGGGAGGGATAGCATTAGGAGATATACCTAATGCTAAATGACGAGTTAATGGGTGCAGCACACCAGCATGGCACATATATACATATGTAACTA